>NC_000002.12:8494848-8797878 GCF_000001405.40 Homo sapiens
CCCTGCACTTCCTGTTGCTGTTCCTTCCTCCAGGAATGTCCTTCCCTATCCAGCTTCAGTGCCCTCCTCTCCCTGGAGTTTCCTTACGTGTCCTCAGCAACAAAGGAACAGAGCTCCATGTCCCTTGCCTTGATTTTCTCTTAAGGGATTTACCATGTTCTACTTCTTGTCCCAATAGTAAATGATGTGATTTTTCTTTGACCCCTGTGGGCACCTTAGAGCTGAAACTTGCCCTTGCAGTGCCTGTCAAGCAACAGATACTCAATGAGTGTTTCACGCAGCTGGTACATCTGACACAATTGACCTGGCATGGGTGCTGACATTAGGACGTCTGGCCCTTGGAAGGAGGAAGACAGGAGGAGGGATAGGCACGAGGCAAAGGAGGATGATGACTCTGCAACAATCTTACTTTCCTCACGTCTGCATTTACTACTTAGAACCTTGGGCTCCAACAGCACTGGCCGGCGGTGGTGACTGACGGGTGGTGAATTGAGCCATGGAGAGATGGCCCTGAGTGCCAGTGAACAATGCTCCCCTTCTGAATCCTGAGGCCCTGGAGAATTTCTGCAAGCATGAGTCACCACCTTCCAGAAAGAACCCATGGCCACTGAAGAGCTGCTTCCGACCCAGCCCCAGGTACCGTCTTGTGGTGAACTGGCCTCTGAGCTCCCCAAGAGGAGTGGAGGCTGGATGCTAAGCTGCAGAGGGAATGGCTGGAGGAGACCAGCTGCAGCTGCTCCTCGACCCGCCACACGTGAGGAAGAGGATGCTGCTGTGTTAGATGGAGGATAGGCTGGGACATCGCAGTGCTTGGGGTCCACCCCAGAGCTCCTCACTGCCCAGAGACACCAAGCTGTCCACTCAGTTGTTTCCTGTCAGCTTCCTTGGGGGTGGTGGGTGATCACCTGCCTGCCAACGGCTGGCATTACAGCAGGTGGTGTGTGTGAAGTCCCCACACACTTCTTGCTGCACAGCAGGTGCTCAGGGGACAGTCAGTATTGTGGCCTATCTCATTTCTTCCAACAGTCAAATTGTTGGCATCCCCAACCAGCTGAATGTGCCTTCCTGGGCTTCTGAAAAGTGTCAGAAGTAAGGAACTCTCAGTAGGGACTGGCAGGTCCATCCTGCAGCTACCACTCTCCCAGAATCCACCCACTCCCCACACTGAGAAAAGTCAGCCTCCTCTCCAATTTCCCCTTCCTCATCTTCACAGACACACAGTCCCCCCTTGCAATGTCTTTGCATCCTTCCATCCCATTCTTTCCCCCCCAACATAGTAACCTTCCCCGAATGCCTGACCAGCAAACCTTCCAGCATGCCAGTCAATTCACGTTCTCAACTTGTACTGAGCCCCTCCCAGTCTGGTTAGCTTCAGGAGTAAGGAAGCCACACCAGCCCTGCTGTTTGGAGATCACTGTCCAGCTGGGGAGGAGAGCCCGGCAGCCAAGGCCCTGCACAGCCCGGGCCTGACACCACTCTTCTGCCTCTTGTCAATCTCTCTCCCCACCACAGCAAAGAGAGCTGCTGCTAGCCCTGAAATAGACCTGGCAGAGCTTTCCAGCCCCTGGGTTTTCTTCCCATCAGGTTTTCTGCCTGGATTTCTGGCCTTACACCTTTCTAGGTATCCAAATCCCACCCATAATCAAAGCCCTTTGAGCTCATTCATTTTCCAACATTTCCCGGCAACTCTAATGCCAAGTAATCATGCCTCCTTCAACCTCCTCCCTCAGTGCAGCTCAGATTGTTAAGTTGGCTCCTATAGTTATTAACCTTTTGATGTAAATGTCTCTTCCTCTCCAACTAGAATGCAAGGGTGCTGGCCATGGGGCTGCAGCTGAGTCTTGTCCTCTGGTGTCAGCGGTGACTGAAAGACATACCAGGGCTCCCCAGGGCACAATCCCTCCCCTGACCAGGGATCATAACCAAGGACACACCTCCGCAGGAAACAGTCCTACTCCAACCACTGCACTCTTCAGCCCTCTGTTTAGTTTGGATGGATTTCTACCTATGTCCTTCCTTATCAGGCAGGAGGCAGCTGGCCGGGAGGGCTGCTCCTTCCTGCTCCCTGTGAAAGGCCTGGCGAATCCACCAGACCCCTGGGCTCCATCAGATTTGGAAATTCCCAGTGTCAGAATCTCCTCCTTCCACTTTATCCCATCAAGAGGTCATCTAACGTTTTCTTAAATTTTGCCAGTGTTGGACTGTTCCCCAACCATGAAGACAGGTCATTCCCTTCAAAGACAGCCCTAATACAGCCCTAATTGTTGCAGAGGAAATCTCGTTTGTGGAGCTCTTGGTGCACAACGGCTAGTCCAGGTGTCTCTTTAATCCATACAACTACCTTGTGAATTATACACTATGTTACCATCTCCATTAAATAAGAGGAATCCAGGGCTCAGAAAAATTCAGGCAACCTGAGTCTCACATGCATAATGATACAGTTCAAAGTACAGCTGCTCTCAAGACCATTAGTCTTTTCTTAACTTCAAGTTTATTATTGATCTTCTTATTAATAGTAAAGTGCCTCATTTTCATGGTGCCAAATTTTACCATGGTATATTTTCCACCCTCTGACTTGTGTTCTACATCTTGGCCCACGAATGACTATTTTATCCCTTTTTTGTGATCATCCTTCAGACATTGAGAAGTCATCAGTCTGTCCCTCTGACCCATCTGTGTGTTTCTGGAGCAGAAGCAAGCAGTCACCTGCAGGAACAGTGCATGTATAATGGGGACCCTTCTAAGCCTGGCCTCAACAACCCAGCTCCTTGAGAGCATAACTGCCTTTTTTATTTTTTATTTTCTTTTAATTTTAACTTTTATTTTAGATCCGGGGGCACACGTGCAGCTTTCTTACATTGGTATATTGCGTGATACTGAGGTTCCGGGTATGATTGATGCTGTCACCCAGCTGGTGAGCATAGTACCTGGCAGTTTTTCGATCCTGGCCTCCCTCCCTGTCCCCTCTAGTAGTCCCCAGCATCTACTGTTGCCATCTTTATGTACCTGAGTACCCATGGCCCAGCTCCCCCTTATAAGTGAGAACAAGCAGGATTTGGTTTTCTGTTCCTGCATCAATTCGCATACAATAATGGCCTCCAGCTGCATCCGTGTTGCAGCAGAGGACATGACTTCATTCTCTTTTATGGCTGTGTAGTATTCCATGGTGTATATGTACCACATTTTCTTTATCCAGTCTACTGTTGATGGGCACCTGGGTTGATTCCATGTCTTTGCTATTGTGAACAGCACAGCATAATTTCTTGAAAGCCATGGCTAATGTCAGTCTTTCCAGAGGACAGAATAAACAAGTGCATATCAGTGCCCTTAAGATTGGTTTCAGGAAAGAGAAGGTGCTGATTTGATGTCATTTCAGGGCCTCCCTCCCTGCAAGCAACCACAACCCCTGCTGCCACGTGACTCTCTCTTCTCTTATCCCTAAAAAGGAAGAATGAAGTCTTCTACGGGGGAGAAGATCAGAGCACAAAGTCCAGGGAGGGAAATCACAGAGGCCGAGAGCCTCCCAAAGAAGTGAATGTTGATCCGTGTTTCCTTGAGCAGAGCATGTTGGGAGAGGAACCCCATCTGGGCTTGGAGGTGGCAGCCCGGCAGTAAGAAGGGAGAACTGGGGCAGGGGGACATCTGCACGTGTCCCTGAGAGTCTCACTGCTGACACTGTCAGCGACCTGGGATTCTCCAGGCCTGTCCACTGGGATCTGGTTGTCAACCCGAAGCTTCCTTTCTGTATGACTCCAGAGCAGCTCACAGCACATAGACATTGCTGCAAATTCTGGCTCCACCAAACCAGGCCAAGATCATCCAATACACCCAGTCATTCATCAAGACATACATGTCTGTCAAGCTATTGCTTTTTGCCTGTCACTGTGTGAGAACAGTGAGGTGGGTCCGCTACAGGTTAACATAACAGAATGAGCTCGCCCTGGCTTTGCAGCCAGACCTGGTTCCTGTCCAGATTCACTGACTTGCTGCATGACTTTAGGCACCCCCTATAGCCTCATCTGCAAAATGAGGATGAGGATGGAGGCCACATCCCAGAGTGAGGTAAAGGTTAAATGAAGAGGTTGCTCATCCCTGCCACATAGGAAATATTCCAATGCTAGTTCTTTTCCCTCTGATCTCACGCACCTCAGAGACCAGCCAATTACTGGCTGTTCATGACAATCTTTTATTTTCAGTTAATAGTCCTGATACATCATTCAACAGATATTAGGAATCTTGAGGCACGTATATGGTATCCTTGTGAGAGAGCACTTTATCTTTTTAAAGTATTTCCTTTCTTCTGTATGATTGTCACCCCACTTCTATTTAGTTTACTTCCACTTTTAACTTCCTGGTTTTCTTAAATTCCACAATATTTACCATAATTTTATCTACTGACATGTAGAGTGTCAGCCCCACCCAGAGACATACTGGGGCCTCATTCACCTCACCATAGGATGTCCATGTTTTCAACAAGGTTGCTTGGCCCGTTTGACAAATTATATATCACCGTGCCTTCTCCTTCCACTGAGAGGAGTATAGAGAAGTGGTTGATAGTGTGTGTCCTAGAATTGGATCACCTGAAGCAGATTCCAGCTCTGCATTTTGCCAGCTGTGTGCAAGTCACCTAATACCTTCAGGCTTGGGATCCTCATCTGTAAAATGGCAAGTCATGATCGCTAATTTGTGGGCTGCTCCTAGGAACTAAATGTCATCCTGCAAGCCCAGTGCATGGCACATAGTAAGTGATCAATATACTGTAGCTATTGATGCTCTTTTCTGTTGATACTCGTGCGATCTCTGCTGCCTACACATTTGTGTGGAGTGTGAAGTGGAAAGCCAAAAGAACAGGAGAGAGGAAAGCCAACTGGCGTCCTGCGCTTGACAGCACAGACCCCAGTGAGGCAGCCCTTCTTATGCTGGAAGGGGCCCCGGTCACATCACACGCTGCCTTGGGAAAGCATTGTTCCTATCACATGAGCCAGGTGAGAGGGGAGGAGAACACACAGGAGCAGCCACGCAGTTTCCTTCGGGAAATTAACAAGCGCTTCACAGTCTCTGCATAGCCATAAAAGAACCTCTGCAATCCCCTTCGGACCTGTGAGCTGCCAGAGGGGTCTTCTTGAGCCTCGGGGCTCATGGCTGGCCTCAGCCTCCAGAAGTAGAACTTGATGCCCTTGGGCCAGCTGGCTTCTGGTTTCCCCAAGGCACCAGCCCTCTGTACTCCTCAGATCCCGCTGCTGCCATGTGACAGCTTCAGGAGCCAGGCCTCACCTCCCTCCCAATTAGTTCATTGTGGGAAGGCCCCTGACACAAACAGGGATCCCATGCTACTGTCCTTTGCTCAGCACATCCCTTAAATGTGGCCCCCATGTGCCCCGAACCTTTAAGAGAAGCTGGGGCTGGCTGTCTCTGTGCTCCCTAGCGCCCAGCACCCTCTGTCCCAGCCCTCACACAACTACATCATCACCACTCCCTCACTCTGATGTCCCCTCCTAGGCCTAGAAGGCCCTAAGAGCAGGAGTTGCATTTTCTAATCCACGTATTCTAACCAATGTAGATGCTGGATAAATGAGTGAAAGAACACAGGGAGGGAAGGCAAGGAGGGAAGGAGGGAGGGTGAAATGAAATAGAGGTTCCTAGAAGGTGGATCGCCTTTCTGCCTGTGATCTCTGCTCGTCTTGTTCCTGTCTGTTGCTGAGTCCTTGCCAACCAAGCGCTGCAATTCACCACCTGCGTACCCTTCTTTTCCTCTACAACTGAGGGAAGAGACTTGTTAGGATAGTTCTGACCTAGTGTATTTAACCAGAGAAAGAAATTACCTCTCACTTCCAAGTGTTTCTTGACATAATCCTTTGGCAAACAGTTTGTTAGAAGCCACGAGTAACAGAACAGCGAGCCTGTGTACTCAGGCTGTTGAGCAAACCTTGACCTGAGTCACTAGAACTGGAAGACAGTTCCAGTTTTTTGAATGTGAGCAGCTGTAGCTCAAATTTCAGCAGGCTAGAGGAGGTGGGCAGGAACATCAAAACATGGGATTCTTAGGACTAAACTCCTAAGTCCCAGGTACTGAGAACCTGAGCCGCAGGTAGTACACACCTGAGTGCCAGGTAATGCAGGTGACGCACACCTGAGCCCCAGGTAATGCAGGTGACGCACACCTGAGCCCCAGGTAGTACAGATGATAATGCACACTTCAGCCACGGGTAGCAAAGGCAGTTCACAACTGAACCCCAGGATACTGTACACCTGAGTCCCAAGTGTTGTAACCCTGAGTCTCTGGGTGCTGTGCCCCTGGCTGCCAGGGGTCTATACCTCTTGAGTCCTGGGGTGCTGCAGGCTTGATGCCTACCGGATAGTAAGTCATTTCACCAGAGAACCCACACTTCAGAGTCTGACAGTCCGAGACGCACTGTCACAACTCTTGCTCATGTGATTCTCACCACAGTCCTGTGAGCTATTGCCATCACTTCCACTTTACATAAGGGGAAACGGAGGCCCAGGGAACTTAAGCAGCTTACCCAACAGCACCTGTAAGGGGCTGACAGCGCCAGGACATCAGTCCAGGCCTTTGGATTCCAGACCTCACATTCTGCCTGCCTGAGCCACTCACTCATCCTGCTGATGAGAATATAAGTCGGCACACACTTTGAAAAGGCGCTTATAGCCATGTATAGCCAAAGGACTTGAAGTAAATATGTTCAGTACTTTGACCTGTTAAGTACCTTCTGGGAAGCCATCCAAATGAAATACCCCAGAATATGGGGAAAAAAACCTTTCTACACAAAGATGTTCATTGCTTTATTACTTATTGAGAATATACTATATTCTAAAAACTTGCAAATTGTCTAAAATATTCAACAACAGGAAAGTGGCAAGTACATTAAAATATGTACATTAAACTATGCATTTATTTAAAAGACGCTATTTAGAAAAATACAGTAAAAATGTGGGAAAATAGATTAAAACTTTAAATGAGGACAGGAGGCTGCAAACCTGGATGTATACTATTATTCAAATATATATTATTATTCTACAAATTTATTTAAAACCATTTATTGAGCACCATCTGCATACCAAATGCACTCTACAGGTATTAAGGATAAAATGGAAAATGAAAAAAAAAAACTTAGACTCTATCTACTGAAGCCTACAATCAATGGGTAATTACAACTCTGTGAGAAAACTAATCAGTAGGGAAAAACAGACCAAAACAAAATCTACCAAAAAGTAACGGTAGTTAATTTCTGGTTGTGAAAATACAGGTGGTTGCTTTTTCTTCTCTTTTTGTTCTTTTGCATTTTTAACCTTTCAGCAATGAACAAGTGTTGCTTTTTAAAAATAAGACTTTATTTTCATTCATTCTTCTTTTTTTTAGATGGAGTTTCACTCTTGTTGCCCAGGCTGGAATGCAATGGCTTGATCTCAGCTCACTGCAACCTCCATCTCCCGGGTTCAAGCGATTCTCCTCCCTTAGCCTCCGGAGTATCTGGGATTACAGGCATGCACCACCATGCCCAGCTAATTTTGTATTTTTAGTAGAGACAGGGTTTCTACTGTCCACACCCAAGGCTCTTGGACAGATTCCAGATGCCAGGCTGAGAATCTTTGCAAGTCCCTGTTAGCTGGCCCAGTGCCCGCCAGGTCATGGGAATTCAGCAAACGACCCCAGTGGGGGCAGTGTGGCCATCTGAAGAGGCCTCAGCTTTGCACGACACAGAGTGAATGATCCCAGCTCAGCCCCTTCCTGGCTGCAAAACCGTGGGCCCTCCAGTCCTCAAGCCCCTCTGCATTCATCTTGTGGGATGAACTCCCCCACAGAGGGTATGGACAGACGTGGTGTGCACAGTGGGTGCCCTATTAGTGAAGGTTATTATTTGTTGAACTTGGTTGAACCCAGGCCACCTTCGGCAGCTGCCCTAGTCCAATCCTTCTTTTCTTACTTCCACTTGACAAGTGTCATTAAGCCCATGTATCAGACTGTCTCTGAAGAGTAATGCTGGGGTGTTTGATGGTGATGACAATGATGTCCAAGGATCTGTTAAGCCACATCCACATGGCCTGGCAGTGGCTGCGTCTCCCTTCCGAGAAAGACCCCAGAGCAAGTCCCTTAGGAACACTCCCTCTCTAGGAAGGCACTGCCATGGAAAGATCATGGCAGGGGCTGCCAGGTCTAGGAAGTTCTCAGCACACGTGGGCCGGGGAGGCAACTGACCTTCCACGCCCAGCATCTTGTGGAAGGCATGATGCACTGCCAGCCCTGCTTCCCCTCCTCTGCGCTCCTCACCTGGGCAACCTAAAGAAAGTGTGGGTGGAGTTGGCACTGCATCCATGGTGGAACATCAACAATGCCGGTGATGAGGGTAATTTTCAGATGAGTTGAGATAAGCCTGCTGCGTTACTCTCTGACCTTCGCCGTCATTTTCACACAATAGGTGGATGATAATGTTGAGCTGTGTCTAAGAGCTCCTCCAGACAGAGAGGAATGAGCAAAGGCAGCATGAACCCAAACAAACAGAAGCAATTTCAGCTGCAGAAGTCCTTCAGGGCTTAAAAGCATTGTTTGCTACGCATTAGGCATTTCTGAATCTGAAGAGAATCTTTTTTCTCTCCCTTTCCTATTTCTCAAATAAGGATGATCTAGGGAAAAATATCAGGGGAGTGGAGGTCAGGAGAGGAGTGTGTGGATTCAGCTCTGCCTGGGGCAAGGCGCTTTTTCTCTCTGCCCCCCTTCCCCCCATTTCCATCTGTAATAAGGCACAGGCTGGACCAGACATGCCTCCAGTGCCTGCTAGCTCCACCAATAAGGACCGTGAATAACACTTATTCCCATTCCCATTTTACTGGTTTCCGAATATGAGAAGATCATTGCCAATTTTTCTCTTTTCTCTTTCAACACTACTGTGATGGTTAATGGTGAGTGTCAACTTGATTGGATTGAAGGATGCAAAGCATTGGTCCTGGGTGTGTCTGTGTGGGTGCTGCCAAAGGAGATTAACATTTGAGTCAGTGGACTGGGAGAGGCAGACCCACCCTCAGTCTGGGCACCAGCTAATCAGCTGCCAGTGCGGCTAGGATAAAGCAGGCAGAGGAACATGGAAGGACGAGACTGGCTGAGTCTTCCAGCCTCCATCTTTCTCCTGTGCTGGATGCTTCCTGCCCTCGAACATTGGACTCCAAGTTCTTCAGTTTTTGGACTCTTGGACTTCCACCAGTGGCTTGCCAGGGGCTCTCGGGCCTTCGGACACAGACTGAAGGCTGCACTGTTGGCTTCCCTACTTTTGAGATGTTGGGACTCGGACTGCTTCCTTGCTCCTGGGCTAGCCGATGGCCTATTGTGGGACTTCACCTTCTAACCGTGTGAGTCGATTCTCCTTAATAAACTCCCTTTTATATATACATCTGTCCTATAAGTCCTGTCTCTCTAGAGAACCCTGACTAATGCAACTACTTCATAAGCCACTCTGCTCTCCTTCTACCACACTTACCTGCTCACAGGGCAAAACCTGTCAGGGATGTGGAGCTTTGTAGGGCAGACGAACCCACCAGCCTCCCATGCAAGGCACCCGAGAGGGGTTAGAGGTAGTAAGGAAAAGGGCTAACGGAGGTGGCTCCTGGATAGACAAACACCAGTTCCAAGTCCTCAGGCCCCAGAAACCTCTCAGGACCCAATCTCATTTGTTCAACTCCAAGTCAACCATGACCCATGGAAAGCTCATGAATCCGTGGTGGCCAGCAGGCAAGAAACAATGTTGCTATATACTGGTGTTTGCCATCGGTGGAAATTCATACTACGGAATGATCTCATCCGTGTGCATCTGCTCCAGCTGCCCTAACAAAGTAGCACACTGGGGCCTTAAACAACAGAGATGCAATTCCTCACAGTTCCGGAGGCGGGAAGTCCGAGATCACAGTGTTGGCAGGTCTGATTCCTCCCAAGGCCTCTCTCCCTGGACTGCAGAGGCTGATTCCTACCTTTGTCCACACATGGTCGTCCCTTTGTGTGTGTCTGTGTCCTAATCTCTATTCTTACAAGGACACCAGTCACAGCAGATTAGGGCCCACCCTGATGACCTCATTTTAATTTAATGAACCTCTTTTTTTTTAATCGGCATACATTACTTATTTTTATTAATGTAAAATAAAATATATTAACATTCTATTCGCTACATGTCAAAACACAATTTTAATGGCTTAATAATCTTCTATCATATACATGTATCATATTTTTTATCATACTTTAAGTTCTAGGGTGCATGTGCACAACGTGCAGGTTTATTACATATGTATACATTAACTCGGCATTTACATTAGGTATATCTCCTAATGCTATCCCTCCCCCCTCCCCCCACCCCATGACAGGCCCCGGTGTGTGATGTTCCCCTTCCTGTGTCCATGTGTTCTCATTGTTCAATTCCCACCTATGAGTGAGAACATGCGGTGTTTGGTTTTCTGTGCTTGCAATAGTTTGCTGAGAATGATGGTTTCCAGGTACTGAAAGTTAAGACTTCTCATGTGGTTTGAAGGGACACAGCTCAGCTTGTAACATCCAAACTGCCACTTTACAGATTTCAGAGTAAATTGGTGACACAGGCCAGAATGGAGTGCCCACCCCCGATCCCCACGCCTCTGCCTCTCCCGCATCGCTGTGCCCACCCCCGATCCCGCATCGCTCCAGCCATGCTGTGTCCCCCAGCAGCCCTGCAGTCCTAGTCCACCCTGAATGAAGTTTCTATGTGCTCTGTTGCTGAAGAGTGTTGGATTTAAAAATGAAAAGCTCACTTACCAGCTGGGAGGCCTCTGACCACTCCCTTAAAGCTCCCGAGGCCTGAATGTCCTTGTCCACAGAATGGGAAGGTTAATCCTACATTCCTAAAACTTGTAGTCTGAATAGAGTCTGCATGAGCCTGCACCTCGGGGTGAGGACAGGGAGGGAAGGCGCATCCAGTCAAACAAAAGTGTCAACAGCACTCCCAGGCAGTGTGGAAACTTGCTGAGAATACACTTTACACATCTCTGGAAGTTTAATTTTACAACAATAATTAAAATTAAATCATAGATAATCCACACCAGACTCAGCTGGCCTCTTTGGGTTTCTATGTGTGTGTGAGAGAAAATGCTGTGACTCTTCTAGAGGGTTCCAGACTGCAGACCCCCCCATGTGACAGATATACTCCTGAATAGGCCCAGCAGCCAGCTTTCCCTGTCCTCTCTGTGTGGGTCGCTCCCTAACATGGTTCGGATGTGTGTCCCTGCCCAAATCTCTGGTTGAAATGGAATCCCCATTGTTGGAGGTGGGGCCTGGGGGGAGGGCACTGGATCATGCCAGCAGATTTCTCATGAACATTTCAGCAGCACCCCCCTTAGTACGATCCTCACCATAGTGAGTGAGTTCTTGCAAGATCTGGTCATTTAAAAGTGTGTAGCCCCTCCCTCGTCACGCTCTTGCTCCTGTTCTGGCCATGTGAGATGCCTGCTTCCGCTTCACCTTCCTCCACAATTGGAAGCTTCCTGAGAGCTCTCCAGAAGCCAAGCAGATGCCAGCATCATGCTTCCTGTACAGCCTGCAGAACTGTGAGCCAGTTAACCCTCTTTTCTTTATAAATTGCCCAGTCTCAGGTATTTATTTGTATTTCAGAAATACAAGTACAGCCTAATACACTCGCCAAGGAGGGGGCCATGTGAGGCTCCCAGAATTCTAGAAGACGGAGAAGCCCGGAGCTTCCAGATCCTGGTGCCATGTTTGTTCATGGTGTGGAAACCTCCTCTCGGTATTCCTTGTTGCTCACCTACAAAATCAGAGAGAAGAAGGCAAATGTTTGCCATTCTCTGAGGCAGCAGGGAGAGGGAAAAAGGATGTAGCCTCATAGAGAGGTGGATCTGAGGTCTCAGGCTCCTCTGCATCTTAACTGGGTGATCAGGGGCAGGCACCGTAGCTGCTCCAAGCATTTGTGTCTTCACTTGATAAATGAAGATCACGCTGTGATTGTTCATCAGACTGCAATTGTTCAGCTCCTTATGTAAATGAGCATCACAGAGCGTTGAAAGTTCCTCCAAATATTTATGCAAAACTCTGGGAACAGGGTCTGGCACATGGTGAGCATTTAAAATATACATTAGTTTCCTCCACATGTCCTGACAAGCCGACTACATGTGCGAGCCGTCTCCACCCCAGCTGTGGCAGATATTCAAAAACTACCTGAAATGGGCAAAGTGCCTTGTAGTTTAGAAAGTGCTTCACGGTGCTCAATATTTAATAGGTGATCAGTAAGTGTTCTCTGGGTAATGCATCAACTTGCTTAATACTCTGACCTAGAGAGGTAAAGGGGCCTGCCTTCGCTACCCTTCACCTAGGTCTTCAAACTCCAGACCCAGGGCTTTTTCCAGAGCAAACAGATACAACTTTTCTTCTTCCCCTACATAAAGCCCAATGCCATGACCTTTATAAGAACTGCGATAAAATTTTGGAGCCAAGACACTGAATTTGCGGTTTGTGTTTGCCTTCTCACTACTTGGATAACTGGTCCTTCAGTTACCCTCAAAGCCTGGTTCTCTGCTATCACCAGAACGTACAGGCGCACAGCCTCTATAGGTCTTCTGCTCCATTGATGAGGCTTCTCATCAGGTGGAGGCCACCTCCAGCAGGTGCCATCGTTCTTCGCCCTTATTCACTGGGACCTCCCGCACTATGCCAGCCCTCCCCCACCCTCCTCAACCTGCAAGAACAGCCACGTTCAGCTCCCCCAGGCCAGGGACTCAGCATTTGGGCACTGCTGGTGTCTGCTCAAAGGTTCCGTATTTGAGACTCAATGGCTAAATTCAGTAATACCACCACAATTTCACCCAAAAGCATTATAGTAATTACTGAGTTATATTAGGAGCTTATTTAAGATAACATCTTATTTGCACAATGTAGTTCAAATAGAGGGTTAGTGCAGTCAGCGTGATTGTTCAATTCCTAATGTACATGAGCATAATCACTCCGCAAGTGCCGCACCGCTTTCACACATGTGAACAGCTAGAGCCGAAAGCATAAATATATGTCTTTTAAGGTGGTGGCACAGTTAGAATAAGAAGGTTTAGGTTGACATGTAAACAGGAATTTAGTTGTCTCTTTAGCACCGTATTGTAGGATGTAAAAATGCCTCCAAGACAGCTCTCTTAAGGAAGCCAAATCTGCTATCCCAAACCACTGCATGTTATTAGTAATCAGAGTTTCTGTTTATCAAATACCTTCTGTGTCCCAGGCACAGTGCTATGCCCTTTATGTAAATATTTCACGCAATTCTTTCCTCCCTGCACTTCTGTGAGGTCGACATTATTAGCCCCATTGGAGAGAAGAAAAAATGGAGGCTCTCGTGGGTTAAATAACAGGTGAAATGGCTTGGATATTTGTCCCCGCCCAAATCTCATGTTGAAATGTAAACCTTAGCGTTGGAGGCGGGCCTGGTGGGAGGTGTTTGGGTCACGGGGGGTGGATCCCTCAGGGCTTGGTGCTGTCCTCGAAATAGTGAGTGAGTTCTCTGAGATCTGGTTGTTTGAAAGTGTGTGGCACCTCCCCGCTCTCTCTCTTGCTCACACTCTCCCCATGTGATACCTCGGCTCCCCCTTTGCCTTCCACCATGATTGGAAGCTCCCTGAAGCCTCCCCAGAAGCTGACCAGATGTCAGCACCTCACTTCCTGTACAGTCTGCAGAACTGGGAGCCAATTAAACCCCTTTTCTGTACAAATTACCCAGCCTTGGGTATTTCTTTATAGTATGGCAAGACTGGCCGAACACAATGCGTCTGAGGCCACGCAGCCCCAGCTGGGGTTCCGCGTGTCAAACTCCCATATCTGGCCCTCTCCTGGGTCCCATACTCCCTGCCCCTGCAAATTGGGAGCTTAGCTTCGTTCCACACACCCAGGAACCCCGGGGTGGCCTCCAAGCACGCTAAGTGCTCGTCCACTGCTCCTACCAGCCAGACCTTCACCAGCCACCAAATGAGCCAGAAGGAAGCCAGAAGCCAGAGGCTGGGCCAGACAGGGAAGTGCCCATTCCTCGCCATGCCACCCCACAACCCCCACCACCAGATGCACAGAACTGATGTGGAAAGCTCTGGGCAGCAGGGACAGGTGCACAGGGGTCCTTGGCTAATGGAAGTCCCAGGGGTCTGGGTGCATCTTGGAACTTCTGGCGGGTCCCCAAAGTCCCACCCTGCCCATGGCCCACAGTCCCCCATGCATCAAAGCCCCCAAGCTGCTCTCCTCTGCCAAGAGCCGCCACTGCTCCCTGAGCCTCCTTGTGAACCTGGCAGAGGGCTTTCTGTGCTGGGTTATCTTCCTAACAAAGAAACTTGATTTTCCTCACTTTACAAGAAAACACACAACACACAAAACCCCAAGCTGCACGGAAGGCACAGGCAGCCATTTCTGCAAGGCCTCTCAAGCTCAGCACCTCTGCTGGATCTCAGGCTGTGGTGTCAAGACCTTCTCAGTCATTGCAACCCAGCCAGATGCTGATTCCCCCAAGATCAAGACTCACCTAGGACTCCTTCGGACAACTGTAGTTCAGACATCTCCCTTTCTGAACTTAAGAGAAATGCTAACCAGAAGCTACACCGACTAATTTGAGTTCAACCCTGCCCATCTGGTAAGAAAGCTGTAGGGCTGGAAATTAATCAAGAATTATACCATATATAATATAGCTGATTGTGTATTATATTTCACACATAATGTGAATTCATGTAAGGCAACACATTGAATTATATTGCAGAGCAGCAGTAAATCTGCTCAGGTGCTTTTAAAAGTATTTTCTTTTCAGTACACTGAACATGCCACGGTGAGGTCAATTCCACTTTATCTATCATGAGCACTGCCACCATGAGCCTCATGTGGGCTTCTAGAGCAGAGGTTCCCTGTCCTTCACACTGAGGGCTGAGGGCTGAAGCATGTGCCTGGCTGGGGACATACAGGGCGAATAGGGCACTGGAGTCCCTCTATACCACAGCTTCCTTGCCCTCAGTTGGGTAACTGGGGTGTGGTCCACACTGTTTTCCAGAAGTCCCCATGGGACTGAGCCACCCAAGCTGAGACAACACACCCTTTATTAGCTTCCTTCCCTTCTATTATGGGGTGAACTGTGTCCCACCCCAAAGTGGTACATTGGGGTGCTGTGTCCCCCCCAAAGTGGTACATTGGAGTATATTAGTGGTACCTCAGAAGATGATCTCATTTGGAAACAGGGTCTTTACAGAGGTAACCGAATGTATTAGTCTGTTCTCATGCTGCTGATAAAGACATGCCCAAGACTGGGCAATTTACAAAAGAAAGAGGTTTATTGGACTTATAGTTCCACGTGGCTGGGGAAGCCTCCCAATCATGGCGGAAGGCAAGGAGGAGCAAGTCACATCTTACATGGAAGGCAGCAGGCAAAGAGAGAGCTTGTGCAGGGAAACTCCCCCTTATAAAACCATCAGATCTCACAAGACTTATTCACTATCATGAGAACAGCATGGGAAAGACCTGCCCCCATAATTCAATTACCTCCCACTGGGTCCCTCCCACAACACATGGGAATTCAAGATGAGATTTGCGTGGGGACACAGCCAAACCATATCACTAAGTGAAGATGAGGCCATAGGGTAGGCCCTGATCCAATATGACCTGTGTCCTTATAAGAGGGAAATTTGAATCCGGAGACAAACACACAGAGGGAAGGCAGTGTAGGGAGATGTCATGTGGACATGAAAGATGGGAGGGAGGCTTCTATAAGCCAAGGAATGCCTGAGGGCACCAGAAGCCAGGAGAGGGGACAGAACACAGCCTTCCCCAGAGCCTTCAGAGGACGAGGCCCTGCTGACAGCTCTCTGTCAGGAGGCCCTGCTGACAGCTCCCCTCCAGGACCATAGGCCAGAACATTCCCCTGTTGGAAGCCATCCAGCTGGCGGCTTTGTCACAGCAGCCTCAGAAGCACACACTCCTTCCCTGCCTCACTTCACACCAGTGTTTCCACCTGGGGTTGCCTCCCAAACCAAAACCCCCACTAAAATCCTTGTCTCCATGTCTGCTCCCAGGGGAACCCAAACCAAACCAGCCCTGAAATCTCATTTCAGCTTCTAAATCAAAACCATGAAAACTCAATGTGGTTCTTTGGAAGACAGAAACCCCCGTAGGACTAGGATTGGTCTTCCCAGCCATCCAGTAGCTCACAGGTGAGCCAAGCAGGCCCAGTGGGTGCCTACCTGTCTCAAGGCAGGGATGTGGTGAATGGACTTCTTCCAGGGTGAAAAAGGGAGGGGAGCTAAAAGGGCAAGTCTGGGCATCCCTGCCCCCTGCAGCTGTGGGGAGACAGAACCCACACTGGGGCTTCCAGGAACAAGCAGGCACTGCCCAGGAACTGCAGGCACTGAACTCCATGCAGAGAGTGGCTGGCCTGGGCTGTCCTGCTCTGCTCCAGGGCCCAGTATGAGAACCCCTGGGCTACAGACCATGCCAGGTGTCAGAGTTTCTTTTTCCAGAATGGATTGCTAGCTCCTTCCTGCCTGATCAAGGAAACTAATTCCTATAGCCTTCACCCAGTGTTAGCTTGTCTCATATCAAAGCTGAAGAAATGACATGGAATTTGCTAGAAAAAGGAGTGACCCACAGGCACAGCCAGATCCTGTTCCCACCTCTGCCGTGACCTCTGACTTTAGGCTGGCCTCCCCTTCTGTCAGACAGGTGGGCAAGACCAGAAGACATCTAAGGTCCCTGCCAGCTCTTTCAGGCTGCAATCATGGCCCTGAAATACATATGGTTAAAGAACTCCCTAAACCTTCACTTCCCCCTCTGTATAATGAGCACACATCCCTCACAAGAATGGGGTTTGTGTGGAACCAATGAGCTAAAGTCCAAAAAGCCTCTAGCCAGGGTGACCAGCACCTAGTCGGTGTTCTAGCTCAGTTGGTTCCCCCACCTCCTTTTCCCCTGGGCCCCTTCTCTGCCAGGCCAGTCTCAAAGGCTGCACTCACAGGTATGAGTGTGAACTTCCAAAGCACCCCTCTTGCCTGGATGTCTGCACCTAATCTGCCCCCTTTGCTCAAAAGATGCCCCCAGAAGTCTCTGGTGGCTGCAGCAGGAATGAAGTGTTCACTCTTGGTGTCTCCTGGTCTCAGTCTGAGAAGCGGGTGGCCACAGTTGGGGTGGGAGACATGCTGGGCTCTGAGGCTTTCCACACCAGAAGTAGCTGCTACAGAAGCAACAGGCCCCTGTGGCTTCTTACCACTTGGCAGAAATACTGAAGATGGTTACCAAAGGTAGTGAGAAAGCCTTGTTCTTCAGGTATATCCCAGGAGAGTCCCACTCATGAGAGTGTGATGACCAGCAATAGGGCAGCATTCTTGTCCCTTCAGCAGCCTTCACCCACAGAGGAATTATTTTTAGTTTGTCTATCTCAGGATAGCCAATTGGGAGCAATTAGAAATGACCACAGCAGAATCACCACTCTCTGCCTTGGTGAGTCACAGTCAGGAAGGACTCACACAGAGTTGTCCATGGTAACTCCAAGCCACATGGTACTTAGAGAGATCTGCACCCAACACTGAAGTCACAGCTCCCCAGGTGTAAAAAGTGATAGTTGTGTCCCAGCTGCTTATCTGCATGTATTGGTCTATGGGGCTGCCATCACAAAATACCACAGACTGGGTGGCTGAAGCAAGAGGTTTATTTTCTCACAGTTCTGGAGGCTGGAGGTCCAAGATCAAGGTTCTGGCTGATTCCATTTCTAGTGAGGGTGCTCCTCCTGGCTTGCAGGCAGCTGCCTTCCTGCAGTTCTGGCAGGGCCTTTCCTTGGTGTGCATGCATGGAGGGAGAGGGAGCTTTCTGGTGTCTCTTCTTACAAGAATGTGAATCCTATTGGATCAGGGCCCCACCCTATGGCTTCATCTAAGCTCAGTTCCTCCCTTACGGGTCTCATCTCCAAACACAACCACACTGAGTGTTAGGGTTCAACATAGGGATTAAGGGGTACAAGGAGAGATGCACATTCAGTCCACAACACAGCAATGTGGTTTGTGTCACTGTCAACATTACAAAGCCAAGAGGCAAAGACACTGCCGGCCCGAGTATGCATGGTTGAGGTAGGTTTTCTGAAAGTGCCGAGCCTCCACCCTCCCTGCCCTTGCCCTGCTGCTGCTGTGCCCCTGACAATACAGACCCCATTCAAGGAGTCCAGCACAGCACCAGGCACTGCAGACACTACTCACATCATCTTCTCAGTGACTCACAACCACACCAGGAGGCAGGCATTGCTGTTCCCATTCCCCGTGGTGAAAACCAAGGCACAAATAGAATGGGGGACAAGCCGGGCATGGTGGCTCATGCCTGTAATCCCAGCACTCTGGGAGGCCGAGGTGGTCAGATCACCTGAGGTCAGGAGTTGGAGACCAGCCTGGCCAACATGGTGAAACCCTGTCTCTACTAAAAATACAAAAAATGGCCAGGTGTAGTGGCACATGCCTGAAATCCCAGCTACTCGGGAGGTTGAGGCAGGAGAATCATTTAACTCCAGAGATGGAAGTTGCATTGAGCCGAGATTGCACCACTGCACTCCAGCCTGGGCGACAGAGTGAGACTCTGCCTCAGAAAGAAAAAAGAAAGAATGAGGGACAAAGCCTGGCTGGTCAGCTGTCGAATCCAGATTTGATGTGAATCTGTCTTGTTTGTGCATTCCAATGTCAGGTGTCAAGTGTGAGATGTGCGAGGGCACAGAGATGAAAAAAGATGGAAAGAGACTCCCGTGTCATGAGAAAGACCCAGTGGAACCGGGATACCCATAGAGTTTCACGGGAAGTTTGGGAGGAGAGCGTCTGGAAGGGCTTCTTGGAAGAAATGTGCCAGGGCTGAGTCTCACAGCAGGAGCCACCAGGCAAAGGGAAAGGAAGGAGCTGGAGGTGGGGACAGCATGAAGAGGGGAGCTGGCCTGGCCTGAGCAAGACCCTGAACAGCTTCACGGTCCTGGGCACGAAGCAGGGGGCCGGGATCCTTCCAGAGGAGGCTGGAGGGGCAGGCAGGGCCCACTGGGGATGCTGAGGTGGAGACAGACATGTCCCAAGAGTGTGGGAGTAGGGAGGTCCTGAAGGTGGGTACCCTGGAGAGGGACGTGCCACTGCATTTTATAGGGCTCACTGACAGCCACGAAGGCATGGGTTTGAGGAGGAACAGCCAGAAGGAGACCACCTAGGTTGCTCCTGCAGGAGGCCAGGAGACAGAGGGTGAGGCGGGACCCATGTGGGGCAGCGGGGAGGGGATGAGAAGCAGAATTAGGATGGCGCTGAGGGAGGCGGGATAGCTCGGACTCAACATTGCTTGGACATGGTAGCAAGAGAGACCAGGGAACCTAGGATGCCTCCCTCACTGCTGGCATGGGCCAGGGGAGAAGGGTGAGCCCATCCTCTGAGCAGGGAAGCCAGGTGCCAGCACAGGCAGAGCCAACTTCAAGTCACACAGATCTCATTCAAACCCCACTCTGCTGTCTCTTAACTGTCCAACCTTGAGCAAGTATCTTGGCCCCATCTGTAATCTGGAGATGAGGACAGTACCAGCCCCACAGAGCTGCTGTGAAGATCCCATGAGGAGGTACATGCAAACCACTGGGCACGATGTCTAGCACTCAACAGACACTAAATTGATCACGGCTGTCATTTAAATTAGCCACATAAATGTGTTTCATTCTTGGAAGGTCACGTATTCCTCACAGCGTATGGTGCCCCAGTCTTTCCACTACTGCTGCATTTTGGAGTGTCCTCTAGCTTTCAACCATGGATAATGAGACCTGCAGATAAGCCATTTCCAAACTCCCCTAGTAGAGCCAGGCACCCCATCCCCATCCCACAATTCTCACTGCCTGGTCCTCATTTCTGTGCTCACCTCCTTCCCTTCATGGAGGCTCTCAGGCAGAGCTGTGTGACCTCCCTTTCCCTCTCCATCTGTCTGTGCAGAGCTAGCACGGGAGGGCTTGGCAAATGTTTATTTACTGAGCAGGAGTTACCAACTTTTCTCCCAGCTGATGATTTAAGTACAAGTTTCAGTATGATTCCTCCAGTAGCCGACCAAAGGCGGATTTTAAACTAAGAAACACACCTGTATTTAGCACACCAGGGGATTCACCAGTTCCCCTGGGGCTGGTCTTGGCACAGTTTCATCCAGAAAAAAACCACCAGAGGAACCTTCAGCACATTAAACACCCATAGGCAATATGCACTGTGTGGGGGGTCAGGTGCTCATTGTCTCATTTCTTCCTCTGCCCATGAGGTAGGGTGTGTGAGCCCCATTTTACAGATGAGCAAACTGTTGGTAGGCAAGTCTACTTTGCTAAAGGTCATGTCGCTGCCGCATGTTTATCTGCATTTGAGACTAGAAAAGCAATTGATGTCTGTTCTAGGAATTAGGGACACTGGTGCTGAGAACACTTAAAAATAGCCCCGTGCATTTTCCCATTCTTGAAACAGGTTTACTAATCAGGAACGCAGCTGAAAAAATCCAGCAAAATGACTCAGTTCCAAGTAAAATGTCATTTCTCCCCCATCACTTTGGGACAACCCCAGCAAAGCCAGCACAGCATAGAAACAGAAAGAGAGACAGCAGAGAGGCCAAGAGGCAGAGAGGAGAAAAGGGGAAGAGGCCACATGGGTGGCTGCAGGGCCTCTCACAGTGCCCTGCAGCCTCAGTCAATTCCGGGGGTGCTCACAAGGCTAAAACGCTGGCTGTAAAATCAAGGGCAAGCTGGAGGGCTGGTTTCCTGTCTTCTAAATATACTCCTGTTCCGATGGTATCTCGTCCCCTGCGTCACGAAGGAGGGCTGCCCTTGACACTGTGAATGTCTCAGGAACACCTCAACCCAAAGGAAGCTGGGGTGTAGAAAGCTCGAGGTTCCTAATACCTTCAGGAACAGCACACTCAGGTCCTGCTCAGGCACTGGGCATGGCTGCCTCCTGCTCCTCTTTATCCACCCTCCTCCCCCTCCTCCCCCTCCTCCCTCTCCTTCCTCCCTTCCTCTTCCCTATCTTCCTCCTCCTCAAGGTCTTCCTCCTTCTCCCCCTCCTCTTCCTCCTGCTCCTCCCTTTCCCCTCCTCCTCCTCCTCCCCTTCCCCTCCTCCACCTCCCCACACAGAGCACCTCAAGCCCTCCAGGTGGGCAGTAACTGTCCAGCAGAGCTGCTGTCTGTGAATGTTATCAGAGGAAACACTTCAGAACTGAGAAGCAAACAGAAACCATTCTACACCTGCTGTCGCTCCACTTCCTCTGGGCCCCAACCTCCAGCCAGGTGTCCTCATGGGAAGAAAGGGCCCATTCAGGACTGCGGCTAGTGGTTCCCAGTTGAGTTCCTCCAACATGGCAGGAAGAAAGGAAGACACAGTAGGAGGCAGCAGAGCCTTGTGGTGAAGCCTAGGGCTCAGAGTGGAGCCCACCTACTGCCCATGCTGCATGTCCTGGCTCTGTGACCTTCGGGCAGGCTGTGGTTTATCATTACTTGTAATTTGTAACATTGAGTTACAAATACTGTGACTAGTTCAGAGGATTTATGAGGATGAAATGAGTTATCTGCTTAAACCACATAACATAGTGCATGGCCCTACACTTTGGGAGCTGGCGTGCCTGCCCTGAGCCCCACGCATTCACACTGTGTCATTTTTACAGCTGTGCCACCTGCCTCCTCACCTTCACCCTCCACCCCTCACACACCCTTCCAGGGTACCCCGATCCCGCAGGCTGCTTCCCATCTCTCCCTGAAATGCAGCCCGTCCTTTGGAGAGCCTTCCAGGACCTTTTCCCACTCTTGTGCACGCTTGACCATCATCAATTTAGTGATCTTTTCCCTAATAGATTTCACGTTCTCTCAGGCCCAGAGCCATGTCTAAGTAACAGTGACTAGTGGCTATGTGAATCTATTAATTCTCACACCTAAAATAGAACTCCACACAAAGGAGGTGCTCAATAAATGCTCATTGAGCAATCAACAATAACGACCAAGGCTCAGAGAGGTGAAGTAACCTGCTCTGTGTCACAGAGCTTGGAAGTGGCACATCTGGAATTCCAAGGCCAGTCACACCAAGGCAGGTCCAAGTCCTACTGCCCCTCAGCATCCTCCTCCCGTAGACGGTGATGCACCTGGGGGAGCAGAAGCAGTAGTTCCCAAGTCTACAGTGGAGCAAGAGGCTCAGAAATGGAGATCTCGGAGCTGCCCGCGTACAGCCTGGAGTAAAGGACACGCCATGCTGCCATTAAGCACCATTTCAGCCCCTCGTTGCCTGCACAGGTCCAACACGGAGCAGCTTGGCTGGGAGGCAGAACGGCAAGTAAAGCCTCCCTCCAAACAAGCCACCCCGCAAAAGGCTTGAAGGAGCACCCGTATTCAGAGACCACCCACTTTAATACAGATAATACTCTAGTAGCTTATATTTATTGATTTCCACACCTGCTAGGGACTGTTCCCAGCATGTGTGATTAAGAGTATCTATAATCGCAAGGCGCGGTAGCTCAGTCCTATAATCCTAGCACTTGGGAGGCCGAGGCAGGTGGATCACTTGAGCTCAGGAGTTCGAGACCAGCCTGGGCAACAGGGTGAAACCCCATCTCTACAAAAATACAAAAATTAGCTGTGTGTGGTGGCACATGCCTGTAATCCCAGCTATTTGGGGGAGCTGAGGCAGGAGGATCACCTGAACCTGGGAAGTGGAGGTTGCAGTGAGCTGAGATCATGCCCCAGTACTCCAGCCTGGGTGACAGAGCAAGACTCGGTCTAAAAAAAAAAATATATATATATATATATATATATAAAATTATTTGATCCTCGTGGCAACCTTACAAGATGGGCACTGTCAGCCGCCATCATCAGCATCTTACAGATGGGGAAACTGAGGTGGGGGAGAGAAGCAAGTTGCCTAGTGTCCTGAGTATCACACTGCTAGAAATTCCTGCAGCCTGGGTGCAGGCAGTGGGGCTCCAGTATCTGTACTTTTTACCAGTTTGCCACTCTGTTTTGATGTGATTTTTTTTTTTAATGTTAAAGGTGAGGTGGGGATAAGTTCCCAAAGGTGCTCATTGAGTCCCACTGTTGTGGAGTCACTTTCTGTGGAGTCCTCATGACAGGCCCTGGAGGCAGGAGACCCGGAATCACCTACTCCCACAAGCCCATGCCGGCCTGGCTCAGCCATGCTTTTAGAAAGTACTCCCAGGAGGCTATTGCAACACTCCAGGGGCATCCCCTGACATCCCTGCACCTGCCTGGACATCCTGTCCTCTCCTCCTTTCTTCCAGCAACTTCCTGGGTCTCAGGGAGGGGGGTGGGATTCCAGTGGGGTGCGGGAGTGGGAAGCACTCCATCCGGGCCGAGGGAGGAGTCATTTCCCAGCTCCAGTCAGCACCTGTTTCTCCGCCTCTGGCCCATGGTAGGAAGGGAGCTGCCAGGCATCCCGCCCTTGAGGCCTCTGAGCGAACGAGAGCTGGTTCACAAGCTCGGAACCTGGAGGCTCAGAATGCGGCGGCTGCTAGCTGTGTGACAATGGACAGGTCACTGAGGTCCCTGGCAATGGGTGGGAGGTCGTTAGCGCTCCTTGCCAGGATAGCCTCTAAAGCCCTTCCTCGGGGGACCGGTCAGCACATGCAGCCTCAGCCCTCTCCTGCCTCAGAGTGACATCACTGCCTTCGGGGCAGCCCCCTCACCAAGCAGCCTGTGTCCCCTTAGTCTCCGTAATCCTCCAGCCATCAGCCACTCTGCCCTAGCTCTCTCACAAACATTGGGGGGTTTGGCCAACAGGTGTAGTAGCAGAACACCAACATCAGGGTGCCCACCCCACAGCATCATTATTGCTGAGTGGGAGCATCTCTTTCCAGATGTGCACTTATCAGTCTCTCATTGGTAGTTCAGAATCGGGATGGGAGAGAATTAACACCACAGACGTGGGAAAATGCTATAACTTGGGGCTTTTTATTTTTGGTGGGGAAGGGTGTCAGTTGTTAAACATTTACCAGCATTTCCCTGCAGCCCAGGGTAGCAGGCAGAACAGGACCCTAGCTTACACCCGCCATGTCCCTCCCTATCCTCCTCTTCATCCCAGGAGCCCAGCTAGGGACCGGGGGACTTCCAAATAGACAGTGCCCTTTATGATGGTGGGTGGAGTTCACACGTCATGGGGCCAGAGCACTGGGACACATGCGTCTGTATCCCAGCCCTACCATTGTCATGGGGTCTCTAAAACATCATCCCCAAAGTCACAAAGCTGCCCGACCTCAGTTTTCTCATCTGCAAAAGGAGGCTTGCTGGAGATAGCAAACAGAACAGAGCCTGGAAACTATGATGCCAGCCTCATACCAGACACTGCTGTTTGTGCAATAGCCCACTGTTCTAGTGCTTCCCCAACCTTTCCACAAGTTTTTCTTCCTCCTAATTCACTTTGATCTCCACGAGCTCTTAGAAAATCACCCAGTGAAGTGTGCCTAAAATTTGGCAAACCCAAGAACAAAGAATTGCTTTTCACAGAAGTGCTTATAAGACATGCCCAGCTCAAGACCAAACTGTGAGCTAAAAGAGAAATCACCCCTTCAAGCTTGTCACGTCTCCTTTCACAACTGTGGCAACTGAGGCTTGTTCTAGGCCGCAAACCAAAGTACCATAGAGCTGAAACAGAAGGAGCTAGTGTCACACGTTGAAACTGGGAGAAATGGCTGCTTTCCACAATTTACCCACCCGAAGTGTGATGTGTTTCTGACTCAAACATTTCTTGAAGAATTAATTTTGCACAAATTGACTTTAGCCATCCAGCACCTGTTGGTGTCACCTCCTCTGCTGGGCTCTCTGGAAAGGCCCATTTGCCCTCTCCTCTGTCAGATGGAAGAGTTAGAAGGCATTTTCAAAGCTTCCGTGCATCCAGGGGTCTGGATAAAAGTTAGCCTGCACCAAACAGATACCTTTAAAAGGCAGTAGTGAGGTGGGTGCCCTCTTCCTGCAGTACCTGACCGCTGCTGCCACAGCGTAGGCACAGAGACATAGGGCTTTCCAGCAATGACAGCCCAGGGTCCATCCTCCAGTTCCTGGGTGTCTTGGTCTGGCTTCCTAATCCCCAGATGGCAGTTTTGAGTGCTCCTTTTCCATCAGAAGCAGACGCAGCAGCAGCTTCTTGCTTTCAGGTCAGCCCTAGGAGCAGCCTCAGAGGTTACAGCTCTCCCAATGTCCAGTTCTATATTCTTACAGGAATGATTCCAGAAGCCCAGTTTAAAGCCTGTTTCTTTAGGTCTTCCATTCCCTGTATTAAAGCCTTTTCTGTTTAACACACCTAGAGTGGTTTCTGTTTCCTGCAAAGAGGTCTAATACATCTATTCTTAGGTTCCCAGATCTAGGCAATTTTCATGCTTTGTGAATTTAAGGAATGGCTGCCCGAAAAATCTATGAGTCTCTGTAAAGTCCTTCCTGGACCCTACAATCATCTCCAATACATTGTCAGTAAAATACTGAAGCTCCACCTTCCTTGGGCCTTTCTATTAAGAAGCATCTGAACTTACACTATGCTGGGCTTTCTCTTACGCACACAAGACAAATAAAATATACACTGATACAGTTTGATCCCCTATAAGGAAAATTTTAGAGGCTCACACTAAAGTATGCCCCATCCAAGACTTTGAGTGGACAGAACCCCCTGTAGACTGATAAAAAGCTGGAGTATCATTCTCCCTTTGTAAACTCTTATAGCTCTATTTTAAAACCAGGGCAAGGCCAGGGTCTTCCATGCCTGGTCAGCAGAACACAGCTTTGAGTCCAGCCACGACATGTCCCCTCCTGCAGGGTCATTACAGGTCACTCACTAATGGAGAAAGACTTGGGGTGGTATTAGCTGGGACAATTGTCCTCTGCTCCTCTTTAGACTCCATCCACATGTGCAGGGGTACAGATCACCCCCTCAACCACCATAAGTGAGATCACTCTTAGGAAAAGCAAAATCCCATGTTCCTTGGCTCTCTTCCGAATTCATCCCAGTCATCTGATTTAAGAAGTAATTTCAGATCATCTTCCCATTTCTGCTTCATGTTGTATCATCAAAAACACGTGTCCAGTTGGTTAGCAGAATCAGAAACATACATCAGTCTCGATAGTAGAAGAGGCAGGGATTTTCCTGAGGAGTTAGTGTCAACCTCTGAAAGATGAGGCAGCAAGAAAATCACAAACACTAAGAACGTGCTTGCAAAATGGGGGAACTAGGCTTTTCCCAGCTCCCTCCCCCACATCCTCCTCTCCCTATGACTGGCTGGCCCTGGGCCCCTGCAAGCCCCACCCCTACCCTCAGCCCTAGCCCAGACTCTAGGGCAAACCCAGGGAGCAGAGACGGGGTCTCCCTCCCCCACCCCATCATCAGCCCAGACTGCCCAGGCTTGCAGCCCATGTGCCCATGGACTGGGCCAGGGGAGCCCCACAGGTGGCCTTGCTCTCTGCAAACAGGAAGCTCAGGGCTTGCCCTAGACACTGTCTCCTGAATCAACTCTCAGTCTGGCATATTTCACAGCTTTCATTTCATTATGCTTTAGTAGACTTTTAAATAAATTTTTTCATTGAAAGTCATATATACATGATTAAAAAAAAAAAGCCGGAGCACAAAAAGATATATAATTAAACAGGAAGCCACGTTCTGTTGTCAGATCCAATACCCTACGCCCCAGAGGTAATCACTTTCAAGAGTCCTATAGGTTCCCTTCCCAACAAGTCATCACATGCACAGGAGGGGCCATTACATGCACAGGACCAACAGCTGCTAATTTAACAGATTTTTCAGACTCTCCCTCCTTGCTATTATGTTTAGAAAGCCAGATCTTTGCTTTTTCAGCCTTCCTTGCAGCAGGAGATGGGTACGTGACCCTATCCTGGCAATGAGATGCACAGGTGAGTTAGCCTGTGGCAGGGAGACAAGGGGCCAGGTGGCATCCAGGAAGCTCTTACTTTCCAGATTTAAAAAGAAAAAACAATGTGCCTGGCATTGGCCAGCCCCTTCCTCTTTTCTCATGCTTGGGTGTGATATTTGGAGCTGCAGCAGCCATCTTGGGACCATGGGGTAAAGAGTGTCGGGATAAAAAGCCAACACATTTTATGAAGGCACAGCAGAAGAGAAAGAACCCAGATCTCTAAAGACATTGTTCAGTGGATGAACACATACCCCCGGCTGCTAACCTCCATACATGGTGTTCCATGAGAAAAATAAAGCTCAATGTTTTAACCAGTGCTGGTCAGGTTTTCAGTTACTTATAGAAGAACCCATCCTAATTGATACAATATAGAAGCATCATTAGTGAATTTAATTTTCTTCAAATGGGTGCAGACTGGACAGTGCCCTGCACTTTGCTTTCTTCACTCAGCATGCACCTTTGCAATGTTTCCCATACCCATTCACGTAGGCCTAGCTCATTCTCAGCTGCTTCAGTTTTCTGCTGCACAGAACACATTATAAATAAAGCTGACATCCTACCAATGCACATTTTTATTGGTTGCTTCCAATTTTATCCTACTAAAACGAAGGCCACAAGAAGCATCTCTGTATCTACAACTTAGTGCACTTGTTTCTCTCTGTACAGTAATTTGTGGAAGAGGCAGGCCAGAGACCTCGCCCCTGGCCCCTGTCTTTGTCCCCTGCTCACTCCACGGACTGGGCACACTGAACCCTCCTTGGGTCTCCTGGGCCCACCATTGCCAAGGGCTCACATCTTGATTCCCCTTTTTCTCTACTCACTCTGCTGCCCATCCTGAACACTAGGACATCTACTACCTTGGCCAGAGCCTTGGGTTCCCCTAACCTACATCTCAGTTTGGGTAAGTGGCCTTGAGCTTCTTCCTCGGGGACTGAAACTAAGGCTTGCTCTCATCTGGCTCTCCCTGCAGCCCACTGCTGTCACCCAACCTCACCCCAGCACCTGGGTCTGCTCCCCAGCCCTGCACCATCCACCCCTTTCCAGAACCTGCCCCTTCCTGTTCAGATGAACAGGCCCACATCAGGCCGACTGCCAGGCAAGCTCCCACAGGAAACAGAACAAGCAGCCACACCCCACCTATAACCAGGCTCTGGCCCTGGTTTCAGCACCTGCAACCCACCCCAGAAATTCACACCAGAAACCCAACCTCACAGCCCAACCAAAATCCCATTTGCCACCAGAAGCTGACAAATGCCATTGCTGGGTAGAGGGACACACCAAGATGGAGGTCAGATATCTAAGAACACGCAAAACAGGCATGCAGATTTATGTACCAGCGAAAGCAGATGCATGGAACATTCCATCAGATCTGACTGGTTTATGCTCACCAGCCTGTGCCCAGCCAGCCAGGGCATGCTAAGAGCTGAAACACGCAGGGGAATGCTGTCAGCACAGATGTGCAGGTGACATTTTCAGGGTAAAATCCTGTCTTCTAGGGCAAAAAGCCATCTTCTCTGGCTGGCAGATTCGCAAGGCTGCTTGCATCCAGGCCACAGCCTGCAGTTCCCCCTCCAGCTCACTCCTCTTCACTCATCCCCACCAGCCAGCTACACCCAGGTCTTAGGGAACATCCAGAAGGCAGCGTCCTCTGAGACCACCTGGTCCAGTCCTCTGATTTTACAGATAAGAAAACTGAGGTCCAAAGAGGTCAAAAAAGTCACCCAGTTGCTTTGTGACAGGGCCAGGGACACAAACACTAAAGCCACCTTCATTGAGCACCTCCTCCTATGCTCCCAACTCTCCTTTGAGATATGTAGCATCGCTCCCTTTTCATTGATCAGAAATTGGAGGTTGATAGAGGTCAAGGAACTAGCTCCAGATCACACAGCTGGTGAGGAGCAGAGCTTGGGTACAAACCAGCCAGACAACCCTCCATCCAGGACTCCATCTGCCCCAGCTTTACTAAGGAGGCTTACATCCCCATGACACCACTCCTAGGACAAGAATGAAAACTGTGGGTAAGAGAGGAAGAGAGTGTATGCATTCACCAAAGGGAGGGTTATTATTAAGCAATGAAAATGCGAAAATAGTGTCTAAAACAGAATCTTGCAGGTGTTCAGCCATCTCCTTAAGCAAGGAAGTGCTCACAAAACAATGGATGGGAGCACATCAAAGGGACAATGGGGCCAAGCATGAGGCTCACGCCCCGTGGAATCCCAGCACTTTGGGAGGCTGAGGCAGGAAAATCACTTGAGCTCAGGAGTTCAAGACCAGCCTGGGCAACATAGTGAGACTTCTCCTCTACATAAAATCAAAAAAATCAGGCAAGCATGGTAGCACATGCCTATAGTCCCACCTACTAGGGATGCTGAGGTGGGAGGACCACTTGAGCCTGGGAATTCGAGGAGGCTGCAGTGAGCTATGATCTCACCATTATACTCCAACCTGGGCCACAAGAGTAAGACTCTGTCTCAAAAAAAAAAAAAAAAAGGAGGGGGGGCACCCAGATCCCGAAAAAGCTCCCAATGGCCAAAGTTGGAAGAGTATGAGCAACAAACTACTATTGGATTATAACCCAGAGAATACAATAAGTACCTATGAGCCAACATCGATATAAATAAATGATTGAACAAATAACAGGAAGAAGAGACAATCCACCCTTAAAGAAGAATTCCAAATAATTTATGTAGTTACCCACCTCTCGAAGAGGTGGAGCATGACTTTCCCTGCCCTCAGGTGTGGGCTGTGTTTGGTGACTTGCTTCCCAAGGGCAGGTCTGAGAAAGGAGTGGGGGAGGAGAGAACTTTGCTGGGAGAAACCCAACAAACACAGCTCAGCCAGAAGCTCAAGGTCATTGGCTGCGATCAGTCCTGTTGATAGGCACGCACCCTTGATTGCATACGATAAAAATGGCACTTCACCTCTGTGGGCTTCTCCCGAGAACCCGTAACCGCGGTCTAACCATAAGAAAAATATCAGATAGCCCAAACTGAAGGGCATTCTACAAAAATACCTGGCCAATCCTCACGACAGCTGTCAAGGTCATCCAAAACAAGGAAAGTCTGAGAAACTGTCATAGACCAGAGGAGGCCACCAAGATGTGACAACCAAATGCAATGTGGGATCCTAGAGGGGAATCTTGGGACAGAAAAAGGCCTTAGGGAAAAACTAGTGCAATCCACATAAACCGTGGCGCTTAGCTGAAAGAACCAACCAATGTTAGTTCCTTAGTGGTGAGGAACGTGCTAGGGAGATGCAAGCTGTCACAATGGGGAAACCAGTGAGGTGTGTCCAGGAATCCTCTGCGTTATCTTTGCAATGCTTCTGTAAATGCACAGCCGTTCGAAACCAAAGGTTGCTAGTTTATAAATACACCGAGATGAGATGTCCCACTATCTTGCTAGGGGAGTCGTTCCCAACTGACCACCCATGAGACTGGTTGGGGAGATTTTCAAAACTTTTCAAAGGCCCTGCCTGGGATGAAGTGAACAAGCATCCCTAGGCCTGCGGCCTGAGCATCAGGACCTTGACAAGATCCCCTGGTGATTCTACCGTGCATTAGGGTTGAAACCAGTGGCCAGGGTAGGACAGGAGTTAATTGCACAGGGCTTCCATGGAGTAAGATGGAGCTGGGAAAGGATGCTGGAACTCTTCAGGCTGCAGGAGAGCTGCATGGAACGGACTGCCGCCCCTCCCCGCATTACCTCTGAAGGGCTCCTTGTTGGAACCTGGACATCTCTCACTCCCCTGTCCTGGGTCAGCCGCTGCTGGCGGGATCAGGTGGTGGAAGGGTTCAAATTTCCCTTGGGTGTTAAAATGCAAAGTGACCCTAACCAGCCAGGAAAAGAGCAGGTGTCCTCTTTCATCCAGCTGGGGTCACTGTCCCCTAAGGGGCCCCAGGCTGGTCCTTCCTGTCTCACTGAGGTCTCAGACCTCATGCTCATTGGGACTTGGCTGAACTCCAGGCCGTCAGCCCAACAGCGCTAAAGCTACAGCCAAGCCGCAGAGAGCCGTGGCCTCCCACGCCCCACGTTGCTGGGCAGAGAAGGGAAGCATTTCAGACAGGCAGGCTGGCCCCTGGCCAGCAGGTCTCCAGATGCCATGCAACACACACCTGAGCAGGGTAAGAGAATAGGTGTGTGTCAACAGTATTTGAAAAAGAAAATAGCTGCACAAATACAGCACTTGTTAACACAGGTGTTTACAGGTGGAATTATTTTTCCAGGGCTGCTATCTCCCAGCCTTCTTTGTGCTTCTCAGCTCACACCTGCAGGGACTTTCCTACGAAGCCAAGGCACAAAGGGGAAGTGGATAGTCCGTATCGATTTTACCACGGAGGAGGTCAGCGATCAGCTTCAGGCCTGGCTAGTTTTCACAGTTTCCCTTGCTGGACTCACTTCCATGTTTTCAACCTGCTCTAACAGGATCTGGCCTGCGCTCCACTTCCTGCTTGGCTAAGGCAGCTGCTGTGACCACCCCAGGCAGTCACAGCAAGAAGCCATTTCCTGGGGCCAGGGCACGCTGGCTACTCTCGGGACATAATTATCTATCTGGTCCTTGTCTCCTCTCCCCCAGGAGAGGCTCAATGTTTGTATATTACAGATAAGGAAACTGACACACTTGTCTGAAGTCACAGGGCTAATAAGTGGAGGATGTTGTGCCGACATCAAACCAGGGAAGAACCCAAAGAGGCAGCTGCAAAGGGCTCCAGAAGTGTCTCCAAGATGACCCCCCCACCACCACCACCACCGCCCACACCAGGAGCAGCAGTGCTCTCTGTGGGACACCCAGAAGCACAGACATTCAACTTAAAATAGGATCTCATAGAATAAAGCAGTCCGTCAGGTGGTAACAAGTCCCAAGGTATTAAAAATTATAGAAGAGAAACTTAATGCCTCTGAACAGCACACTTACAAATGGTTAAGATGGTCATTTTTATGTTACGTGTGTTTTAACACGATTTTAAATTTTTAATTGACACACTTATGAAAGAGAAACTTAAAATGGAGAACGTTCTATTCCAGAGGGAGACCTAGCCAACTTGCATCACCAATTAGCCTGTTTTTGGTAAATGTACCCACTTTTTGCATTCTGAGAGAGAACTCTGTCCTCTGGAAAGACTTTCTCTTAGATGAGCCTTTTAATTCATGCAGATGTGGGCCGGAGTATTTGAGTATTTCCCGTTATATGGGGGAAGCACTAAAAGGTGAACTGCCCTAAATGCAGATTTCTCAGTGTGAGGTTTTAGGTGCTCTGCTTCACATGTAAAAGGCAAGACAGGGGACAGGAGTGAAGACAAGGTGGGGAGGGAACAGAAGAGCAGGCCCTGCTCCCCACCCCCAAGGCAGTGAGGAAACACCCCCACCAGCACCCTCTAAAAGGTTGGCACAGCAGGCAGGCTCCAGGAGGGGATGTAATCCTCCTCAGTAAAGCTGTTGAAGATGGCTGCCTGGGGACGCAGGGAGGGGCTCAGTCACACTTGGGGAGAGGCCAGACTGAAAGAGCAGGGCCAGCAGAGATGCTGAGATCCTCTCAGCCAGAGGCCACTTGTGGAAAAGTCCAACGGTACAATCTGGGCAGGAGGTGACAAGGGGCAAGCAGGGTGGACTGACTCCCAGGGTGCTCAGAGAAGCCTGGCAAGGTCCGAGTGTGCTGCAGGCCCCCGAGATGGCAAGTGGAGAACATGGAGACATTTGCCATTGGTAGCTTTTGATGTCCTTGTTCCTACAAGCCAGGGGGAAATGTCATGACTTGATTTTGGCAGCGAAACCCTTCAGCCCAACTTGAAGAGCAATGAGGCTTCCAAAAATGTTAAGAAACATTGCTCCATTCCAGCCTTCCTCCTTCACCTCCTCTCGCAGACTAGCACCACCTGTGTTCCAAGTCACAGATGAAGAGTCCGAGGGTCAGAGAGGCGGGGTGTTCACAGGAGGGTCTGTGGTTTGGAGGCTGTCCCGGGTTGAAGCCCAGGTGTCTTGGTTCCTAATGTGAGTCTTCCATCCTCTATAACACTTTTTCCCAGGAAAAGGAGTTTCCCTGAGAGAAGGGGGGAGTCTGGCCGCCTCCAAATCCCTGCTGGCTCCTCCAGAGGCCACCTCCAGCCCTGCCTCTCCCTCTGCCTGGCAGACGAGCCAAGGAGTGCCAGTACACAGGCTGCAAGCCGCTGGAGGCCAGTGACTACAGGGCTGGCAAGGGGAGAGAGAGACTTGAGAGAGGATGAGATTTTCAAAGCTCACCACCAAGAAGTTGAAAGGTTTTCCATTTGAACTATGGCAAGTCTCTAAAAGATGAGATGGTGTCTAATTAGACATTATTTTACATCATTCAAATTAAGATGACCTCATATTATAATTACAGATCTGCTACATTACTTGGAAGTAATCAGCATGACAGGCTATCCTCTCTGCCTACCCTTTTGGAAGCTCCAGGCTTCACACTGACCTTCTCCTGCTCCTCCACCTTCCATCAGAGATTGCCCTTTGGAGGGACAGCATCTACCAGAGTCCACACAGCAGCAAGCAGAAGCCTCCCCAGCACGCATCTCCATCCAAGAGTGGAGATTCGGTGAGCATCTGTGCACCAAGGACATGGGTCACACAAGGAGACGGACCTTTCATCAAAGGACATTATTCCTCTTACTTTCCATCAGTCCAGGGATCCCCTCTAATGGGCAAAATGTCCCCCACACCCATGCTCATACACACACACACACACACACACACACACACACAGGTACACACAAACACGCACAAATACAACACACCCACAGGGGCAGTTCTATGATACAGACTTGTGTCCAGTTTTAAACCTCCACCCACCCACACACAGGGCCCTGTCTTCTGAGCCCTTCTCGCTCCAGGGCCAGCATGTTTCCGGCACATCCTCGGTCCACTCGATGTGTATTCACCTGCCAAAACCTGAAACGTACAGACACATTCTCAGCTGAGCCTTGCACAAATGATCAGCTCTGGTTCCACGGGACTGGCTCTCACTTGAGCACCCAGGTTGAGCAAACTATTTCTGTTCCCTCCGATCCTGCAGTTTCACCTGGGATGACAGCCACCTGGGCCATCACTCAGAGGCACCCCCAATAACAAGCAGGCCGGGCTACCCAGGCAGCAGCCACCTCTCCAATGTCAGGGACATTCTGCAGCTCCCTCTGACTTAGCACTGCTTCATGTCTCCTGGCACCAACTTCCCACTCCATGATGGGTGACATTAGCACCCATAAATAATCTTGAAATAAAGAGAGATAATTAATATTTAGCTTTGCCAGAGGGAAGCACTTAGGTGAAGCCATCTTGTAGTCAGAGGGGCTGATGCTTGTCAGCTGGAGGGCAGGACTAATGAGATGCATCAGGCGGTGGTGACAAGGAGCTAAAAAGCAGCTCCCTGGCTCCAAAGTGACTTCCACAGGACAAACAGACTCCAAGAGTGCAGGCAGATGTGAGCCCGCACACAGGCGGTCTTCCATTTCCCACCCACATCCTGGGTTCTAGGGACCTGTGATCAACTTCAGGCCATCTGACTAGGCTTGAATACCCCCAGGGAGGGGGTGTTCACTTCCAGTCCACTAGCTTTGGGACAGCAGAAAAGAGAATTGGGGCTTTGGTATCTTAAAGGCCTGGATTCAAAGCCCATTTGCCCCTAGACCCACCCCTTCTCCCCCATTCTGTGCCTTCTTTCCTGGGGAGGCGTCTCAATGCACACACAGCATCCTCACCAGAAGCCTGGGTACCATGCCACCTCCCCCTCACCCTCAGCCCCCACAACCAGTCCATTGCCTGGCCCTGGAGAGCCTGCCCCCTTCAGCTCAGGTATACGGGCCCCAGGAAGACCACCTGCCACCACCAGTCGTCATCAGCTTTCTCCTGCTTTTTGCAATGGCCTCCTACCTGGGATCCTTCCTCTGGTCCACCCCTCTACTCCTCCATCCCAAAAGCCATCCTCCAAACTCCTCTCCAGGAAAGGCTTCCAGAATACATTCCTGACCACACACTTTCCTACAGAAAATTGCCACGTGCAGGACAACTGCCCGACTCCTCAGTGCCACCTCCCGAGAGCTCCACACTCAGCCCCAACACCTGTTCCTGCAGCACCTCCAACCCCAGCCCTGCCCCATGCGTGTATACACAGGAGTGCACATCCACATATGTGTGCACCTGCGCACACACACACAAATACCCTCTGGCCTGTCTGCTGCCAGCTGCTTCAACCTCCAACAGCTGTGCCTGCGGTCATGCAGCCAGGCCTAGATCCAACTGTGCCTGGATCATGCAGCCAGGCCACTGGTCAACAAGTCACTATCCACTCCTCAAGTCTCAGTTTGCTCATCTGTAAAATGGGAAAGATAAAATAATACCACACCTCTTGGTGTGGAGGGGTGCTATAACCTCTCAATGAAAAAATGTATCTAAAGCTCTGGGACCATGTCTGGCACATGTAAAGAGTTTGATAAATGTTCTTTGCCTTTCCTCCAAAAATAGCCAGGGCTGCATCTTAACAGACATCAACTGGGGTTGGGCAAGTGGGAAAAGGGAAGGAAGATTGGACAGGGCAGAGGGAGGGGCAGGGCTCTTTCAGAGGGTGCCAGGAGGGTGCAGGTGTCCATCTACACGGGTTGTCCTGCAAAACATCTCTGAGACAAACTGTAATAATTCTTTTTTTTTTCTTTTTTTTGAGATAGAGTTTCACCCTGGTCGCCCAGGCTGAAGTGCAATGGCACAATTTCAGCTCACTGCAACCTCTGCCTCCCAGGCTCAACCGAGTCTCCTGCCTCAGCCTCCTGAGTAGCTAGGATTACAGGCGCCCACCATCACGCTTGGCTAATTTTTGTATTTTTAGTAGAGACAGGGTTTCACCATGTTGGCCAGGCTGGTCTCAAACTCCTGACCTCAGGTGATCTGCCTGCCTCGGCCTCCCAAAGTGCTGGAATTACAGGCATGAGCCACTGCATCCAAACCAAACTGTAACAATTCTGATGATTTGGATGAAAATATTTACACAACAAGCACATCTGAGATAAAAAACATTAGAATCTCTTTAGACTAATTTGTTCAACACAAACACCAAACCCAAGCTGCTTCAAAATGAGAAGGAGCGAGATGGTATTTCTCCCTCTTCCATGGCTCAAAGACACACAGCAGAATAGTATGGCTGGGAGTAGGCAAGGAAGGGCCCTTGGCACTCACAGCACCCGCCAGGTGGCTCCTGAATGCTAGGGGGTCCTGGGCTGGTGAGTTTCTAAAGGAAAAGGATTTCTCTGGACGGAGGGCTGTGTACTGCTCTGCATTTGTAGGGGAGATCTTTTATACCAGTGCCCCCCCCCCCCCAACCCGCCATGGTGCGTGCCATCTGCACACCCACACAGGGTCCCACACACATCCAGGCACCGGGAGAGAGGGCAGGAGGAGGAGGTAGAGGAGACGCGGGGCAACGATCAGGAAAAGAGAAACACAGAGGGAGACAGTTCAAGAAAGTGAGAGACACAAAGGAATGGAGAGACAGAGAGAGGTGTAGGCTGAAAGAATGAGAAAGAATGGGCTAAAAATAAAAAGACAGAGGCACAGACAGACAGATAGAGGAAAGGAGAGAGAGAGAAAAAGAGAGAGAGAGAGCAATGGGAGCATATTGCTTTTCCCCTGTGTCGACATTTGCACACATGGTACAAAAGCAACAGTGCAGGAAACTGCACAAATCAAGGAAACGGGCAGTGGCACCAAACCATATTAACAGTCACTGCAATCTCCCCTGCCACACACATCAGTTTCACTGAAGAATGCACTTGATGAAGCAGGAAAAAGCATTAATTTCATTATGTCTCTATACTTGATGACATATTTTTAATATTCTGTGTGAGGAGATGGGAAGGACACACACACCCTTCTACTATGCTCTGAAGTGAGAAGTTGACTACAGGAAAAGCACTTATGTGAGTTACAAGCTAAACTAGCCACTTTTTTCATGCATCATCATTTTTATTTGACAACTGACAAACTATATTTCTTCAGACTTAGGTATTTGGCAGACATCCTCTTGAAAATAAACAAAGTAGGCCTGTTCATTCAAGGCAAACAACTGACAGCGTTTATTGTCAACAACAATATCTAAGATTTCAAGTGAAAATTAGAATTTTGGGAAGCTTGTACTTGACTGAGAGCACTCCAAGACTTTTCCACAGAGATTGATGCTGATATTAATTATGGCGGCTTCTGGATATTGAACAATGAAATGTGTCAACATTTGGAAGATCTTCATAACTCAGTAAACCGGTAGTTAACATGACAATGTAAAATCATGCATGGACAAAAGATCTATTCAAAGAACAGATAAACCAACAGACATTAAGAGTACTTAGTCCTGAGGACTGGATGCTTCTCTGGAAATGAGAATAATAACCTCCCTTGTAAGAACATGCTAGCAGTGTCTGACATGTCATAGACATGTGATAGCTTCTGTTCTTAGATTACAGAGGTGGTAAATGAAGTATCACCATGGCTCTACCCATCTAACTTTAGTAGGCCCCCTACCACCACACACACAATTACCATAGCATGCTCCCAATACGATATCAGCTCTTTGCACTTGGCTGGGCTGGCCTGCTACACCCCAGTGCAAAGTGGAATTTCTTCAGCACATTGATCATCTTGTAAGCATCTTCACTCACAGCTCAGTAAACAGCCAACATTGTCCCAAAGAGTAGCAGCCCTTCAAGTATCCGGTCATGTGTCTAAAGAGCTCCATATCCATGCATGTGTGTGTATGTTTTTGTTACTGAAAGGGCATGGGGGGGGGCCACGTCTATACCGGACTACAGAGAGTGAAGCTGGCATTTAAAATCTACTATGCTTTAGCAATTGCGAAATATGCAATGCATCTTTTATTTATTATAGTCCCCATTCTGTATAAAAAATAAATTTGTGAAGTGATGGATTTGTTAATTAGCTTGATTTAATCATTTCACAATGTAAACATGTATCAAAACATCACATTGCACCCCATAAATACAGACAATTATTATTTGCCAAGTAAAAATGAAATGGATAAAAATGAGCTTGGTGGAGCGCAGAGCTGGCAGCACTGTGCTCAGCAGCTTAGCAGCTTGCTCACCCCATTCCACGAGGGATCTGGGAAAGGCCCACACTGTGGCTCTTAGAGCTGACTCCCAGCCCAGCAGCCCAATCTGGCCCAAACAGAGGGTATGGCCCTTACCCTAGCGTCAACTAAAGAGAGAAACCAGAGCATTCACCCATCTCTTTCCCCACCTTTCCCCAGAGGTCTGGAATATAGATTGTGCTTGAGCACACAGGACATGGTTCTGTCTCAACGGAGCCAACATCTTGGCCTAGCACAGGCCACTTTGTGACACTCTGTCTTATCCCCCAGGAGCACAGCCACATGGGCAGAAATCAGGAAGAGACAGCCAGCAAAACACCAGGAGCTGGGGCAGACCTGGAACAGTCTCCCTCCCAGGACCAAAAGGAACCGACCCTGCCTGCACCTTGATCTTGGACTCTGGGTCTGCAGAACAATACGTTTCTGTCGTTGACGTCACTCAGTTCAGGGTACCATGCTGTGGCAGCCATGTAAACTCATAAATCCTGCCAGAAGCTATTATCACACCTATTTTACAGGTGAAGAAACTGGAGCTCTGGGAGATTAGGGACTTTGCCCAAGGTCACTTGGCTAAAAACTTACTGAGCTAGAGTTAGCCTCTCTTTTCACAGCCCCTCAACTGTGGGTGTCTCCACCATCTCCCTGGCCCCGCGTGAATAGGCAAATGGTGATTTCTTCACCTGTAAGCTCTGAGGTGAGCAATCGGGTTTTTTTCTAGCCTTAGCACAAAGCAGAGCTTTAAGATGATAAACCTACTTTACCCTTGACAAACCCCAAGTGTGGTCTTGAAGGATGGAGCCGATCACCTACAGGTTTAAGGAGCCACATAGAGAAAGGGCGAGCATGGGGCTCCAGGCCCCAGGTTTAAATCCAGCTCTGCCTTTCTCCAGCCGTGGAAACTCAGCACGTTTCTCTGTATCCCAACGTCTTCATCAGTACTAGGGATGTTAAATTTGTGGGAAGGATTATATCAGAGCGTCCAAGCTTAGGGTGTGCTGTGGCATGCAGTCGATGTTGAATGAATGACTTTGTTACCATCATCATTATTACTGTGCTTTCTCATTACGATACCAAATGTATTCACGATAAAATTAAACTCGAAGCCTCTGCCCCAGGACCCGCTACGGGCCTCTTGGAATCACCTCCCTTATTCATGGAGAGAATGCTCAGGAGGATGAGGAGGGAGACCCAGGGCTGACCTGGAGGGGAGGTGGACAGTGGGACAGCAGTCCTCCCACAGGAGCCAGGCCCCCCTCTTCCACCCACCTCCTCACCACCCCATGTGGCTTCCTTCTCAACACTACCAGCTAGAAATGGGACTTGGCTTTTTAAACTCAGCCCCGATGTGGTCACACTGGAGAAATGCATGTCCGCTCTGTCAGGACAGGACACGCAGGAGGACCAGGAGAGACACTCCCAGGCTAATGGGCATGAGCCCTGGGTCCAAATCTCAGCAAGAGGACCCAAGAGAAGACCCAAGGGAGGCCTTCTTCCCCAGAGTCAGGGCTTCTTCCCTGCAGAGAGGGCTGCAGGTGCTTCCTATCCTGTTGGGTCCATGAGTGGCTGCTCAAAGGGACGAGTTCTCGTGGGGAGGCACTTCTGTCCCTTGTCAGGTTAAGTCCTTCACCGGTTCCCACCCCGGACAGGACAGGGCGCACTAAAGCTCCACTGCGTGCATGACAGCCTTCCTGGCTGTGGACCCTCTCGCCCATTCCCCAGACCCCTCTGCAGAGTTCAGGAGTAAGGAACTCGGCGGCATAGCCCCACTGCAGGCGGGGGTTGGATCCCAGCCACACCACTGGCCATGAGCTCAGGCACACCGCTGGTCACTTGACCTCCCTGAGACTCAGATGTTCGGCCTCTGAGTAGGAAGCATCCAGGGCAGACCAGCGAGGAAATGCAATTGACCCCTGACCAGACTCCCAGCCCCACAGCCACCCGCTGCGGGATCTGCAGGCTGTGGAAGGAGCTGAGTCAGGGGTGCTTGGGGGGATGTGTCGGGAGGGGAACCTGCACCCTCACTGGCGGGGGTGGAAGGGGAGGCAGAGGCCAAGGGCTGCCGTCAGGCACCGTCTCAGCAAGAGAATCAGGAACTAGAGCCCCCAGCTGTGAGGGCCCTGTGAGATTTCTTCAACTTTTGTCACTTCCCCACTTTTTCCCCTTTGGTTACCACCCTTCTGCCCGGCGTGACTGTTAATTAACCCCTTACAGCTGCAAGGGCTGGCCTGCAGGGTCAGCAAAGACAGGAGCCAGAGGACAGCCCCACCCCAGCCCAGGCCAGTCCCGAGATGGGGCCAAGCCAGCAGGGCCTAGGTCCAGGCTGAGCGGGTGAGGGGTGGCCCAGGCCTGGAGCCACTGCAGCCAGAAAGGTCCTGGGCCCCCAGCCACCCTCTGGGTAAGCTCCTGGTGAACGTCCAGGCAGGCCTGGTTGTGCAACAGGCCCCGCTCCCAGTAAGTTGCAGCAGGGGGAGGAGATCTCAGCCTGCAAATGCTGCTTTGCTGGTTATACTCTCACCTCTGGCTGGATCCACCCAGCTGCTTCCATGTCTCCTCCGCTCCCAGGCCTGGGGGAGAAAGCCCAGGAGGGAGGCGTAGAGCGCCAGGCCCTTGTGGCTCCCCTGGCTCCATGCAACTGAACTCAGCCCCAGAGGATCTCTGCTCTGACTCGAGAAAGTCCAGGGAGAGGAAGGGGGCTGAGGAGGGGAGCAGAGCACACCCCAGCACATTCCATGATTCATCTGGACCCAGCGCATCTGCCAGGGTCCATGCGTGTGCACGTGTGTGCATTGAGGGTCGCACGTGTGTGGTACTTTCGATCTGAAAACACACAGTATCTCTCCAATCCTCACAGCAGTCTCATGAGCAGAAACGTTTGTGTCAATACACAGATAGGGACACCAAGGTTTGGACTGACTCAGTGACTGGTGGGGATTCTCACGCAGCCCGGGGGGCTCCCACAGTGGTCCCTGCAGAAATCCTGGAACTCTGCTGCAGGTGGTCACGGCTACCAGGCATCACCAGCCCATCTCTGAGACTTCCACACACGGAGGTTTACTAGTAACTCATTTGCATATCTGCCCCTTGCTGGCAAGATCTCTTCCCTACCCCAGCTCGAAGGCTCGGTGCTGCCATCCAAGCCAGCTTCCTGTGTTCTGTCCAGAGCAGAGGAGAGAGAACCACCCACCCAACACCCTTCGTGTAAAAAGCCGTAATCCTCCTGTGCTTGCAGACTTCACCACCAGCCTGCAGCCTCACCTTCCCCCAAACTTCCCTCCTGGTTCTAATTTTTCAGTCCTTTACTCATCTCTGGGGGAAGCGGCCCAGGGGGCGGGAGGCACGTGGGAGGCTGAGAGCTCAGTGTTGAAGTCGGCGGCAGCCCCGGGCTTGGGCTCACCCAGCAGTACCCGCCCCACTGCTGCCTCGGAGAGACAGAATAAGATCCACATCCTAGCCCAGTGCCAGGCCTGGGGAAGGTATGAGACGAACAGGCCCAAACCAGCCAGGACCTGGGCAAGCCCCTCCGGCCAGTGCCTCTGGCCCTGCAGGGCACTTGACCCCCCTCACCTCAGCCCCGTGAGTCCAGATCCTTCCTCCCTGGGCAGACCCCTTCCCACCCACATTGGATGTCCTCTGCAAAACATCACACATCATCTGTTCTCCATTCCTGGAGATCATGACACCATCACACAGGCCTGGGCCCCCAAGACATCACTCTGAGCCCCTGCTATATGTGATGGCCCGTGGAGGCCCAGGTCCTCCGCCTTGTCATCCAGAGAACAGGACTAATGTTCCCTTTAGCTCCTGGTTTGGGGGTGGGGGAGGTTTGTCACGCAGCGAAGAGCAACGGCCCAACTGAACTCAAGATAGGTAACATCTATCACTCTCTGCAATCTGCAAGCTCGTCACTCTGCCTGGGAAGATTAGATTAGTAAGCACCCGGTCATCGGAAAAATCCAGCTCCAGATACCTAATATCTTGTTTTCTTCCGTCTGTGCCCACAGTGTTTGTGAGGCTAACTTGGCTGGCATTTTTTCAAGTGTAGAAACAAAGCAGGCAGCTTTCTCCTTTCCAGGCAGGGCCTCCCCGACTTCAGTCATCTCCCACCCTTGACTCTTCCCCAGACACCTCCTCCAACCCTCTGAGTTTTCCCAAATGGGGCCCAGGCCAGACTCCAGCTATGTCTTGGGGCCCTGGGCACCAGGCTTCCCCTCCCTCCCCTCGTGTTTGCTGATCATTGTCATCAACCCTGGGTTTTCCTGAAAGAAGCACAGCCCATGTGTCTCAGGGTCCTTCTCCCATCTCCTCTTGGCCTCTTGGCCTCCTGGTAGGCTCCACACAGCAACACCAGCCCCCACACATCCTGACCCCTACTTCCCAGAATCGGTCATTTGGCAGGATTTGAAATCATCACTGCTTCCAGGCCTGTTTGCCTGTCACACTCTTGGGAGAGATTATTAAAAGCATAATTTTTAAACAGACAAGAGCAAAGCAGCCCCTTTGGCTAGGGTCTGATGGCTACATCACACCCTCTGGAGAGAAGTACGGCAGTGAAGTTCTGCAGGCGACTCCTGCCGGTCTTGGACGTGATGGGAACTCAGGAGGTCACAAGGCCCCTCAGCCATTCAACCTGACATCGCCAAAACTGGAGGTCTCCTGGGAAGCTGTCTTTTTCATCTCCGTTCCAGGAGCAGAGTAGGACTTGCTTTCTAAGCTGGGGCTCCTCAGATGGGGCTGAGGCTGCAGAGGGTTGGGAGAGCACGAGTCTGGGCTGGGCTGTCCCTTCCTCCCACCCTGGGCCCTGCCACATCACTGTCAGCTTGCCAACACCCCCTGACCTGTCTGTCCACGTGGCCTAAGCTTTCCTGTCTTTTCAAGCCAGTCTTAACCTAGGATCAAAGGGTCCAACTCAGGCAGAGACTCACCTCTTGTAAGATACTGCCTCAGGGGCGTGACTGCTCTTGGTGAAAGGGGAGAAAGTGAAGGGGGCTCCTGCATGGGTGGCAGGCTAAACTTGCTGATGCCAGGACTCAGCTGCTCTCAGGGAAACACAGGACCCCAGGCTGAACATTTTCAGAAAGATCCAATCCAGCCAGCCAGCCCCTTCTGCTGGCAAGTCAGCTCCCAGGGCCTGGGCTCCCAGGGAGAAAGGAATCCAGAGACCTTAGGCAGAGAGACATCAGGCCAAGGGGGGACCGAAAATTTTACATCTTAAAAATACCTCAGCTCTTTTCTTTCTCTGGTTGAAGTTGTTGAGTCTTCTGCAAGTCAACTGCAAGTGAATGCCTGGACCAATGGAAAATGCTCGGGAGGGCCCCAGCCAGGCTCCCACTGAGCCCAGCTCCTTCTCCCTCAGTCTCCTTCTCTCTGTGTCTCTCTGCCAGCCCCCACCCTCTCTCCTCTCTCCCTGTCCTGGCCTCACTATGCTCCCTGTAGGTGTGTGCATTTCTGTCTTTGCTCTCCTGCTCCATGTCTTTCTATCTCTCTCCTTTCTTTCTACCCTCAACCTCCCCTTCTTAGCCTGGAGGAAGCTGTAATTTAGGGCCTCTTTCCCCAAATGAATCTCTCAATATCTACAAATGTTAACTTCATTAATTTGGGAAGGATTTATCAGCACAGAGGTTAATTGTCTTTCCCTGACATGTTTTTACTGAATACATCTGGGTGACAAAATTAATTTCCTCATTAGCTATTTTTGAAAGTGGAACAAGCTGAGGGGAATCAGTGCAGGGGGAGTTTGTGCCATGTGAGCTGTTCCGGGCTCCCCACGATCTGCCTGGGTGCTCCCTCCCGTCAAAGGTCACGGGGGCCTCCCGGGGGTCTGAGCTCTGCAGGACATCCTGGCTGAGATGGGGTGGAGGCAGGTCTCTCTGGGCCCAAGAGCTCCAGGGATGGGCCTATGCCAAGTGGAGCGACCCAGGCCCATCTGCTTGCCCCAGACCTCTTCCTTTCCCGTGTGGGAAAGCGGCTTCTTGGTGGGACACCCAAACCACTGCTCCTTTGAACAGACTAGGAGACGCAGACAGAAACAGAGATCTCCCAAACAGCCCCAGCTCAAGAGCTGTTCAGCTGGACCCAGGAAGCCAGACCCAGTTATTCTGAGGGCCTTGGGGGTTAGAAGTCTGTGTCCTTCATCGGGCCCTGATTAGCCAGGCCCACAGGTGCTTCCTGGGGTGACTTCCAGCCCAGACGCCCCAGTGTGGAGTGGCCCCAAGACCGCTGCACTTCTCCCTAAGGGAGAGGAGGATGTGGGAGCTGGCCAAGTGCCCAGCCCTGGAATTCAGAGTGGGGACATCTCGAACCACCTACTGGAAAGGTGGCCACGTGCAGGGACCTATATTCTGGTGCAGGTGTCAAGCAGCAAAGAGCCTGGGACCGTGGGCCATGCACTCGGCTTCTCAAGGCTTCGGTTTACTTGACTATGAAGAAAATGGCTGCCCCACTGCCCAGTCCCAGGAACCTCCCAGATCCAGACCCCGAGGCTACCGCTGCCCCTTCTTATCTCGCTGTCACCTGTCTTCCCTCCAGGAGTTGCCCTGCACTTCACTCGGACCATTTCCCCAAGATTGCTCAGGACAAAGTCCAGACCAGGCAGCACCCAGCATCCAGAGCTTCTCCAAGCAGAGCTTCATCCTCCTCTAACCAGACCCTCCCAGGCCAGCAGGCACGAGCTCTTGGCGGCATTCTATTAGAGCAGAGAGGAAAAGAGACCCAGTGGGTCAGGAGACTGCCCTGGACCCAGGCAAGGACAGAGGCCAGAAGCCCATTCCTCTCTGGGCCAAAGCCCCGACCCCACTTGGGGGGTCCCAGCCTCCCATGTCATCCCCAACCACACTGGGGGATCCCAGCCTCCTGTGTCATCCCCAACCCCACTAGGGATCCAGCCTCCTGTCTCATCCCCAACCCCAGTGGGACACCCCAGCCTCCCGTGTCATCCCCGTCCTCGCTGCAGGGCCCCAGCCCCCCATATCATCCCTGGCCCCACTGGGGGACCCCAGCCTCCTGTGTCATCCCTGTCCTCACCCCGGGGCCCCAGCCTCCCGTGTTATGGACCCCTTCCTTTCTAGGAAACAAGGCGTGGGCCGCAGAGTTCGAGTTGGTCCTGAATTTCCTGTTTCTTTAAGCTGAGACATTTTACACACATGGGCACACTCCCCAGCTGCCACTTCTGACCTAGCCCAGAGAATTTCATGCAGCAGCAATTTCAGTAACAGGAAAAACCAGACCCAGGGAGCTATCTGCATGTCACAAGCCAGTCGCCTGGGGCAGGAATAGGACAGGCTGCCAGGCTCTCCCTCCCTGTCTCTATTTCCTTTCTCACGGCCACTGCTCCCTCCTGAAGGTGGCAGCAAGGGCAGGAGGATCCTTGAGACAGCTGGCTTCCCACCCTTCCCTGGGGCCTCCAGGACCACTGTCCCCTCCCCATACCCTCCTACCCACCGTGGAACAACCCTGGCTGCTGTACACACAAGCGGGGACCCTCGCAATTGCCTTCAGTTGGGCTGTGCTGAGCCCTCCTTCCCAGAGACCCTTCTCATCAGCTCCACTCCACTTTCAGCCTGAAATGGTGTCTCTACCATCGCCAAGCTCTGTGGCAGCCCTCCCTGCAGTCAGCCTGCCTCATGCAGGGTTTTCTGAAACAGGAATTCCAGGCTTCTTTGCTGGGGAGGTCAATGGACAGGAGTCTGGCCATGAAGTGGGACCAAGGAGGATGTGCCTCTGCTCCCCAAAAGTGAGAGAGGCACTCTGGCTGGCCTACAGGATGACCAGGAACAGGCCTCAGGGTTCCCCATGACCCTGACTCTGAGCCTGTGGATGAAGGGAATCCGTCATCAGGGGAACAAGGAGGTTGAGGAAGGCCTCCCAGAGAGGCTGATCACAGAGCTGGGTTCTGAAGGATGAAGAGGAGTTTGCAGAGCCAATCAGAGGAAAGGGCATGCAAAGGGAGGCTCTGAGACTTGGGAAGAGCCCAGCCCCACTGGGGAGCCTGAAGCTGCTCTGTGCTGCTGCCACATGCCCTTCAGAAGGGCAAGGGGAGGCAGGTGATGGAAAGAGCCCTGGTGTCTTCCCGTAGGGGCTCTTAGTGGGAATTAGGCAAGACCAGTGGCAGAATCCAACTTGTGGGTTAGGAAAAGACCCTGGGAGGCTGTGCAGAAGCCAGCCCAGGGCTGTGGGAGCCAAGAAAAATTCTACCTTGAAAGTGGGGAGTGCTGGTCATAAGAGACTTTCTTCTAATGTGAGCATTTCCTCTATGAAAGAGAATGGAGGGACATTTACAGACACTGTCAGATGAATTCTCAGAAAACCTTGGGGAGGAAATTGGAAAGCCCTGCCTGCCCCAGGCATGGCAGGCATACCAGGTTCCTGGCTAGTGAAGTGGTTTGCTCAGGAGTTTTTGCAGAACCAGAAAACTTAGATGGAGCCCCATTTTAGAGATGAGGAAACCGAGATAGAGGATGCTTCGGATGACAGTACTTTGGTGCCTGTGCCACGAATAGCACCCGGATCACCCTGGACCACCTGCCTTTGATGTGGCACGGCAGCTGCATACATTTTCCTGTGCAGGCACTTGGGTGGCCTGAGTTGCCTCCAAATTTGGACATCTGGCTGCTTCTTGGTGCCCCCACCTGAAACCCAATCCACCTCTTCCGAAGCCAGCAGATAGTGAATTGCTCAGTAAGAAAAAGGTCTGTGCAAAACAGGAGACTAGAAAGAAACCTCAGTGCCTCCAGGAACCTCACGTGAGCTCCGTTTGACTCTGCAGAAGCAAGTTCCTTGCTTTTAGAGGAGTGACTGTGGCTGGGCATCATCCAGACCTATGTGCAATTATTGGTCGAAGGCGTCTCTCCCGCTAGACGGAAGCGCTCAGAGAACCAGGCAGTGGAAGGTGCATGACTGGGAGGAATGAAGGATGGCCATCCTGAAGTGGAAGGTGTGTGACTGAGAGGAATGAAGGATGGCCGTCCTGAGGCTGCGCTCGAATGGAGGCTTATTTAACATGGAGCCTCGTGCAAAACACCCCGGAGCAGGCCCCTATAGGATTGAGATCGCTCCCTGTGATCTGCTGCTTCCCTCTCCAGTGGTTTTTATCTTTGAACAGAGCAAATCCTGGCTCCACTCAGACCTGCTCCGTGAGAGCCGAATGCAGTCACTGCACCTGGTCGGGGCTGAGGAGCTTCTCAGCCATTCCAACAAGGCCTGGTCATCGAAAAGCCATGATTTTCTTGCATTCTGGGCCTTGTGACTTCTTGAGACGGGAAAAATGAAGCGCTGTTCCACGATTTTGTTCTCAATCTAAAGGACCATTGCTTTGGAAAGTGGTCAGATTCTGCTTTTGGTTGATTTTAGGATCCAAAACTATGGCGATGGGAAAAAGGAAATGCATTTTAGGATTTCAGGTATTGTCTAAAATTTGCACATGATTATATCCTGCAATCTTAATGGTTCATGCGTCTCATGCTCAACCAAGAGCCTCTGCTGGCCTAAATGATCAAAGCATTTCCAGGAATTATTCAAGAAAAAAAAATCTGCTCCCGTCACTCACCGGCTGAAACCCCCTCAGTGGCTCCCACTGCCCTCAGATGCAGTCACCCTCCTTACTGAGCTTAGTGAGGGCTGCACTAAGCACTTTGCATTATTCTCTCATTGAAGTATCACAACAATCACAAAAGGAACTATCATTAAACCCATTGCATGGATGAGAAAACTGATCCTTAGAGAGGTCAGGGACTGGTTCAAGCTGACTGTGCTGTACAGTGTCAGAGCAGGGATGACCCCAAACCCACCAAGGCCATTCTTAGCACCCGCAATCTCCATGACCATCTCCTAACTCTCTCCCTCCCCCTCATCTATTTCCTACCCATGGATGAAACTGTTTGTGTCTCACCTACTACTACAGTGAGCCCCTTCTGCTTACCTCCCTGGGCCCCAGGCTGGCCCCACTGGGTGCTCCTGGCAGCAAAGTCCATGTCTGATTAGGGAACTTCTTATTAGGAGGCTTCCTTGTTTGCTTTACCCACCTTCTCCAGACTGGGACCCCTGGAGACAGAGCCCTTAGCTCCCGAGGCCAGGTGGTCCCTTGCTGTGCCCAGCACAGATCCTGGTGCCTGGGAGGAAGGCAGTAAATCTGTGTGAAGTGGGTCATTTCATTCTGCATTGGAGGATCATTTTCATGCTCCATAACCCACGGCTATCAATAAAATTAATATTAGCTTCCAGTAAAGTCTAGAGAGGTGCTTCTCACACTAGAGTAGGCAACAGGGCCACCCGGAGAGTCAGGTAAAACTCGGAGGCGCTGGCTCCAGAGGCCCAGACAGGTGAGGCTGTGTGGCTGGTCCTGCCCCCGCCTCTGAGGGGCACTGCTCGGCAGCCAGCAGCCCACCCCTGAGTGCAACACTCAGCAACCAAAGGCACCTGGCTGGGCGATGACTGACAGTGAGGCAGCTCCAAAACTCCCTTCCACAGCATTTACAAAACAGACACAAAGTTTTCTATTTGGAGGAGTCATTTGCTGCAATGGGGGTTTTCCCTTCGTTTTTGGAAATGCCATGAAATAAAATGTTAAGTGTGACTCCAGTATCCTAATCTGAGGCACAGACAACTCACCGCAGTTACACCTCAGAGAAAACATGGGGCTCCCCGGGAGAGGGGCCTCACTCAGCCTGGAGTTATGTTCTGACTTCTCAAAACATGAAACCATTTATATTGGCTCTGGCACATTCAAAAAAAAAAAATTCCCTTATGTCACATGCACGCGCGCGTGCACAGAGATCAGCTTTCGGTTCACAATGAGTGTGCCCCTGGGTCTTTTCTGTGTCTCACTCATTGAAGCCTGGGGGACCAGGCCCTGGGGGACCGACGGGGTGCCTCCGTCTGTGCTCCTTGTCCCTGTTGGCCAGAGCTGGTGAATCACCCGGCCCCAGCAGCCTGCGTCCTTTCCCAATTACCGTAGCTGTCAGAGCTGACTAAAAAACCAGTAGCAGCTGGCAGGAAATGGGTAAGAAAACTGACCACAGATAAACTGTAGGACTCTACAGAGCAGTGGCAGATAGACTCGGGGACAGGAAGTGGAGCTGTTAAGACTCGGCCCTCGCCTGCTCCCGGGCACCTCAGGGCCATCGAAGGGCGCGTGCACCTGAGATGCTGCGGTGCTCGCGTCACGCAATGACCCCGCAGCAGGCACCAGCCACGGCCCCCGAAGGGAAAGAAGCAGTCAGGAGTGGCGGAGAAGCACCCCCAAAAGCCCAGGCCTTTGAGACTCCTGCAAAGGCAGTGGTTCTGCTAGTCCAGGGGTGATGGAATCGCAGCCGGCAGAGCCTGCGCTGTTGAGGTCAAATGACCTGCTGGCCGTGCATTGCCTCACCCGGCTCCCTGAAGCCAAAATGACCAGCTCTCAGGCAGGGAGAGGCCACCACACATTGAGAACAGTGCTGGTGTTGAGGTGGGGAGGCGCTTCTCTGTGGAGTTACAGGTCCAGCGTTTTCAATACTCCCACCGCGTTTCAGCCAATGCCAAGGGCGGGCCCTTCAGAATCCCTAGTGAGGAGAAAGTATCAGCCAGGTGGCATGCTGGATCCTTCCATGCATCATCCCACTCCTGTTCACATACCCTAGGAGGCAGCTAAGACTATCCCCATTTTACGGATGTGCAAAGGGAGGCTCAGGATTAAATAGGCCTGGCCCTGGGTTCCACCACCTATCCACCTATGAGGGGCAGAGCCCAGATTCAAAGTCTGACTGGGGTCTCTGCCCCGACGACCTCTGCTCACAGCGTGCCGCTAGGTGCTGAGATGGGAAGAGGAGAGAAGGGGTCAGAGGAGAGAGGGGGAGTGAGCACAGTGGAGGAGGCTTGCCTGGGCCCTGATGCTTCACCCAGAAAGAAAATGGGGTGGTCAGTGTTTAATCGCATCTTCCCAGTGGCCCAAGCTGCATGTCCACCCAGGACACCATCCCAAGCAGCCCAGCAAGGGGGACCCACCCTCTCTGCACCAAGGCAGACCCAAGGTGCTTCCAGGGGCAGCCAGAACAGGGTGGCTTCTGTGTGGCCTGCTGTGGGACAAGCTGCTGTGACAAGAAGCAGCATCTGCTATTGAACTTGTGACCCAGGCCTTGGTCCCTCACAGGGAGCAGGGCACAGCTGGGACAGAGGGTGAGGGTCCCCTTCCCATCTCTCGGAGGTGGCAGAGTGCACCTGCTCCACGGAGCGTGCGCAGCCCCCTCTGCTGGCGCCCGGTCCAGCTCTCGGGTGAGCTAGACGGGAGTTCAGCTGGGCGTGACTCACCCCTGTTCCTGGAACTGTCTGAAGGCGGGGAGGATGCTGTGGGTAGGCTCTAACTGTATCATCTGGGCTGGGGCCGGTAGCAGATGGTCCTTATAAAAAAAAAAAAAAAGTACTTCCATGTGGGCTTAAAATAGCGCAGCACTCACCATCAGCTGAATGGGGAAATGTACGAGCCAGTCTTTCACGTGGGAGTGGGCACTGCAGGCTGGAGGTTGGGACAAGGGGCCCAGACACCAGCCACAGCGGCCAAGCCCAGGAGGTGGAGAGGAGACGCCTCAGCACCCACGTCGTGCCTGGCCTAGACCAGGCAGGTGGCAGATACGGGCCCAAGCAGGCCCTGCCACGATGATGAAGATGACAATGAAGCCACAGAACCCTCCCGGTTGCCGCATGGGAGCCGGCTGGGAAACCGAGATGCCAGAACACCAGCCGTCCACCACCCTGTCAGCCTCTCAGTCAGTCCAGGAAAAGCCTTTCTTCATCCTGGAAGTCGGGAAATGTGGCTCCCTAACAGGGGGCGGAAACAACTTTTGGTTCTGAGTCAATCTCTCTCTCTCCCCGGGCCCTACAGGAACACAAGAGTGAGTCCTGGAGCCTCTGGAGTCCGCCCCTCACCGATGTGTGTTCTGGGGCAGGTCACTTCCTCTTTCTGTGCCTCAGTTTCCTTATCTGTAAAATGGACGGAAAGCCCCACCTTCTCTAGGGCAAAGCCGAGCACCCGGAGGTGCTCTGTGAAGGAAGCCCACAGCCCTGCCTGGGTTGTCCCTGAGGCCCGAGAGAGCCCTTGGCCCCTTCTTCCCTTTTTAATACGTCCCTTCATCTTCCTTTAAACCATGCTGCACTTTGACATGTAGAGGTGATCACTCTGAAAGTCGGGGTCTGGAGCGTCGCCTCTTGCTGCTGCTGCGTTGATGTGGAGGGAAGGGGGTGACAGGAGGGAAGCCGGGGCAGGGACAGCAGGTGGGGAGTCTCACTCCGTCCAGCCCAGCAGCCAGGGCTCCCAGGCATGGCAGGCCACCTTCCCGCCCTCCTGCCGCCCGCCCTGCCGGGGATCAGCAAATCGGAGGCCAGGTCACTGTGGCCTTTGAGGGGTGGAGACTCTCCCAACTGCAGGGCAGGGTGAGGGAGCTCTAAGGGAGCCACGGGTCCTCAGTGGCTCGCCCAAGGCAGAAGGTTTGTCAGAGGTGGAGGGTTTGCACTGAGCCCACCTTGGTGTTCTGTATGGACAAGCGTGTGGTGTGCTGGTAACTGTCTAACAACCAGCTCCACTGGGGCCTGGGGAGGGGATTAAAAATAGCTCTGATCTGTAGCGGCTGCCAATTTCGGCGGTATAATCACTCCCGCTGAAGCCGGTTTCATCCCCGCTTGTGGAGTTGGGAAGAGACCACAAATGGGCTGCCATGAGCTCCAACACCCAGCACAGGGCTGGTGGATACGCGGTAACATGACCACCCTTCCCATACAGGCTGGCGTCCATCAGGGGCACAGACACGTGATAATGACCCAGGCTCAACTGAAAGGCAGCAGAGCAAAAGAGTCAAAGAGTTAAGACCCGGACCCTTGAGTTAGGCTCAGGTTAACTGTGTCTGATTCATCCCGGCTCTAGTTAGCAGCTGTGTGGCTTTGGGCAAGTTGCATAACCACTTTGGGCCTCGTATGTAAAGCGAAGATGATAATAGCATCTGTCCTTTCACAAGGATGTCTATTGTGCAGTAATGACCTGCAGTCACAAGCTCTTCTTTTTAAGGGATGGAATGGAGGGACAACACATCTGTCAGGAGAATGCTGAAACCTCTCCCTCCCGAAATTAAATGACGAAGTCTTCCCTCCACCCCGCAGCCTCCCCAGCTACTCCTTCACCTCTCTTCCCTCACAGGCGTCTTCTAAGGGTTTCCAGGCCTCCCCCACTTCCTCTCCTCCACCCACTCACCCCACGCTGCCAAGCAGCCTCTGCCCCACTTCTCCAAGGCGACTCTTGCCAATGTCACCAACAACCCCATTTTCTAAATCCAAGAGACATTTCTGTCATCCTCGTACTCTACGTCCCACCAGCCTTAAGCCCTGCTGCCCAAGCAACTTTCGAAACAACCGTGTCCCCAGTGTCTGTGATGGGTCCATTCCTTCTGCCTTCCCTCTGTCCGTTCTCTGTCTCTTTGACTGGGCCAGAGTCCTCTACCTGGCTGTTAAAACTAAGGTGCCTCAAGTCATAGGGGGAGCTGTGTCTTCTCCTGCTGAACCCCCTCTCTAGGCTGGCCCCCGACTCCAGCGGCCTCTACTGCTATCTGCACCAGCCTCTCCCAGTGGTACCTCCAGCCCTGACCTCATCTCTGACCCCTGGACAGCACGGCCAGAGGTCTATTCCACACCGCCCCCTCACATACATGATGGCTCAGAGGTCCCCAGGTTCACCGTGCCCGAAACTGTGCTCACCACCCATTCCCAGGCCCGTGGTGATAACACCACTGTCCGCCACTCATCTTCCCACCTTTCTCTCTGTTGCCCCCAGGTCTGCCCCACCCCAAGTCGCACCTCCCCGTCAAGGCCTGCACAGCCTTCCCTTTTTGTCTTCTGTCTTCATCCTGGTGCCCTCCTCCAACACCCATCCAAGCAAGAGCCATCTCTCTGGGTGCCAGGGCCGTGGCCCTTGGGCTGGGCCCTCCGCCCCCACACTTGCCCTCCCCTCTGTCTTCCACATCCTTCCAGGGCGATCTTCCCAAAAATCTGAGATATGGTCAGGTCACCCGTGTGCCGAAAACTCCTGGGGTGCACACCAGGACCCCGGCGCAGCTTCTCAGGGCCTGTGTGCCTGGCCGTGGCCTCTCTCTCCGGATTCCTCTCCCACCATCCCCCTGGCTGTCTGCAGTCCTCATATGGGCCACATCCTCCCTCCCAGGGTTTAGGGGATGTCATTGTCTCTGCCTGGAACAATCTTCATCTTATCCTCACCTCCACCCCACCCCTTCAACCCAGTGGTTCCGAGTTCAGCTACTCATGGCTTCCCCGAGGAAGCCCTCCTCCTTCCTCCATGTCCCCTCCCCGCCAGACGGTGCTGTGCTGTTCCCCCTCTGAACACCCTGGGCCCTGTCTTCACAGCAATTCACAGGGCTGGTAACTGTTCACTTATTTGTGTGGCTAATTAACTAATGCTTGCCTCTCCCAGGAGACTCTTCATCCCCGAAGGTGTAACTGACTGGCATTTCTAGTGGTGGAATTCTTCACTGTGTGGTGCTATCTGTGAATGGCAGGAGGGTCCCCAGCCCCCACCCACTCGATGCCAGTGGCTCTCTCAGGCATTGTGACAAGCCTCAAAGGCACTCAGGCCTTCCCACAGCCCCAGGAGGCTGGACTGCCCCAGGGAGCCCTGCCCCACTAGGTGCAAACAGCCGCAGGGACAGGAGCTGTGTCTGGGTTTGCTCAACCCCAGTGCTTTAAGGTCCCGGCACAGAGTGGACACTCAGAAAATGCGTGTTAAATGTGTGAATGGGCAGCTCCTACCTGCAAGCTTCCACACAGCTGCTCTGCCTGCCTTTGTGGGTGCTACAAGGATTTCGCCTCTGGGGGTGCAGGAAGCCATCATGCCTGTAAGCAGTGGTCCCCAGCCCCCTGGAGTGAGATCATGGCATGGCATCTGCCCAGAGCTCAATCAGGCAGGACCGAAAGCCAGCACCTCCCTCATCTCACCTGAATTTCAGCAGTTCAGGCACAGGTGATCAAATAGACTCTCCCTGGGCCACATGGACAGGGGCAGGTGCTGCTGGTTTCTCTCTCTGATGGTCAGGATCTCAGCTCTCCCTACCTGCTGCCAACCTTCTACATAGGCCCACCCAGGGAGCTGGCTGCCATAGAAAATACAAACTCGGAAGCATGCGCCAGGCCATCAGCACAGAGCAGGCACAGCTGCAGGGAGGGTGTGTGTGGCCCGAGGTGCCAGCACCGAGCTCAGGTTCCTGCTTCAAAACCCTTTCCTGTGACTTTCAGCTTTCCTCTTCCTTTCACAGTGATCAGCCTCTTTTCCCATCATCCAAATTCCAACCACTTCAGGGGACCTTCACCAAACTGGCAAGAATGAACATTTGGCTCCATTCAACAAACATTCATGCACCAAACATTTACCAAGCACTCACTTTGCATTAAGGGAGCCACCCTAGAACCTGTCTTCACGTCCCCTTCATGGCTTTGTGCATCTTCTCGAGGCCTCTGAGTATGTCATTTCTGTTCACTCTATCCAGATTAACAAGACGGCTCTGCACTTCTTCTGTGCCTGGACAGTCTAGGCCCTCACAAGCAGCAAGCAGTATCTCCACCTGGCCCTGGCCTCCGTGGGCTCACAGCTAATGATGTCTCTCTCATCATCTGCCCACTTTAACTCCACCCTCTCATTCTGCGTCAAACACTCTGCCGAGCCTTCCTGGAGACCCTTCAGAGCTGGTGATATGGTTTGGATGTGTGTCCCTTCCAAATCTCATGTTGAAATGTGATCCCCAGTGCTGGAGGTGGGGCCTGGAGGGGGGTGTTTGTGTCATGGGGGCCCTCATGAATGGCTTGGTACCCTTCCGGTGGTAATGAGTTACCGCAAGATCTGCTGGTTAAAGTCTAGCTAGGGCCTTCCCCGCTCTCTTGTTCCCTGTCTCACCATGTGACGCACCTGCTCCCCTTCACCTTCTGCCATGAGTGGCAGCTTCCTGATGTTCTTGCCTAAAGCAGATATGCCAGCTCCCATGCTTGTACAGCCAGCAGAACGGTAAGCCAAATACACCTCTTTTCTTTGTAAATTACCCAGCATCAGGTCTTCCCTTACAGCAATGCAAAATGGACTAACACAGTTGGGAAGAGAAGAGGTGACACATCTGAGACCCTCAGAGAACAAATTCAAGAGTTTTTAATGGAGAACCAGAGTGTACAGTGCCAAGGAGAGGCCAGCAGGTGCTGGGGCAGTAAGAAGAAGCTATAGGTGGGATGGGCCCTTGGCTGGCCTTCAAGGGTAGACAATAGTAATCGTGGGGATGGGAGCTGATACTGACTGAGTGCTAACACGATGCCAAGCGATGTGCAGGGGCTACCTTATTTAATCCTCACAGTCACCTCATGACACAGGCGTTATTCTTATTCCCATTTTACAGGTGAAGGGACTGAGGCACATAGAACCAACTAATTTACTTAAGGTTGTGCAGCTTGTAAATGGCAGAGCCAGGATTTGCACACAGGCATCTGGCTTCGGGGCCAGTGCTCTTCAACACCACCAGGAGAGTTTGGATGTGTCGGCTATCTATAGCTGTGCAATGAATTTCCCCAAGTTCAGCAGCCTAACGCAACACAAGTAGATTATGTCATAGTCCCTGTGGGCCGGGGACCTGGGAGTGGCCAGCTGGTCCCCCTGGCTCCGGGCATCTCACAAGCTGCAATCAAGCTGACAACCTGTGGTCATCTCGGGGCCTGCTTGGGGTAGGATTTGGTTCCAAGCTCACTCACATAGCTGTTGGCTGGAGACCTCGATTCCTTACATGGGGGCCTGTCCCGAGGCCAGTGACTTCCTTCAGGGTGAGTGACCAAGCAAAGGCATGAGTGACAGTGAGCAAGACATGTGGCCTCATCACGGAAGCGGCATATTGTCACCTTTGCTGTAGTCTGTGGTCTATCCACGAGAAGCAAGTCCTGAGATCCAGCCCACGCTCCAGGGATGGGCACGATGAGAGGCTGTGACAACAGCAGTGGGGGTCACCAGGCAGTCCTAGAGGCTGCCGGCCACACGGGCCCATGGAGGAGCCCAGGTCACAGACACCACTGTCCTTAGTTTGATTCTTCACCCAGGAGCCTGACTGTGTTCCTTAGGTAATAATAATAGCCCCAAGGGGAGCTAAAACTTGATTCCCAGTCTGAGAGATTTCTTCCTCCTGTTCCTCCCAGAATCCAAGTGCCAAATCAGACGAGCACGTCTTAAAGATCATCTGCGCGCTCGGCTATGTAAAGAAACACAAGCGTATTTGTATTTCGCTGGTGTCAGGCCGAAAACTTGGCACCATCCCTCACTCCTCCGCTCCCTTGCCATACGATTCCAGTCAGCCCCCAATTCCTCTAAAGCAGTGATTTTTTTCATCTCTCCTTTTCTCTTTGACTGCCCTCAATGAAGAGAAACCCTAATGGTCCTGGCGTTTCCACTGCTCCTTCAGTCACTCCCAGGTGTCATGATAAGGGCCCTGTCATACAGTCCTAATTGCTGTTCAAAGACCATCCGTGGCTCCCACAGCCAACAGGCAAGGACCATGCTTGAGTCTGGCCTGCAGGGCCTTCAGCTTCACAGCCCGGCCCACTCCCCACACCACCCCCTGGCTCCAGTCCCCCGGTCCACATGCCTGGCACCTTCCCACTTCTAAGCCTTCATCTACCCCTTTCCTAACCCTCAAATGCTTTTCCCATTCTTCTTACCCAAATCCTGGTGGCCCTTCAAGGTCAAGTTCATGCCCTCCCTTAATTATGAATTTTTCCAGATGACTCCAACTCTTCAAGGCTGGACTTGGCAAGAGGCAGTGTGTGTTCAGCGGGATCAGTGAAATCAAAACACTCATGACCACAAGCCAACTGCTCAGAAAATCATCTGGGTTTGCCTCCCCATGCCTGCACCCTGCTCTTGTCTTCACTACCTGGTGACTCCGTATGGGTCACCTGGACTTAGCCTTCCAGCTCTCCTGGGGAGCAGTTCTCAATTCCCTTCCCTCTGAACACCTGCTTCTATGCAGCCCCATGTGACTACTTTCTCCCTCCCCCAAATCTCCTTCTCCCCGGATCCGTTCTCACTACCCCACCACACCACCGTCAGGGCACAGCCCTCTCTAGACGCCCACTGCAGTCACTGTCTGGAAGATGACTCATCACATCCCCTCAGACCCCTGTGTAGTTTTCGATCTTTCTATCTAGTTCCCAACGAGACTTTGAGCACTTTCTTGACAAGTCCAATTCATCTCTGAATCCAGAACAGGGTGGGGACAGAGGGCATATACACATAATCCCAGGAAAGACAAAGGTGAAAATTGTCCATGGATATACCTTTGCGGGAAAAAAAAAAGAATACACTGAAGTGGCTTTACTCTATCTTCTTAACATTCAGAAATACAAAGCTGTCTTTCCACCCACAATCCCGGACTATAAACTCAGCAGCACACGCACAGAGGGTGTAGAGAACAATGGGGGCGAGCACAGGGAGGGTGCAGCCGAGTCCCCCTTTTCCACACTCGGGGGTGAGACAGCGGGGCCTCAGATGCAGATGTGAGAAGCGGATGTGAAGCAGATCTGGGAGGGCCTCAGCAGCCTCACACAAGACCTCCTGACATCAGCATACACCCCGTCTTCCCGACAAGTTTCCCTTTTCCTGGTCCCCATTAGAGAACACCCACATTACTCATTGCACAGTTACCGTTGAACTTTCTATTCTGACGTTCTCTTTTCACACTCGTTCAGAAATACACGCTGGTACCATTTCATTTGCTTTTAAATAGCACGCCGAAGAGGAGACATGCCCAGTGGTCTCCGAGTCATGCCCCACAGGATCCAGGTCATTTGCCTAAAAGGCAGAAGTCAGACCTGGTGAAAGCTCACAGGTAACAGCCGGGGGGCCGCCCTTGCACCTGGCATAGGCCTCACCAACCAGGTGCCTGTGCAGAGGTCTCTTAACTGTTTAAACTAAGGTAGGTTTTTCTGAAAAGCAGCCTCTCTCAGATTTTTTGGCCTCAGGACCACTTTGCCCTCTTAAAAATTATTCAGCATCCTCAAAAGCTTTTGTTCATGTGAGTTTAGATTTGATGGCATTTGCTGTTTTACAAATTAAAACTGAGAAAATTTTAAAATATGTATCAACTTGTATCAAAAATAACAATAATTCATGACATGTAAACATAAATTTCATATTTTAAGAAAAATAACTACATTTTCTTTCTTTCTTTTTTTTTTTTTTTTTTTTTTTTTGAGACAGAGTCTTGCTCTGTCACCCAGGCTGGAGTGGCAGTGGCCCAATGTCAGCTCACTGCAACCTCTGCCTCACGGTTTCAAGCGATTCTCCTGCCTCAGCCTCTCCAGTAGCTGGGGTTACAGGCGCCCACAACCATGCCCAGCTAATTTTTGTGTTTTTAGTAAAGACAGGGTTTCATCATGTTGGCCAGGCTGGTCTCGAACTACTGACCTCAAGTAATCCATCTGCCTCGGCCTCCCAAAGTGCTGGGATTACAAGCGTGAGCCACCGTGCCCCAGCCACTATACTTTTCAAAACAAAAATATCAGTGAGAAGAATGGCAATAATTTATGCCTGTTCAAAGCTCCTGGGTGTCTGACTTAGAAAACAGCCAGGTTGTCAGATCTGCTTCTGCCCTCAGCCTGGGCCATTAGATCACTTTAGCTGAGGCATGTGAAGAAAATTCAGCCCGAAACAAATATGTAGCTAGAAAAGAGGGACATGTCTGTAATAGACTTTTCAGACAATTGTGGCTATTCCTCTTCCATACTATACCAAAATTCAAATCATGATAGTTTCTCATAGGTTAGCTGCACTGTTGAATGAGAACCCATCTCACCTATTTTTTTTATATGACTACATTAAAATCTATTAGCTATCCTGCACTTTGAATAGATCATTTGTTTACCCACTCATGATTTTGCAATAAATGTATTGGTCATTTGGCAAATATTGATTCACTGACGTGTGATCTATCAAACGTCAACACATTTCATTACACAGCCAGTGCATTAATATGATCATGAATTCCATCAGAAAAGTCCGGAGGTGTTAGGAAGCTATCAAGCTCACAGCAATGGATACAAGTTTTCTAAAATTTTAATTTTCACACGAAAGGTCTAATTGTATGGCAACAGATACTATCAGTTATTTTTCCTGAAGCCACAGGCTTACTTCATTTATTTTCAAGAAAATGTCTGCCAAATATCCAAGTCTGGTTAACCTAGTTTAGGTTACAGAAGTCCCTCTCAGCTCTAAAAGGCCAGCCTCTTACAGAAAGTTCTGAGGGTCTTAAAGTTCAGGGCAAAGCAAAAAAGAGACCTCCAGGGAGATATTCCCTGCAAGCAGCTCCCAACAGCCCAGGGAATGACGATTAATTTGAACCGCATTTTCCCAGGGCATTGGTAAGAGGTCAGCCTACTCCACAGCTGATCTCTAAATCCCAAACCCAGCATCCAGTGTAGAAATGATGAAAATGGCCAATACATTCTTCTGGCAGTTGGTGCAGTGCTCAGTGCATGAAGGTTGAAGTAACCGTGCAGTGTGGGGCACCAGCCAAGACGCCGTTTCTACCTGGGGGCTGTCTCACCGTGCAGGAGGCGCGTTTGCTCCACAGTTTACTGTCAGCATCATACATACAGGTAACCAAAACCCTTGTCAACGGCCACAGGCAACCATCAATAGTGAGCACAATGTAACCAACGAAGGCTGGGGTGTGAAGAATCCAGCCAGCCTGATAGGCAGGGCACCATGCTGCAGTCAGGAGACCTGGGTTCCGGGGCCAGCCCTGCCTCCAACATGCTAGGGACCATGGCCAAACCACTTAATGTCTTTGCATGGGCTTCTTTGCCCTATAAAATGGTCAGGGGTGAGGTAGATGAACTCAACAGGTGCTGAAATTCTCCTCTAAGAAGTAGAGATATAATTACAAGATGTCAGCGCATAATATCATGTGTACCCACCCTAAAAACTCCATGAACCCCCAATGGACACACAAAAAAAATCATTGCTTACAGGTAATATTACTTTCTAACCAAAGTTTTATTTTAGAAATTTTAAAATATTGTCATAACCGAGAAGAAAAGTCTGTAGGATGGCAGGTGATGTTGGAGCGGGGTTAAACAAATAGACCACTGGGACATGTTAGAGTCTAGAAACAGATCCATTATAAATGGAAATTTAATATGTGATAAGGGAGGCTGAAGCAGCTTTAAAACATATCCACAAATTATTTGACATTTCTCCCATTGAGAAGTGAGGTTTATGTCCCCTCTGTTTGAATCTGGGTGGACATGTGACCGTCCACCAATGGAAGTGACATGTCTGACTTCCATGGTGAGGTCACAAAAGGCCATGCAGGTTCTTCCCTGTTCTGTTGCAACACTAGCTCTTGGTGTCCTAAGCTTTCATGAACAATTCAGACCACCCTGAGGCCTCCATACTGTGAGGAAGCCCAAGCCATATAGATGCCAAGTTAGGCACTCCAAGGACTGTTCCCAGCTGAGCCCAACTTTTGAGTCATCCCAGCCCAGGTACCCAAACACGTCAGTGAAAAACCCTTAGATGATCCCAGTCCCCCACTGTTCACACCACCCCAGCCACTCAAGTCTTCCTAGCTGAGGCCCCAGACATGGTAGAGCAGAGCCAGATAATCCCCATTCTGCCTAAATTCCCAGACTTCAGAGTTCACGAGCAGAATCAAGTTGTGATTGTTCTGTGCCACTAAGTCTAGCGGTATATGTTCTGCAGCAATAGATAACCAGAACAGTAAATGTTTCTAATCACTGAAAAAATACCAACCTTTCAAAAAGTGATAGAAAGACTTAGAAATTATTTTTAAAATAATTTAAATTATAATAAATATTATACAATATATAAACAGTATAAAGTATAAAATATTTTAAATAATTTTAAAATATTATTGTAAATATTTTAAATTATAATTTTAAAATATTTAAAAATAAATTTTAAATGGATTCATGAAATTTTATTATAAAATTATTGAAATAAATATATAAGAAGCATTTTTTAAATCTAGGGATGGAAAAGTGCTTCATAAGTGTTACTCTCCCTTCACCAGCAAAAAAAAAAAAAAACCCAGATGAAATAAGAAAAAGATTGACAAGTTTGGTCACATAAATATAAAAATGTTATGACCAAAGGCACCATAAACAAAGTTTAAAGCTAACTTGCAGAAAGGCAGAAAGGATACACAGCATGGATAACATCTACAGTATGGAAGAGCACCGACACATTCTAAAGGACCAACAATTCAAAAGAAAATAAAGCAATGAATATCAGCAGATAATTCACAGAGAAGATATATAAATAAAACAGTAATCATATAAAAAAAGATGTCAAACTTTATTAGCAATGAAGCACATCCATATCAAAAAAAATTCAAAAAACCCAAAAATATATTTTACCCATTATATTGCTGAAAAGTTATACCGATAGGAACATATAAAAGATGTACTATTATATGATTGATAGGAGTGTAAATTATGGTAGTCTTTTCAAAGGACAACATTAAATCTATCAAAATTTTAATCTTCACACTTTTTTACCTAGTGAGAAATTTCCAGTTGTCTATGTCATGGAAATATCCCCATATGCCCATATGTGCAGAAAAATGTAGGTAAAACGATGGTAACTGCCGCCATGTAAAAGCAACCGACTGAAATAAACCTGAATACTTATCAGTAAGTGTTTGTCCAAATAAACTTCGAGCAGACATATTATAGATTATTGTGCATCATTTTAAAATAATGAGGCAAATGTACACATACATATTTAGAGGTTAAGAAAAATGCCTGGGAGAGACACCCTGAATTGTTCATAGGGATTATTTATGGGAGAAAGCAGGTCGGGCGATCATGATTAGAAGAGCATTTCCCCTTTCGCTCTATGCTCTTCTGCATTGTTTCTTCATTTATATGTATGAGAGCATGTGCATGAATTATCTGTGTAAGTGTTATCAATTAGAGACTTTTAAGTTTAGGCATAAGAACCTTTTAAGTCTTCTTTGTGAGAGTCCATGATCCATAATCCTGGGTCCTCCGGAGCCCAAACCCACCCCACCTTGCCAGCAGCCAAGTTTCTCTGTACTTCAGGAAGCTAAGCTTCGGGCCCCTCACTGACCTAGGCCCTTTCTAAATAGATATTCATTTTATACCTAATTTTGTATTTAAAATTTCATATTTTCATGTTAAAAAAAATGAGCCTAAAAGTACATCAGTTCCAGGACCTGCGAATTTGCACCCTAAAATCACTCATGCTGGTGTCACAGCCCCTTTCTAGAGCAGAACAGCAAAATCTCCAGCTAAGGCCTTTTGTAGTGCCTTCCTACAGACTGAGCAGCATATGAGATGCTAGGGGAAAAAAAAGGGGGGTGGGCGGGGAAACCAAAAACCAATCCCCAGAAAAGGAAAAGCTACCAATAAGTAGACATGAATTCAATGAAACCCCAAAGAGTCCTTCACGGGGTGCTGAGAAGCTGGAACAATTGTACAGGAAACACCATTTACCTAGGACCAGACTGTCTACAGATAAATGTGAAATATGAAGAAAGTAAAGGCAGCCCCTCTGAAATTAGCATAAATAAGTAGAAACTCTTTTGTTTAGAATGGGAAAAGGACACCCATGGAAACCCATAGGAATCTAGAAGAAAATCAGATCTGTCTGAGGATGAATTGTAATTCTCCAGTCTCAGTGGCAGGCTCACCTCACTATGGAGATAGGAGATAAGTGCACCAGTGCCTGAAGTTAGTAAGCATTCAAACCAAATCACCTGCTCTCTGGCTCTGATTCCACACTCACTAGGCAGCCGAAGAGGTCTGCCAGGTACACTTCCCCAAACAGAATAGGGAAACCAGAGGATTCAGCTCTCCAAACCCTCTGACAGATGGATTTCTCCTTATAAAGAAGAGTGACAACAGCAAGATACCAGAATAAGAGGTCCTGGCCCTTGTCTCCTCACAGACACATGGATTTAACAAGCATCCACGGGTAAAAATATTTTTAGGAGAGTTCCAGAATCCAGTTGAAAGGTCCCAGCACCCTGGTGAAGCACAAAATACAAGAACAGTCCCAATGGAAAGGGTAAGAAGAGTAGTTTCACTTCACCCACAACACCCCTTCCCCAAGCTGGCACAGCTAAGCACTGAAAGATGCTCTTGGCCTACAATTTTTCCCATGAGGGAAAGAGAGAGCAAAGTGAGCATCCAGCTTCCCCAGCCTTTCAGGACGCATCCCAGGAGGCCCATTTCTCCTCTCTAGCACCTCGCCCAGAACATTGAGGAAATTGGCATGGCTCGATTGCCTGGGGTCAACTAAGAATAAAGAAAAGGGGCTGGTGCTCACAGCAACTGGCATGCATATGCCAACAACCAGCCCAAAGACCCCACAAGCTGGCCTGCCAGCTGTCCCAGCTGTGGACCCCTCCACACACCAGCCAGCCTATCTGTAGACCACACCAGCCAACTGGCCTACCCACAGACCCCAGAAGTCAGCCCACATGCACCTCTGCAGTCACTACCTCACAAGCCCCTACAGATGACACCCCATACTCCCCTGCAGGCAAAACACAGATCTCAGCACCTGGAGTGGATCTCAGCAGCCAGCTCAACTCTGCAGGATTGGAAGAGCATCAAGGGCAGACTAGACTAAGTAAAAGAAAGAATCAGCAAACTCAAAGACAGGTCATTTTAAGTTAACAATCAGAGGAGAAAACAAACAGAAGAATTCAAAAGAGTGAAGAAAGCCAGCCTGTGGGACTTACTGGACACCCTCAAGCAGGAAATTCTCGCATACATATTTATAAAGCCTAAAGGGTGCCAAATATGTTGACCCTAAAGAGGTCTGTACTGAGACACATTATACAGATGCTCCTCAACTTATGATGGGCTTATGTCCCAGGAACCCCGTGGTAAGTTGAAAATATGATAAGTCAAAACTGCAGGGTATTGGCTGTTTGCTCTCATGACTGAGTGCCTAGCTGGGAGCTGCAGCTTGTTGCCACTGCCCAGCATCAGGAGTGTGTATCCCACCACATATCACTAGCCCAGGAAAAAATCAAATTTCAAAATTTGAAGTATTGTTTCCACTAAATGCATAGCATATTGCTTTTGCACCATCTAAAGTTAAAACATTATAAGTAAAACCATTATAAGTCAGGGACTATCTGTATGTAAATTGTCAAAAGTCAAAGATAAAGAGAATTTTGAAAACAGTAAGAGAAAACCGACTCTTCACATACAGGTCAACCTCTGTAAGACTGTCAGCAGACTTTCAGCAGAAACTGTGGGCTAGGAGAGAAAGTGGGATGACATTTTCAAAGTGCTGAAAGTAAAACAAAAACAAACAAACAAAAAAACTGTCCTTTAAAAATGAAGGCAAGATAAACGCTTTCTTTCCCAAACAAAACTGAGAGAGAGTTTGTCACCACTAGACCTGCCTTACAGTAAATCCTACAGACAGTTCTTCAAATTGAAATGAAAGGACACTAAATAGCAACACAAAAGCTTATGGAAGTATAAATCTCACTGGTAAAGGTAAATAAATACAGAATAATACAATACTGTAATTGTGGTGCTTAATCTTTGTTTGTTTGTTTGTTTGTTTGTTTGTTTCTGAGATGGAGTCTCACTCTGTCACTCAGGCTAGAGTGCAGTGGCACAATCTCCGCTCACTCCAACCTCTCCCTCCGGGATTCAAGCAATTCTTCTGCCTCAGCCTCCCAAGTAGCTGGGACTACAGGGGTGTGCCACCTCACCCAGCTCATTTTTGTATTTTTAGTAGAGACAGGGTTTCATCATATTGGCCAGGCTGGTCTCTAACTCCTGACCTCATGATCTGCCTGCCTCGGCCTCCCAAAGTGCTGGGATTACAGGCATGAGCCACCATGCCTGGCCTGCTTAATCATTTTTAATCCAAGTCTAAAAGTTAACAGACAAAAGTCTAAAGAATAGCTATAACCATAAACATTTATTAATGAATGCACAATATAAATTAAATTTTGACATCAATAGCATAAAGTGAAGGAGGGGAGCAGTAAAAGTGTACAGCGTTTGTATGTAATTGAAGTTGTTATCAGCTTAAAACAGACTATTATAACTATAAAAAATGTTATGCAAACCTCATGATAACCACAAGAAAAAAACCTGTGGTAGATACCATAAAGATAATATAATCATTGAGTATATCATGACCAAAAAAATCATCAAATCACCAAGATATACAAGAGAGGAAGAAAGAATCAAAAGTACTACAAAACAGAAAACAATTTTTAAAATGGTCATAGTAAGTACTTAGCTATAAATAATTACTTTAATATAAATGGATTAAATTCACTAACCAGAAGATATAGCCTGGATATATATATAAAAAACAAGATCCAACTATATACTATCTATAGGAGATTCATTTTAGATTTAAGGACATACAGAAGCTGAAAGTGAAGGGATGGAAAAAAGATATTCCATGTAAATGGTAAGCAAAAGAAAGCAGGGTAGCTATAATTATATCACAGAAAATGGACATTAAGTCAAAAACTGTCATAAGGGACAGAGAAGGTCATTACATAATGATAAAAGGGTCAATTCAACAAGAAGATATAGCAATTATAAATGTATATGCACCCAACATCATAGCAGCTAAAGTTATAAAGTAAACATGTACAAATTTTTTTTTTCGAGATGAAGTCTCACTATTGCCCCCAGGCTGGAGTGCAATGGTGAGATCTTGGCTCACTGCAACCTCCACCTCCCAGGTTCAAGTGATTCTCCTGCCTCAGCCTCCCAAGTAGCTGGGATTAAAGGTGCCTGCCACCACACCCAGCTAATTTTTGTATTTTCAGTAGAGACGGGGTTTCACCATGTTGGCCAGGCTGGTCTTAAGACAGAAACAGAAAATAATGCAATAATAGCATAATTCAATACTATCAATAATAGATGGATCATTCAGACAGAAAATCAGTGAGGAAACAACAGACTTAAACAACACTACAGACCAACAAAAATAGAGCAAGACTTAAAATTAGACAAGTGGGATTGTGTCAAACTGAAAGGCTTCTGCACCACAAAGGAAGCCATAACCAAGATGAAAAAGCAACCTAAAAAACGGGAGAAAATATTTGCAAACCATATATTTGATAATGGGGGTTAATATCTAAAATATATAAGGAACGCCTACAGCTCAATAGCAAAATAAATAACCCAGTTTATTATACTTTAAGTTTTAGGGTACATGTGCACAACGTGCAGGTTTTTTACATATGTATACATGTGCCATGTTGCTGTGCTGCACCCAGTAACTCGTCATTTAACATCAGGTATATCTCCTAATGCTATCCCTCCCCACTACTCCCACCCCACAACAGGCCCCAGTGTGTGATGTTCCCCTTCCTGTGTCCAAGTGTTCTCATTGTTCAATTCCCACCTATGAGTGAGAACATGCAGTGTTTGGTTTTTTGACCTTGCGATAGTTTGCTGAGAATGATGGTTTCCAGCTTCATCCATGTCCCTACAAAGGACACGAACTCATCATTTTTTATGGCTGCATAGTGTTCCATGGCGTATATGTGCCACATTTTCTTAATCCAGTCTATCATTGTTGGACATTTGGGTTGGTTCCAAGTCTTTGCTATTGTGAATAGTGCCGCAATAAACATACGTGTGCATGTGTCTTTATAGCAGCATGATTTATAATCCTTTGGGTATATACCCAGTAATGGGATTGCTGGGTCAAATGGTATTTCTAGTTCTAGATCCCTGAGGAATTGCCACACTGACTTCCACAATGGTTGAACTAGTTTACAGTCCCACCAACAGTGTAAAAGTGTTCCTATTTCTCCACATCCTCTCCAGCACCTGTTGTTTCCTGACTTTTAATGATCACCATTCTAACTGGTGTGAGATGGTATCTCATTGTGGTTTTGATTTGCATTTCTCTGATGGCCAGTGATGATGAGCATTTTTTCATGTGTCTTTTGGCTGCATAAATGTCTTCTTTTGAGAAGTGTCTGTTCATATCCTTCGCCCATTTTTTGATAGGGTTGTTTGTTTTTTTCTTGTAAATTTGTTTGAGTTCATTGTAGATTCTGGATATTAGCCCTTTGTCAGATGAGTAGATTGCAAAAATAACCCAATTTAAAAATAGGCAAGTTATCTGAGTAGACATTTCTCCAAAGACGATATACAAATGACCAACAGGTATATGAGAGTGCCCACCATCACCAATAATCAAGGAAATGCAAAGCTACAGTGAGATATCACCTCACACCTGTTAAGATGGCAATTACCAAAAAAAAAAAAAAGGTTGTATTGGCAAGGATATGGAAAAGAAAGAGCCCTTGTTACTGTAGGCAGGAAGGCAAATTGGTGTAGCCTCTGTGGAAAACAGTATGGCGGTTCCTCAAAAAGTTAAAAATAGAAATACCACAGGATCCACTTATCCCACTTGTGGATATACATTCAAAGGATTTGAAATCAGGGTCTTGAAGAGATATGTGTACTCCCATGTTCACTATAGCATTATTCACGATGGCAGAGACATGGAAACAACCTCAGTGTCCACAGATGGATGAGTGGATAAGGAAGAGTTGATAGACACACATATGCACAGCAGGGAATGTTATTCATCCTTACAAAGGAAGGAAATCCTATCATTTGGGACAACATGGATGAACCTGAAGGATATTATGCTAAGTGCAATAAGCCAGAAATGAAGCAGAGAGTGGGATGGTGGTTACCAGGGGCTGGAAGGAGAGGGAAATGGGGAGATGTTGGCCAAAGCATGCAAAGTTTCAGTTATGCAGAATGAATAAGTTCTAGAGAGCTGATGTACAGCATGGTGATTAGAGTTAATGTATTGTATACGTGAGATTTGCTAAGATAGTAAGTAGACCCTAAGTTGTCTCCACATACACACACAAGTTAACTATATAAGGTGATGGATAAGTAAATTAGATTGTGGTAACCCTTGCACAATGTATACATGTATCAAACATCATGTTGTGCACCTGAAATTTATACAATATTTGTCAATGATAACTCAGTAAGCGGAAAAAATCTATGAATGAAATAGTCCAACTCATAGAAGCAGAAAGTAGCATGGTGGTTGCCAGGGACCGGGGGACAGGGAAACAGGGAGGGGTTGGTCAAAGGGCACCAAGTTTCAGTTATGTGTGGCGGATAAGACCTAGAGGTCTACTGTACAGTCTAGTGCCTGTCATTATCAATATCGTTCAGTATCTCATATTGTTCAGTATTGCATTATCAACATCGTTCAGTACTGTCTATTTAAATGTTCACTAAAAATATAGATCTATGTTAAGTGTTCTTGTCACAAAATTTATTTTTTTTTTTGAGATGGAGTCTTGCACTGTTGCCCAGGCTGGAGCGCAGTGGCACGATCTCGGCTCATTGCAAGCTCCGCCTCCTGGGTTCATGCCATTCTCCTGCCTCAACCTCCTGAGTAGCTGGGACTACAGGTGCCCACCACCACGCCTGGTTAATTTTTTATACTTTTAGTAGAGATGGGGTTTCACCGTGTTAGCCAGGATGGTCTCGATCTCCTGACCTCGTGATCCACGCACCTCGGCCTCCCAAAGTGCTGGGATTACAGGCGTGAGCCATACCTTGCCCAGCCTTGTCACAAAAAAATATTTAACATGATACAATAAGCAAAGAAGGGAGGAGAACACTCTTGGAAACAGTGGAAATGTTTACAGTGTAGATTGTGGTTATGGTTTGACAGAGGTATGCTTAGCTCCAAACTCATCAAGTTGTATACATTAAATATGGACAGCCTTCATATGTCAGTCAGGCCTCAATAAAATGGTAGAATACTAACAGTAATAATAAGCTGACATCTGCCATATATATCAGTACTGTGCACAGGGTTAATGGGAGTCTGCTCCAGAGAGCGGGATTTGGGATTTTGCTGAACCTGCATAGCCAGTCCGGCCCGTGGACTAGAGAAGTTTGCCTGCTGGCCTCATGCAGCTGGCTGTGTGATGGTTCCCACCATTGTCATCCAAACCAAGTCTGTCTGAGCTGAGTTGTGTGCTGGGTGACTTGCCTCCCAAACCTGTTGGAGGGGGCTGCTGGGTCTAGATCTGTGGGTTAGAAATTGCTGACACATCATCCTATGGTCCACCTGACACATCTCTGACCGCAGTGTGACAAGGCAGCCCGAATCTGAGGGCAGGTGAGTGCCCAGGCCAGGACCTAGGTCCTAACAGATATCAAGTGAACAGTGGTTCCTGTTCCTTCCCTCTGCCTGGTGGGGACACTCTCAGGGGAAGACTCAAGGCTGCCCCTCAAAGGCACCAGCATGCACCCTACAATTCTGCTTCATGGAGTCCTGAATGCTGGGCAGGAAATGGCATTGCCGGGGTGGGGCCATCTTCAGGGAGGGCCTCCACCCTCCAGGGGTGGGTCTTTGCATCTGTGACCAGCAAATCAGTGGCTAGGAGGACACCTGCGCTGGGGAATAGATAGAACCACAGTGGGAGGCAAGCCCTGGAAGACGAGCTCAGTGCTGGCGCAGGAGAAGAAAGCATCACAGGACAAAGGCGGGGACAACCCATGGCTTGGCCCAGGTTAAAAACCATCCAGCTTCACGATCAGCTCACGGACAGCAAGCGAAGTGGCCATTCACTGGTGCACCAGGAAATTCGGGGCCTGTCACTTGGTTCTCTCTGTTCTCAGAAGCAGGGGCACCTTTTTTCACATTTAAGACAGAAGAGACACAGAAAAATCAAAGCAAAGACACAGAGCGCGGAAAATGCCAGGACAAAGACCAGCACGTGCTCAGCATGAAGCATGGGTGGGCCGGGCCTGAGGCGACAGGGAGACCTGGGCATGCATTTCCCTAGAATGAAGACTCTGCCTACACTAAGATATCTCCTATTACAACTGTACAGTTCAAAAGGCAGAGGTACACAGCAAAACCAGTCATTGCACTACTGCTCACAGTAGAGACAATTTGGAAGCAACCTAAAGGAGCATTGAAGACACCCAGTGAACAAAATGTGGGACCCATACATAGGATGAAATTACAGGCAATCATAAATGATGTTACATCCGAAGGTTTGATAAGAAAACATGTTTCTAAGGTGTTGTTAAATGGAAAAGAAATGTTTTCAAAGCTGTTCATGAACTATGATCCTATTTGGACCAAAGGAAATAAAAGGTAGAAATGTGTGTCTACACACAGAGAAAAGAATGGCAGTTAATATTACAAAATATGAACAGCGTTTGCATCTGAGCACTGGCATAATGGGTTGTTCTATCTTCTCTTTTTTGTGTGTATTTTCCAAATTGTATGCTGAAAACATGTATCAGTTTTATGTTCTGGAACAAAATAAATGTTTTTGTTTCATCCTTCAAATCCCATGGAGTGGAATCCTAGTTAGAGCTTTCAAATCTTTTGCATTAAATCACCCCCTGGGTGAACTGAGGCAGCCCAAGCAGGTACGATTTATCTCTACTTTATGGCTGGGGAAGGCGGGGAGCAAGCTGAGACCATGCCCTGCCCAGAACAGATGGGTGCTCCGTGGCTCTCCAGGGCTCGCTGTCCACTGGTGCAGCCAAGTGCAGATGGGCAGGAAGCAGAGGAGGGTGCAGAATCCACGGCGAGAAGAGCCCCTCTGGCCCGGCCTCCCGTGCGGTCTCATCTGTGTCCTCCTTAGACAGGGCTGAGGATCCACAGCTCAGGTGCCCATCTGGCTCCCTGCCCTGTTCTGGGGTTCAGCTTGTGTCTAGTCACGTGGCTGTTGCACCAGAGGTTGCCAGGTGCTGCAGCAGAGCTTCCAGGGGGCTCCTGTGGATGACGGCTCTTTCCAGCAGGCTCTGGACACATCCTCCTCTGTTCCTACTCCTGGCTCTCCTATCTCAGTCCAATAAGGCTTACATCCCTGGGGTTCATCCACGGGCCATGCTGGGTCTCTGGGCAGTGGCTCCAGGCGAGGATGGGCCAGCCTGGTTAGAGAGCAAGGCCTGGGAATCTGATCCTGGCCAGAGCTGACTGGGGTCCAGGAACCCACCAGGAGAAGAATGTCTGGGATGAGAAAGGTGCCCGGCAGATGCACAAGAGGGCTCTGGCCCAGAACTCGGGACCCAGGCACTTCACCAATGGCCTTCCCCTCTGGCTAAGATTGGAAGCCCTCTGGGGGGATTGCAGAGAACCACCTCTCCACCCTGACCCAGGCCTAGAAGAGACAGCAAACTCCCAGGACTTTGGGGAACCAGCAGAGCCCAGGCTGTTAGCTGGGACCTGGACAGTCTTGGCATGCAGGACTGAGGACTGGTGCCCATCCGTCACCTTTTGCCCTGACAGAGTCCTCCAGCCCCCTGCCTGTCCTCTCCCTCCCATGCTGCCCTCACCTGCTAACCACGATGGGCCTGGCTGACCACATCTCATTCCCAGAAGAAAAGTCTCCAGAGGGAGAGAGTTCAGACTCCTCAACCCCACACTGAGGATGCTCCATGATCCCCAGCCAAGTTTTCCAAATTCATCCACTACACCCCAGCTATACGTTCATAGCAGCTTAAGCCTCTCCACAATCGGCCTATGTCCATCTGTCTCTCCCACCTTGACTTCTGAAGGGCAGAGCCCAGGTCTTATTCATCTTCATATCCTGCCATGCCACCTTGGTCCCCTCCCCAGCACATGACCTTCAATGTACCCAGGAGGCACTCATTGAAGACTTGTTCTATGGAAAGAATAAAGTTGTGGCCAACTACAGATTCTACTCCTAACTCTGCAAAATTGCAGTGCTGTTTGCTACAAAGAAATTTGCAGGCTGGTGAAATGTTCTCGGAGGATCTTAGACCATCGAATTTTTCAAGGCTCTTTTTTAATCTCCTTCAATTCTTGAAAAGACTCTGACCCTTTGACCATCTGCTGCGCACGGAGTCTGCTCTGAATCCACACAAAGGCTTCCCCATCCTGCCCAGTCTCCCAAGGCACAAAATAAAACCAGCTTCGGAAAATGTAAACCCAGAGCAAGGTGATCCGTCACTAAAATTTCCTGGGAGGAAGCTCACCTTCCGTGACCATAAATTGTTGGTGAGCCATCTCACCTATTGTGCGGTGCTCTCCAAACAGACACCTGTTGCCATAGCAACCCTCACATCTGTCGCTACCTTAGAAGAGAACACCTTTTAAAAAGAAATCTACTTAGCAACATGGCACATTAACTTCTGCACCTTCTTACGGACTCTCAGAAATCTAGGCCTGAGTACGCTAAGGTGAATGGTGCCTCTTTGAACAATCTAGAAGACACTGCTTCAGCCAACAGTGGTCCCTTCCTCCACCTGCCCCCACCTGTCTCTGGGTATGAGTCAAGGGCTGGCACTGCACACAGGGCAGTTACACAAGCCGATTGTTATAAAAATAACGCTACGGTTCAGGGTGTTTTGCTCACAGAATTTCACTTAGTCCTAGGGACAGTCTGTGCAGCAAGCACTGTCCCTGCGTTGGTGATAAGGGGCCCAGCCCCAAAGCTCCAGCTTCCTCCAGCGCAGCCTTCTGCCTGTCATGAGGGTGCAGCCACACCTGGCTCAGGGCAGGCCCTCCACACGCTGTGGATCTGCTTGTGTTCCCAACAACCCAGAAAGAAAGATTTTTTTTTATTATCCCTGTTTTACAGAGGAGAAAGCAATCTTGGAGGAGTGACGTATCTCCCCGAGATGCCTCCAGAAGTCAGCGGAGGCACAGAGGCTCACACTCCCAGCTCACATTTCACCAGTGGCTTCCAGGCTGCCTCCCATAAGCCTGAGAAGAGGCTTCCCCGTGTGGCTTAGGAATAAATTCCAATCTCGCAAGAACAGCCCTGTGGCCAGGCTGTCAACTCTTCTGGAATTCTCCATGGAAACATTTCTGCATATTGCAGGGGATGAAGACCAGGGAAGCAGGTAGCAGACGTACACGTGCAGGAATCACCTGCTGGATTTGGTGAAAATGCAGATTTGACTCATGGGTCTGGGCGGGGCCTGAGCAGCTGCATTCTAACCAGCTGCCGGGTGATGCCGATGCTCTGCTCCTCGGCCGCAATTTGACAAAAGGGACACGGCGCCTCTGTACAGAAGAACAGGTACATCAGGTACAAAGATGTGGTGTTGTCCCCAGGACAACCCAGGACTGTTGTGGACTGTGTGTTAAGACCTAGCATTGCTAAGGAAGCTCAGAGAGGGGAAAGGAGGCTGCTGGCCCCAACCTTCCGTGGACTGACTTCTGCACCTGCAGCCCTCCTGGCCTCTGGGCTCACTGTTAGTAGTGGATGTGTCTTCTCCATTTCTGATTGCCTAGTGCTTGGCCTGGTGCCTGGAATATGCTAGATGCCCAATAATATGGACTGAATCACAGCAAAAAGGGAGGGAGGGAGGAAGTAGGTGGATAGGTTTGATGGAAAAATGAGCACTCACATCAAGCAAGATGCTGAGGTGTGATCTATGTTGGTAACATTATATAAGGCTTGCACTTGCCTATGATGGACACAAAATGGATACTCTATGCCAAATGATTGACAGAAAGAACAGGCCCACTCACGTGGCTTTATGCATTTCTGTAGCTCCACAGGGTCGAGACCCCTACCTTGCCTATGGCGGTCTTCTAGAACCAGAGAAACCTCTGGATATTTGAAAGACATAAGGGGCTGTGTTGGTAAATTTTATGTGTCAACTTGGCTGAGTCACCATGCCCAGATATTTGGTCAAACATTATTCTCGATGTTTCTGTGAGGGTGCCTTTGACTGAGATTGATATTTAAATCAGTGGACTTTGAGTAAAGCAGGTGACCTTCCATCGTGTGTGTGGGTCTCACCCAATCAGGTTAAGGCCTGAAGAGGCTAAAGAGTGACCTTCCCCGAGCAAGAAGGAATCCTGCCAGGCCTCTGGGCTTGAACCACAGCCCCAAACTTTCCCAATCTGCATCCTGCTGGCCAGCCTGCAGATTTTCTGGAATTTACACAATTCCGTAATTTTGTAAGCCAAATCCTTAAAATAAATCTCTCTATATACACACACATGTTGTTGGTTCTGTTCTCTGGAGAACCCTGGCTAATACAGGGCAAGAAGGTGCTACACTCTGCAGCAGACAATACACTGCTCATCCCACAGGACACTAACGTGTAACACGTGGCCTTCAACAGAGACTGGGGAGTCACGGTACATCTCTAACCCAGGGGAAGAGGCCGCTGTGCCTTCAAACGGTGGCTGTCACACTCCAGTGTCAGCAGAGGTGCTATTAACAGGGCACCCATGAGGAACACTTCCCGGGATCCCAATTCAGAAAGTCCACAGGATCATATTTCACCCTGCACACCCAGTCCCAGATGAGTCCAGCATCCGGGACCCTCAGATCACATTTTGAGGGTGAAAGGGAAAGAGAAGGAGGGAGGTCAAAAGGGAGACAGCGAGGAGGGAGGTGGGGAGAGAGGAAGGAAAGAAGGGAAGGAGAGGGGCCGGGAGGAAGGAAGAGCTTTGTTCCTAGTGCAGTTTCCCACTCACCACTCCCTCTGGAGCACCCACCAATCTGGGTCAGTGCAGCAGCCAACCCCCGAGGGCATGGCTGTGATGCCAACTCCTCTCCCACGTGGGTGCCACCTCCCATCAATCTCCCATCACCCCTTCCCAGCACCACAGCCAGGCCACAGCCATCAACCCAAACCCCACTCCTCTGACCACCACACCCCACCCATTGCCAGCTGGAAAACTAGCCCCAGTGCTCACCTGGGAGCACCCTTGCTTTTCAACTGCCATACCTGTCTCTCTGTTCAATCCACGGCCCTGAGCTGGATGGAGGGTCCCGCAACAGACAGAATGGAATGGCCCTGCCATGCACCTGCCACATCTGCCACGCCCTTCCCGAGATGCTGCACAACACCCGTGTCCCCTCTGCAGTGCATGGGCAGCTGCAACTCCACTCTGTCCTCCTCAGGGTGCTCCCGGCAGCCCACAGGCCCCCAGGAAATGAGCCACCGGGATAGTGAGCCCTTGGTCATCCACCCAAAACACAGCACTCGTCCCTTTTCTAGCAGAGCAGGGTGACTTCACCACCCTATGGTCACCAAGCACAGGGCATTCCCGACCCTGCGATGGGAGCGAAACATGAAAGCCCTGGAAAAATCGAGTTAGGAGAGAGGAGGAGGAGGGAAGGGCATTGAAGACCATTTCCCATGCGAGAAACCACCCTCTGGACAAGGCAGGAACCAATTGGAAGACTCAAGCAACTCCCCAGACTCACTGGAACTCAGAATCCTGCACTTTGCAACCTCCATTACTGATTGTAAAAGTGGTGATATTTGTAAACAGCATCCTCACAGAAGGTTTCCCTTTGGTTTGTTTAATAATTACTGTTTAAAGAAAGTCATGACTTCATCAAAAAACAAAAACAAAACCCCAGATGCGGCATTTGAATAGTTCCTGGGGAAATTTAAGTCATGGAGAAAAGAAAGATCACGGGAAAAGAATCAACTGCATTATTTTTTTTAAAAATGGCCTAAATTAGAACAGATCTCAGGAATGGCTTCCTAAGATAGATTTCTGACAAATGAAAACACAACATGGGCTCACCCTCCTGGGAGAGATGGGGGCTCTGCGGTCGTGGTTGATGCGTTTAGTTTGTTTTGCTTTCGCGAAGTAGGAGCTCATTCACTCTTGATTCAATCCATCAGGAACACGAAAGCAGATTGTGTGCAGGGAGAGATCTACAAAACAGAGATTCCAGAACCTCAGCTGCCTCCCTTCCAATGGAGTCCACTGCTTTGAAGCTCTTCTTGAAGCACACATCTCTCTCCACCAAGGACCACACACAATGTGGTTGAGTCCCCTTCCACCAAACACCCTAAAACATGGGGGCCTCTGGGCCCCCTTAGGCTCCTGGAAAACCCCTTCTGAGATGACTTGGCAACTGGGGGCCCCGGGGCCTGGGAACCTTGGGTCAGGCACAGAGGCCAAGTGGCCCTGCAGCCGGTGCGGACCATTCAGGGCTGGCTTAGCGAGCGAGCGCAGGGCCCGCATTCACAGGCACAAAACCTCGCTGGTGGCACTGGGCACGCAGCCCTTCCTGTCGCCAGACGAGACTTCCTCGACATTGCTCCCATACTAAGAAGCACCGCGTTTCATTCAACAAACCAAGTGTGGATTTGATAGCTGTAGTTACTATAGAGATGCGAGGTTTTCTGCAGGGGAAGGAGCCCTGGCGGCTTGACCCCGAATCCTTCACACAGCCCACAAAGTAGCCAGATGCTCCGAAAGAAATGATGGGAGCTGGACAGGAAATGACGGCCAAGGCAACAGCCTTGCTTTCCCATCTGCGTCGAGCCCGCCTTTGTTTTGCCATCTTTTCACCCCATTTTTAATCTATGCCATGTTCATATATTGTGATATCTTTATAAGCCATCAGAAACTCTTTTCTTGAATGAGGAGAGAGGTGATGAAATACAAGAAATGGAGTGACCTGAAAGGAAATAAGCGGGTGGCTGCAGACTGACGAAGGTGGGAACTCTGGGTTCGCGGTGATGCTCCTGCATGCCTCTTACCTGGGGCCTCTGCGTTCTAGGCAGAGGCAACAGCGTCATGGACTTTAAAGAATTTCTAGCTTTGATGCCTGAAGTGCTTCTAGAGAGGTGTTCCTTTTTTTTGAGACAGAGTTTCGCTCTTGTTGCCCAGGCTACTAAGCAAAGAACTAACGTCAGAATTCCCTAGGGTGCCAAAAACACACCCACAAAACTAAAATCCACATCCCCAGGCCCCCACTGACTCTGTCTCAGGGGAGTAGGACCCCGAATCTGCACTTTCCCCAGGTAACTTGAGCTCAATGCAGCATGAGCACCGCTGCCCTAAAAGGCAAGTGCCCAGCCCCTGCCATCTGCCAGCAGCTGCCCCACGCTGACCGACTCTCTCCTCCCCACATCGAGGCCCCATAGGTTGGGCTCATGGCCTCCCTCGCCTCTCCCAACAACACCTGTGTAGCCTGGAAGCCACAGCTGTGTGATGCCCTCTTTCCTGACCCCTTGTGCATGGCCCTCCTTCTCCCATTCCCCCTCCCCGCTCAGGGCCCCCAGGGCCTTGCAGAAGTCCCACCCCAGCACGGGGACACTGTGGGGGCCCCAAGTGGCTCCAGGGTTAGTCACCTCCACTAGTCTGCCAGCTCCATCAACAGCCTCATCCTGGTCTTCACTGAGCTGCAGACTAGGCCGGGTGCATAGCGAGTAAATGTTTGTTGAACAAACAGATGGGTCTTTATTACTTTCCTCCAGGAACTCACTCACCCTGTGCTGCTCCCAACCCCAACACACAGCCTGTGACAAAACAAGGCCCCATGGAACCCTGGCTAGACTGCAGTTCGGGAGCCGTCTGCCTCTGGCTAGGTATTTCCATGTCTTTGAGTCTGGCTCCTACAGCAGCCTCTCTCTTTCTGTAATCAAAACGGGACTCATGCCGTGAGCCTCAGCTTAAATGCCACCTCCTCTAGGAAGCCTCCTTTGATTTCCTCCTATTCATTCCAAACATTTCCTGAGTGTCTGCACTCAAGGACTGCTGGGAAGCGCCTTGCTGCTTCCCTCCTCTGGCCTTTGTGGATGGCTCTTATTTTACTCCTGTGTCTTTGGAATTACATATCACACACATGCAACACATAAGCACACAAATACATGCACACACATGCACTCACACACACCCTTCAACAGACGAGTGAGGACTGAGTCTTGCTCATTAGTCCAGAGATTTACAGGGAAAAGCTTCCCAGAAAGGTTTGTTGAATGAAGAAAGCATAGAAGGAAACCAGGCTCACAGAAGGGGAACCTGGGTAAGTCCAAGGAAGGGAAGCTAACAGCCTAAGCCTAGTGGCTTCTCTTGACTGTACCCTTACTAGTGACAAAATCAAAATCCACAGTTGTAAATGCCACAGCTGGGAAGCACAGCCAGGTGCATCTGGCTTGGGAGCCCACACCCTCCCCACAACCTCTCCTGCCCCAGCCCACCTGCAAATGGAGCAGCAGGGTCTAGAGCTGGCCTCCCCAGGGCTCTATGCTAACCACAGCGAGGCTCTGCGTGCGGGTCATGCCAGCTGCCTGGGACCCACAGGGGCGTCCGGGGCCACTGAGGGAGCAGAGTGAGAGGAACAGCTCCAGCACAGTGCTGGAATTCAGCCCGCCCAGAGTCCATCAGCACAGTGCTGGAAGTCAGCACGCCTAGATGCCAACGTCGGGTTCTACCGCTGACTAGCTGCGTCTTGGCCATGTTATTTCACTTCTTTGTGCCTCAGTTTCCTCACTGGTAAAATGGAAAGAACAAGAAGAATAATGTCTACATTATGAGAGCGTTATGCCATTTCAGTGAGGTGATACTTGTGCCAGCTCCGCGAAGCCAGAGGCAGACAGCCTGCACTGAACGCTGGGGTGATGATTACATCAGCCACCACGTATCAAGCACCACCGTTCCGGCCCCTCTCTTATCCTTTGCTTATTTAATCCCCACCACTAGCCTCTAAGGAAGTATTCACATCCCCATGTGCAGAGGAGAAATCGGAGGTGGTTTGACTTGCCCAGGGCCACCCAGGTAATGAGGGGTTTGGACCGAGGATCCCGGCCTCCACAGTTGTCACATGGCTGTCTGCCTTTTGCAGGTCAAAATTCCCCAGCCAGAGCCAGGTCCCCCGCAGAAGCTGTGTGTCCTGTCTGCAGCGGGAGGCCAGGCCTGCCTGGTGCTCACATTCCCCAGGTGGACTGTCTGGGAAGAACCGCCACCCCCTGGGCTTGTGGGAGTGAAGGCCTGTGCAAGGTGGTGGGGGAAGGGCGAGCCGGACAGAAAAGCCCCAGGTAATGTAAATGGAAACTCTAACCGACAGCCCTGCACCTGGTGTTTTTGCATTTCCCAATCCAGCTGAAGGGATTGTGTGTGCAGCTTTGAGCTCACTCCTAGGCCGAGGTCAGGTGTGGCCTGGAGGAAGCAAGCAGTGGCCCACGTCGCGAGACAGCCGGTCTGCACCGCAAAGCCACTTCACGTCCCAGCCTGGGAATTCTGGGATGGTGCTTGTTTCAACCCTGTCCCTTGGGTGACCTGGAAAACACCTGGGTGTCACCCCCACCTCAGCTCTAAGCCGGTCATTCCCGGCCAAAGCAGGAGAACTCTCTCAGCTCCAGGGAGGAAGGAGTGACGCCTGCTCACCCTACAGACACGTGAGGGATTACAGGGAGGCCCAAAGCCACTTGTCCAGCTGCAAACTGCAAAGGTCACCCTCCGCACACTCTCTTCCCTGAAGCCCCTGCACGCCGCTGGGGACCGGAGCATGTGGTTCTCTCTAATGACAAATATGCGTGTCATCTACCCCCAAAATACAGCAATCGCCAGGAAAGCGAGGTTCCTGGAGCTGAAAGAATTTGCCCAAGGTCACACACAACCGGCAGAACCGGGACTTGCCAGGTCTGAACCCAAGGCTCCGGCACTTTCGCTGAGCCTATCTGTACAGGAACTGCAGCTGCCGCAGTTTAGGGAAACCAGTCCGAATACGTGACCCAGCATCGGCCACCCGCTAGGGCCGCCAGAGTGAAAGCTAGGCCCTGGGGAAACCCCAGACACACAGGAGGCAGGGTCCCTGGCCTTGAACTACAATAAGTAGGTGAGCTGGGCAAACTGTGTGCAGCTGACTGGAGCCGGCCCCAGCTGCGTGCAGACGGACAGGTACATGCTGAGTGTCAGGGACACAGAAGAAGGAGGGGGCATGCAGCCAGCCGGTGCCAGTCTGAGAATGCTGATGCCCACCTCAGGTTCTGGAGAGGACCTGTGTCCAAGGAGGAAGGCGGGCAGCCAGTCTTGCCCACAGCTAAGACAAGGCTCTAAAACACAGCTATGGGTGGGGACATCGGCCTGGAGGCCTCCTAGCCCCCATCGGGCAAAGAGCACCTTTCACAGACACAAATGCATGACTGTGCTGGGCAGAAAGAAGGCCTGTGACTCACAGGCTTCTGCATCCCTGCAGACATAGTGTGCGGGGAGGCGTTTGGAGGCAGCCTCCCCCGCCAGCGGGCTGGTCTGTGGTGCCCTGAACTGCATTCACTCCCCACGGTAGTCTGAGCCCCCTCCCCACCACCAGAAAAGGTATAGCAAGCAGTGCAATGGGTTGGCTCATCCATCTACCACTTCCCCAAAATAGATTCCTGCCCGAGGGCTGTTCCAATGCAGGAGGCTGCTGGATTGAGCTGGCCTTGGTCCATGCACCCTCCTATCAGTTAGAACCCTTTCTCAGAGGTGCCTCCGGGAACCAGATCATGTCACTGACAACTCTTCCCAGTAGCAGAAAGCTCAGGAGCTAAAAAGGCAAATATAGGCCAGATGTTGGCCAAGGGGCTTAGTGGTTGTTAAGAAACGATCTCTGATTCAACTCCCAGCTAAGCTCGGCCAGACGGTCATCTGAGTGCCTCTTCCAACCTGTCCCCGAATTACGTGTTCCACAGGCCCCATTCTCTTGGGGTCTGAGGGGTGCCCTCACCCTGAGCGTCGGGTCCCTGCAGTCCAGGTTCCAGTCTCCTATGGATCCCGAGTCCAAATGAGGGACTCGGTTCCCAAAAGAGGAGGCTCTTTGCTTGGAGAGCAGCCCTCAGCCTGCGCTGACAGCACCTCCTCCGTTATCCGGCGCACTGCCAGGAGCTGCACCCACAGAGGAAATGGGCCCGTGACATGAAAGCCCCAACAAAACCAACATCGGGTGGGTTATTTTTATCCTCCTAAAGATTTTTAGCCAAGACCCCGGCAGCTAAAGGGCATCCCGGGCTTTGAGGAGACTTCTCTGCAGCTCTCACTCCCACGCTCGGTGCCCTCCCTCCCCTAGCCCCCCCACCCCCGCCCCCGGGAACTGAGAAAGTGGATCAGGTCAGAGCAGAGCATTCCTCATTCTGCCATCTCCACGGGAAAACTAATTAGTTGCCAAATATTCAGAATGGGTAATTGCTACCTGAATTAATAAGGGCAAACAGCCGGCAAGAAAACAGTGGTTTACTATTTCTGAGCGCTTACCTCTCTTAACCCAGAGTCCAGACTCCGCGGGAATGGACCCACGTGTGGCATGAGGCAGAACTCCGGCTGGGGCTGCCGAAAAGGGGGACACAGATGGTGAGGGCAGCTCCTGCACTGGGGTCAGCTAAACAATGCTGTAGCGAAGTCACCATCTGTTTCCTCTTGCACACACGTATACACACACATAAACACACGTGCATGCACGGGCACACACAGGCATACCCCACACAAGTACACACATGCATGAACACATGTGCACATATACGCACATCACAAACAAGTGAGCACACACCAGCTACACCCTGCACACGTGCAGATACACATACCACACATTCACACTACACACACATGCACACTCTACACATGCCTGCACATACACCATACACACTCATTGTGCACACACTCCATACATCACACCACACATGTGCATGCACACACATTCACGTACCACAGGCACCAAACCACACACACAAAGCACACACACAACACACTCACACCATACACACACACTTACACCCCAGGAACAGCCAAGGGTTCCAAGAAGAATGCATCAAGCCAGGATCCTCACCCAGGGTCTTCAGCAAGTCACCCCAAGTTCCTCAACTCTGACAAGGGGGCATTTAGAACAAACTAAGAGTGTTGTAGGCAGAGGAGGAAGAAACGGAGGGAAAGGAAAGTTGAGATGACACTGAAGAGGAGAGAGACGCCTAGAAAGGCTGGGAAGAGCCTGGCCACAGCCCCAATCTCCACTCCTCCTGCTTCCCTGAGGCACAGAGACTTCAGATGCACCCCCAGAGAGGCCCTCAGACCTAGCCCAATCACTACCGTGCTGTGTGACCTCAGACAAGTCACTTCACCTCTCTGAACCTAGGCTTCTGCTGATGTAAAAACGAGATGATTCCGTGCAGTCATTTAAACAGTTCGAATACAATGCCCTTCCAGAGGTTTCAGTTCAAGTTTGGGGTCATCGCAGTTACTCCCGACCTTTCAGCCCCTCCCCCATCCCTGCCAAAGTACTTACCTTATTTGAATTAATGCTGACGACTCCACTGCCACAGGACTTCCCCTTGAGCAGTCAGCCACAAGTCACTTCCTCCAGGGGTGGCCATGACTCTCTGGAGCACCTCCAACCCCATGTCACAGGCAGCTTGGCCGAGAGAACTCCAGCTGGGAAACTCCCGTCCAGTCCACGCAGGGAATCTGGCTCTGCATCTGGGTGGGTGGCCTGTGTGGCATCTGCCTCTCTGTGAAGCTGTGATGGAAAATTAAGTGGGTTGATGATGTGCATACAATGTTTTATTTAACAATGTGTTGTAAGGAGTTCTCATATCTGTACAGAGAGCTGCCTCTTTTTTTTAATGACCAAACAATAATTCTATTAAATGTCTGCATCATAATCTATTCCACTGAATCCCTTTTGAGGGACGTGTTTGGTATTTCCAGTCTTTGACCTTTACAAAAGTTGCTGTGACATATATGCTTATATGTGCTCATTTTGTATCAATAAAAAGTCACATGTGTATAGATATCTCTATATATCTTTAAAGATTCCTATTTGCATGGAAGAACACTATACACCAAGTTATTAACCGTGGTTACTTCTGAGAGATGATTAGGGAAGAAAACTCCTTAAACTTTTTGTAAGCAAGTATTGCTTTATAATTTTAAAAAAGGAATGAGTAAGGGAGAAAAATAAAATGAAGTCACTCTTGTTAAACCTCTTAGAAGTGGTTTTATGAGCTGGAGTGGAGCTGGTAGAAGCAGCCCACATCAACACAGTGAGGAGAGCAAGGTCCCAGTGTTGGTCGGAGGGACCGAGAGCCACTGCCTGTCCTGGAGGTCGGCTCCCCGCAGGCTTCCAATCCTGGCTCTCTGTACTGACGGGAGTGCCCTGGCTGGTGCCCCATCTTGAAGGATTCAGTTTCCCCTTGTATAAAATGGGAAGGATAGGAACACCAGCCGGCAGGGCTGCTGTGAGATCGAGTGAACTAAAGCATGGGAATTGCAGATGAGCTGTCGTCAGCACACCTGTTCTTCCCTGCTTCCTGGTACATGGCACAGAACACTCTTCTCTCCAAAGAGAAAAAGAAAAATCAAATTAATTGCTCCTCTCCAGCCTCCTACACCTTGAGGAGCAGGTAGCGGGGGAGGAGGGGTGGCCATTTACACATCCAGCAGCCTTTCTCCCTGCTGAGGGCATTCCTGACGACACCAGGGCTGGCAAACATGTCTAGAAATCTCAAGATGGTTAATCATTGAGACCATTCCCTTGGTGATCAATAAAATGGCAATAAACCCATCAGCCAATATTATTTTCAAGAGAGACTCAACAAGCCCAACACAGAAACACAGCAACTCCAGGGTCCTACGAGCAGGAGGATTTTCAATCATCTCAATGGTGTTGATAAAGAGATGTGTCCCTTTGCATGGATGGGTCCTAGGTTTGGGTGAGGACTCCTGGGGACCCCAAGGGAGATCCAGAAGGGCCAGCGAATGCAACATGCAGCGAGCCTCACACATGTGCCCCACAGGGGTCCCCAAACCCAGACTATTCTGCACAGTCCTCACTACCCAGCAGGCCACTGAGTTCTTGTCCCAACTCACCCACTGCTGTGGGACTCTGGCAAATCAACAACTTTAGCCAAACGCCCCAGTTTCCTCATCTGTAAAGAAACCTCACCTTCCTTGTGGGTTGCTGGGAGGATCGATGAGATGGAGCCGACAGAGGCTCGCGACAAGAGTTCAGGAAACACCTGTAATGGCTGCTGTTGTGAACACATGGCCACAGGTCCCAGAGGGTTGTTAGGGTGATCCGGTAGCACCTGTCAGTGAGATGATGCGTATACCATGAAAAGCTGTGCTGATGTACATGCGCATGACTAAGGACTTTTGTACCCTCGCCAGAGCCAGCCCTGTGATCCTATCCAGAGGAATCCCTAAGGCCGGGATGGAAGTCACCCAGAATCACTGTCGGTCACCAGATGACTCGCAACTCCGTTTCCTCCTGCCCTTGACTGGCTCCCTCCTTCCATCTCCCAGCAGACCCTGAGCCAGGTACTCACCTGCCCTCTTCCTGCCCCAGAGTACATGTCTCTTGGACTCCCAGGCCACCCAGGGAACACCCTTTGGCCGTCTCTCAGGAAGCACTTTGAACATCTCAAGTGCCCCGCTCTGGAAAACACCAAAGACAGTGCTTCCCATCCCACCCTTAAACCCAGTGACCTGTAGAAGTCCAACTCCAGCCCGCACAGTGCCTGGTGGACACAGCCACCGCCTGGAAGCCAAGCTTTGATCAGTGACTTCCTGGCCCACCAGGCCCCTGGGCCCCAAATTCATTTCTCAGGCAGGTGAGATGGCTCTCCCAATGCAGGTGGCTGAGACAAATTATGCCAGGAATTTGCACATTTATCCTACTCAGTAAAGAGTTGCACCTCTATAGCTCTCCCCCCATTTTATTATGGGTTAATGTGGTTAAACATTTTAATTTTAGAAATAATTGCCAACAATTCAATAGCACACACTGGCTCCATGTCGCACAGTTCATGATTTCTCCATGCACTGGGACAGGAATATTTTTAGGCCCTGTTCAAGTTACCCACCCTGGCTGCAGATGAAATATTAATTAAAGGTTACACTTTCAGCCTTCAGAAAATGATTACTCAAGATAGCAATTATATTTTCCCCTTTTTGTATAATAACACTGCACCTTGCTGTGCAGAGGAATTAATAATTCTAAACCCTGTTGTTATAGAGGCAGCATCAAAGCTGAAGGAGGAGGCACATGCCCAAGAGGGGAAAACACAAACACGTTTAGACCCACAAAGAAAGTGGCTGACTTCAAAAGAGCAGGATTCTGCATTCAGCGCTGGGATCATTTCTCAAGGTCATTAATTGCTCTAGCTGTCTAAGAGCGTGGCCCAATTACAAAGAATACAGAGACACAGAAATTAGAACAGAACATAGTTGCAGCTCAGACTCCAGGTCACTAGGAAGCTCGGCAGATCCACAGCCTGGCATGCACCTGGAGCCCATCAGCCAACTCCTCCAGGTTCCTTCCAAGGGATTCAGACATCCGGGGCAGCCAACTGATTCAAGAACCAACAGTTCATAGCTTTCCAGGCAATTTCCACAGCGAGAAGAAAAAAGGAAGCTCAAGGCCTGGAAAATAGTAAAAAGAATAGCTGCCATTTATTGAGTGTCAACTATGTACCAGGAAAACTCAGTGAGGCAAGAATTCCAATCTTCACTTTATAGATAAAAGCACTAAAGTTCAGAAAGATTAAATGACTTGCCCAGGGTTACAGAGCGAATGGCAGAATTAGGACTCAAACCAACGGACCCACAATTGCATGAGGACTGGGCTGTGCCAGTCTCATTTACTGTTGTACCCCACAGCCTATCTTGCATTGCACCTGGTGCATAGTAGGTGCTCAATAAATTTGACTTATTTAATGAATGAACAACTGAACTTCTGAATCGATCATCCACGCTTGGAAGGCGAAACTCTGCTACTCAGCAAAGGAGACTTAAAAAAAATTGCGACTTTAAATGAGTCTCAACATTCAGGGAAGTGGGGTAGGTGGGGGAAAGGGTGAGCATGCAGCTTCGCACAGATCACTCCAGCAGGCACTCACCAGCACCACCCCCAGTGCACACTCGAATGTTCCCCTAGAGGCATTGTCAAATATTTTCCATACGACAAAATAGGAAATTAGTACATGAAATGAGTGGTATATGGTACGATAGCATTATGGCTTATGTTGTTCTGTGACCATGTGACAATCAGGCATTTTTCACGAAGCTCCCTCGGGGAGCCCTTTGGTGACTGTGTCCAATCAGGCCCTGACCCTGAGGGGAGGTCCCACGGTCCTTCCTGCCCTTTAAGCATGAGAATGGAGCAGATGAGAACATCCTTACAGCCTTTCTTTCTGGGACAAGATTGCAGGTGACACAGGAGTAGATACGTGGGCAGCTGTGCCTGCCACTGCTGGAGCGAAAGGCCAGACCAGCAAGGGAGAATCTGCTGACGGACTGGAGGTGGGCAGAGCTGCTGAGGCAGGAAACACTGAGCTGCCCCAGGGTCACCGACATGGGGCTTGAGGGCTTCCTCCTAGGGAAGGGAGAAGGAAAGTCTCCCAAGGGCCATGACAGTGAGGAAAAGGGCCCCAGGAGGCCAGCTCCAGAGAGGACAGGGACTCTCAGCAGGGTGGGAGGGGCAGATGCCTGGGCAGATAGATTCTTCAGGTCTGAGGTTTCTTCTGGAAATTGCAGTGCCACTGCGTACAAGTCAGCAGCTGGGGGCATCCTCCATGATCTGGAAGCTGGGAGGAGCAGGGCAGGATGTGCGGAGAGACTGTTAGGAGGCCCCACCTCCCACAGGGAGCTCACTAGCTCTTCAAGCAAAGGGTGCACTGGCATCAGGACTTCCTGCAAGCAGGCAGGCAGCACACCAGGAGTGCGGGCACCACCCAGCACCCAGGCTGGTGAGACAGCGGCGGAGGCAGCCAGCAGGAGGGAACTCACCTTTCTTGAGTGTCCAGCAAGGCCGGCACTGTGCTAGGTGTGGAAGCTGAAGCCCCTGCACTGAGGATGGTGCAGCCCATGGGGAGGGCAAACACAGAAACAAACTTCCTACAGCCTGAGTGCAGCCTGGGCCCCTCCGCCTGCCACCTCCTGCAGGGGTTGGTGTTTTCACAGAGGGCTCAGCTGAAGTGTCCCTGAGGCACCTTCCAACCCTGCATCCTATGAGACTGCCTTATCAGCTCACCCTCTAGGATGAGGACATCCTGGCAGAGACACTGATAAGCCAAGGCCAAGGCCACAAAGGAAAGGGAGGGGCCGATGGAGGCCAGACCTGGAGATGTGGGAGCCAGGGCACAGGGCCCCAGCGCTAACTTTTGACCACTGTGGACACACACTTCAAGTGCATCACCTCAGCAGCACTGGTCCTGAGAACTCTGGGGAGATGGCAGGCAGTCCTCTGGCTTCCAGGGTCTACTCATACGCTAAGCTCAAGATTGCTGGAGCTCTGAAGGGGCTCTGTGCCACACTGCGGGCTCCTTCCACTGTTTCGGGCATAGCACTGAACCCCGAAGAAAGTTCCAGGCCTAGTTCTGGAACCTCTAGCACATCCCTGAATTTCTCAGAGCTTCAGTTTCTTCCACTGCTCTGCCAAGGGAAGGGAGTCACCTCGTCACCAAGGCATCGTCCAGGTCTGACACTCCATGACTGTGATTCCATTTGGTTTCTTTAAATCCCATTTTTACTTCTTGCTTTAGCACTAAAGCAAACTCCAGGCACTAAACTCAGGAGATGGGCCCATCTCTTTTGCCCCAAGTCCTAACACTCCAGAAAAGGCATCTGGAGCAGTCTGTTCCTTCTGATGCAAAATAAATCCACTGACACTCATCCTCCCTGGGCACCCAGGCCCAGAGCCCAGAGAACAGGCGGCTGCCTAGAGGCATCAAGGCCACCAGCCTCTTTCCCCCTCCACTGCCCTTTAAGTCCTTCCCTGGGCTTGGCTGAGGAGGCAGCAGGGAAAAGAGGCACAACTGCAGGAGAAAGGAGGAGGGCGGGTGGACGTGGCCAGACCCAGGAGGCTGCAGGGAGCTGGGACTCAGCACAGCAGCCTGGGAACTCCACTTTCAGCCTCGGCTAAAACCCCATGCCCAGAGTTCCTCAAAAAGCCCCTCAAGTCCCTCAAAGGCCCCAAAACATGCTGGGTGCTGAAGACAATGGCCTGCAAGCTTCACATGAGAAACTGAGACCCTCTGTCCCCACTCTTCCAGCAAGTTGAGGCCATTTTCTAGGAATGGTGAAGTCAAAGAAGCTGCTCTTTTCACATTACTCAGAAACACGCACTACCCCCAATCACAGATGCCAGCCATGCACAGGGGCCCGTTCTGAAGGCAGGGGCAGGTGCACCAGCCCAGGAGCCCAGAGAAACTACAGCCAGCGCTGCCTCGGCTTAGGGAACCTGCGGCCGGCTTCCTGGGTACAGCCATCGTAGGAAAGAGGGCCTTTCCTCAGCCAGCATCCCTGCCCCTTCCTCCACCACCTTCCCTCTGTGGGACTGCTCCCAGGCAGACCTGGGGCCTCAGCCAGCATGGGCAGGAACTCCCAGAGGACACGGGAAGGACTCCTGAGGTGCGGACTGGAGGTATGGGCGCCTTGCAGCACAGGGCCTAAGAGGAGAGAAGCAGCTCAGCCTCCCCAGGTGGAAGGAGGCACCCCTTTCCTTCCAGGACAGCAACCTGTTGGTTTGTCCCAGGCCTGGTCAGGTGGGGCGAGGCTGCTCCTGGCGAACTAGGGACTCCTCTGCCCAAGCCCCTTCTCAGGGGAGGAGACCGGCATCCTACACACCCATGTCCACCATCCATGAACATTTACTGATCTCTCAGTAAGTCCCAGACCCTGTGCTAGGGTCCCTGCGATCACGAGCTCATAGACCAGATAAGCGCAGAGAAAGTTGTAATTAAACTACCCAATGCAGAACAATGACCAGCCCAGGTCAGGATACAGACCCAGGGCCATGGCTTAAGCAGCAGAGGGCCTGGGGCGTGGGCGGGGGTGCAGGGGAGGGAAAGGTCCAGAGAGAGGGTGTGACCCTGCAGGTCCGGCATAGCCAGGCATGAGGGCACTCCAGGTGGGAATGTGCCGCCCCAACCCCGGGCACCCCCCGGGGAATCCGGCGCCCGGTGACACAGGCCGCCCTCTTTGAGGGCCTGGATTGAGGAAGTTGGGGTCAGAGCTCCAGACTGGAGTCCCTCTTGCTGAATTCCCCTTCCAGACATCAGAGGCAAAGAGGAACCCTCATTCAGAGACCACCTGCACCAGCGCTTCCGGGCTGGGTCAGAAAAACAGGTCGTCCTCGCCGCCCGCGCCGGCGCCTGCAGCAGGTTCCTCTTCTGGGAGCCAGCACGCAGCCAGAGCTCCAGGGAGGGGGGTGCACCCCGGGGGTGGGACCCACGGGGCGGGGCCAGGCGACACCTCGCCCACTGCCGTGACTATGCCCAGCCCCAGCCAAAGCCCGCCCACTGCCGCAGCATGCCACGCCCCCTCCCGGCCCGCCTCGCAGGGTCATGTTCAAGGTCCTGCCCACCGCTCCTCCCACAATCCAGCCTCAGGGAGGGCCTCCAGGCTCACCTTCCCAGCCTCATTCCGCACAGCTTGCTACTCTCCACACGCACCGCCTCCCGTCTCCAGGCATACCAGCCGACCTGTTGGTCGCCTCTTTTCAAGTCCCCCTCATTGCTTAAGACCTTTCATCATTCCTAGGCCTGTGTATAATCTTTCTCTCTTTTACACCCCCCGCCCCTACCCTGGCAATCAGGGCACACATCGAATCCTGCCGGCTACTTTAACAGCTTCAGGCAGACCCCCATGGTTTCCTCCCGGCGAGGCACTTTGAAGTCCTGAAGAAATAAGTGTGAGGTGGTATGAGAGGGGCTCCTCGGTGACTTCCACAGGCCTCCATATCAGGCCTTCCCCTGCAGAATTCCATGGACCTCTCGGGGGTCCAGGACTCCTTCACAGCAGGGAGGCCCCGAACAGGAACCTCGGGCCCTGCCTCGGGATCAGCGGGATCAGCGTTCCTCCGGGGCTGACTGGAGAACTTTCCTTTATCTGCAGGACCCGCTGGGGTCTCCCGGGCCTAGGCTTCCCTCGGAACTGCATCTCGAAGGGCAGCTCAGCTCGCACTCCGCGCACCTACTGTGTGCTCTCTAAGCTGGACACCAGGAAAGCTCTGCGACTCTGCTGTGAACTCTGGGGTCAGTGAGACCCCGGGGTCAAAAGCTGGCTCTGCCGCTCACCATGGCTGTGACCCTGAGAAAGTTGTCTAACTTCCCTGAGCTTCGGTTTCCTAAGCTGCAAAATGGGAACAGCAATCGTTGTCTGTCTTGCAGCCTTGTTACAATGGCCGAAGGAAAGAGCATGGCACGGAATGGGTTCTCAGTTAGAGGCTACAGAATACCCAGCTCCTCCTGCAGGTGAAGAGCACCAGCTCTGAGCCAAATGACCTGAGCTCACACACGGGCTCTGCCAGACACTGGTTGCATAACCTTGAACAAGTTTCCTCATCTTTCTGTGCCTCGGTTTTCTCATCTGTAGAATGGGCATAACATGGTGCAGTGTTTCTACTTGGGAGGGATAAAAATGGTCTGGAAGTTGATAGTGGTGACGGCTGCACAACCCTATGAATATAATTCACATCGCCAGGTTCTGATATGAATTATAAAATATAAATTATAAAAATGATAAGCTTTATATATTTTTCCACAATTTTTAAAAATATGCCAAGAAGCAATGGATTGTACACTTTCAATGGGTAAATTGTATAGTACGTTAATTTCTCTCACTATAACTGTTTTTAGAAAATGTTAAGAATGGAGATAATAATAATGTTACCTACCTCTAAGGGTCATTAGAGGAGAATGAATGAGTTCACACAGTGCTTAGAAGAGCTTACAATAGTGACCAGCACAGGATAAACCCTTAACTGGTGTTGACTGTCATATCAAATATACCTCATATGTCACTTCGTTTCATCTCTGAAACAACTCTACGGGTTAAAATGTATTTTTCCTTATTTTATGGGCAAGAAAATTGACAATCAGAAAAGTTAAGTCACTTTTTTTTTTTTTTTTTTTGAGACGGAGTCTCACTCTGTCGCCCAGGCTGGAGTGCAGTGGCGCGATCTCAGCTCACTGCAAGCTCCGCTTCCCGGGTTCACACCATTCTCCTGCCTCAGCCTCCTGAGTAGCTGGGACTACAGGCACCCCCCTCCACCACGCCCGGCTAATTTTGTTTTTGTAGTTTTAGTAGAGACGGGATTTCACCGTGTTAGCCAGGATGGTCTCGATCTCCTGACCTCGTGATCCACCCGCCTAAATGCTGGGATTACAGGTGTGAGCCACTGCGCCTGGCCAAGTTAAGCCACCCATGTGGAAGTTGCAGAGCCAGGATTCAAACCCCAATTACGTCTGATGCCACAGTTAGTCCAGGTCTTGGGGAAGATGTTGAGAAGATGGTATGTCGCTGTCTTACCTGGCTGAGTAGCCACAAGCAACAAGCCAAAGGGCACCCTGAGGGGAGAACACTGTGGCTCTCAGTGGCCGCCTCGGGAGAAACAGCAGCAGCTACACCTGCAGGTGGGGGGTGGGGAAAGAGGCTGCGGTAGGCAAGCGAGTGGTGGAGATGGGGGAGGATGCAACTTCCCTGATCCATTTAGAACTGAAACGTCCCACTCACTAGTGCCACCAGCTCCCACTATAGCCAGTGCACCTGACATGCAACAAGAGCTTGAAACCGCGTCACCTTCCTGAGGAAACAGAAGCATGACGGGGTTTGGGGATCGGTGAGAGTCTGGGTTTTCTGGGGCCTTTTTCATTTTGTTTGAGGATCCTTTTTAAATTGTTATTATTCGACCCACTCAGAAATGCCTGAACTTTCCGCTTCCAAGTTGGCTGGAAATCACCTCACAGGGACGTTGCTAAGTGAAAATTAAAGTTCTTGACATTTGAGATGTCATCCTGCTCAGACACGAAAGAAAAGGTCACCAGTGTAAAGGGTAACCCATGAGTGGTGAGGTTCCCACAGCAACACCCAAGTAACACCAGATACCTCTGAGATTGCTGCTATCAAGCCACAGCCCCCAGGAGCTCCCAAGCAGGGGGCCTCCCCCTTGGCTGGAAGAGCAGGAGAAGATTCTGGGCTCCATGAGAGGGCTGGCAGCTGTAGAGGCTGCCTGGCCTGGGATGCTCCATTCCCCTTCAGGATGTCCAGCTGGGCTGGACCGGCCTCTTCCAAAAGTGGAACTCGCATTTGACCCCTGGGGGAGGCCATGGTAGATCTGAGGGAGCCAAAGAGGTCCCCAAGCCAGTCCAGGAGGCAGGACAGGGGCCTGGAGCCAGGAGACAGAGCAGTGGATTCAAAGCCAAAGGGGCTGGGTTGATTCACTTTCTTCTCACGGCAGCCATCCGAAGCGAGGGCTGCTGTGATTCATGGTGGGGGAACAGCTAGAGCCATGGGGCGGCCGGTGGGACCAAATCAAAGGGTGATGGCCAGGCACGAGCGCTGCCAGAGGTGGCCCGTGCCGGCCTCACAGGGCAGCGAACGGGGTCCGGGTCAGGTCACGCCTCAGGAGCCAGAACAGCTCATGTCAAACCAAGACAAGGTGTGAACCAGGTCAAGATAGCTCACCTTCAAATCTGAAAACAGCCCCACGTTGAGGACAGGTTTGCAGCAAACCTAAAACCTGGAATTTGAGAGGTCAAACACAGTCCCAGTCTAAACACATTTGCTTTAAAGTAAGAAAAAGTGAGGTCTGGAGCACATCTGGAGTTTCACATCTGGAGTGCAAGTGGCACCGTTCAAAACGGGACTTCGCGTTTGAGCCCAAGGCCCCCTCGGCTCCCTGGTCACCTCCCCGACCGGGGGCAGAGCAGATGAGCTCCAGACAGCCAAGGGGGCAGCACTCCAGCTTCCTCCCCTCCCTCCTCCCAGGCCTGCAGGGGAGAGGAACTTTCACCCACGTGGGGGCCCCTCCTCCACTGCAGCTCTTCATCTTAGAAAGATGCCAGGTAGGATGTAACCTGTGGCCACCGCGGCAGCACGGCCACCCCATCCTCCTGTCCCGACGGCACAAAATGGCTGCTGGGTCCTTCTTCCACTCTGCAAAGTAGTTGGATCTCCTTCAGCAGTGGTCCTCAGACCATGGCTGTCCCCTCGGTCTCCAACTTATTCTCTCCCTCCGGCCATCTTCCAACAGCCTCCTAGCTGGCTCGCAGTGACATGCAGCGTGAGCTACCAGCCCTCCATATCAGGGACCCCCCAATGTGAGGGCCGCAGAGCTGTGCCCAGGGCTTTACCCGAAACCTGAATGCTTCAGGGACCAGGCACAACCAGGTGAAGCCCTCCAGGGCCTCTCGCCTTCTCACGTAAGTAGTGCTTCAGTCCTGAGCTCCGCCCTAGCAGCCCTTGTATATGGGTCCCAAGCTCTAGTCTAAATACCCAGTGTCTGTCTCAGTGGTGAACACGAGTTGAAGGCTTTATGCTGTGGTATAAAGTCATCCCCATTCTACAGATTGGGAAACCAGGATCCAGTGGGGCAGGTGGGAACCTGGTAAATGGCAGAGCCCAGTTTGAAGCCAGGCCTGCCTGGTGGAACCCTGTGCCACCAACCCTGGAGAAACCCACCTGGCCTCCTCTGCTCAGGCCCCTGTGCCACCAACCCTGGAGAAACCCACCTGGCCTCCTCTGCTCAGGCCCCGCACTGACCCTGCTGGCTTCTCCACAGCCCCATCAAGCCCCACAGGTCCTCAGAAGGTCAAAAGCCTCGGAAACAGTTCAGCCAGAACAATTTTGCCACCCAAATGGTGACTCAAGGAGGGAGGCAGAAGAATGCGTAAGTCTCCCCCCAGCTTCTGCAGCCTCATTCATCTCTAAGTCTGGTCCCTGCTTCTACTTATTCAACAACATCTTAGTGCATGCTGGGTGCTGCTGGGAGCCCCCTGCCTGTACTAACACACTGGGCCACCTCACGGATATCATTCCCATTTCACAGATGGAAAAACTAAGGCAAAGGGTGGCTGCATGGACCATCTTACCAGCGCTAAGTAGGGAAGTTGGAATCTGAACCCAGACCATGCGGCTCTAGGGTCTCTCTCCAAGGAGGGGACTACCTGGTGAGACTGATCTCAGTCACCCTCCCTGCCCCAGAGCAGCCCTTACTTTCCCTCCTCCAAGCTATACACCATCCTGACCATGCTGCTGCTCATACAGGAGGGGAAGGAAGGTTGATGGTGTGAGATACCAAAGGGCTGTGATGCCTTTTTCATTTTAAGAAGCCACATCCTTTCCCACCTTACAAGAATAGTCATTGGAGGGCAAAAATAGATGGCTCATTAGCTATTGATTCATATTGCTCTGGAAGATGATTTTGAAATATGCACCAGCCACAGCCTCGTAGGATCATTAGGATACACCTATAGCCCGTTTCCTGCATCCCAAGAAGAAGTTTATACAGAGCTGTCAGGTCAGTTGGGTACAGTAGAAATCTCAGCTAAAACAGTCTCACCTGACAACACCAGTGCACTCCCGGGGCACCAGGGGACATCAGAGGCATTGTTACCCCTGGAGGACTGCAGTCAGAGGGGCTGGGCACTCAAAGCAGACACTGTTTAATGGAATAGCCGAATATTATGACATCTTACAACATCTGCAAGCCAAGAACTCACAGCAGGGATGAGTAAAAGAACTAAAGTGGTGGCTGGGTGCGGTGGCTCACATCCGTAATCCCAGCACTTTGGGAGGCCGAGGTGGGCAGATCACAAGGTCAAGAGATCGCGACCATCCTGGCTAACACGGTGAAACCACATCTCTACTAAAAATATAAAAATTAGCCAGGCGTGGTGGCAGGTGCCTGTAGTCCCAGCTACTCAGGAGGCTGAGGCAGGAGAATCACTTGAATCTGGGAGATGGAGGTTGCAGTGAGCCGAGATCACGCCGCTGCACTCCAGCCTGGCAACAAAGCAAGACTGTCTCAAAAAAAAAAAAAAAAAAAAACTAAAGTGGTATAAATCCTCTCTCTCTCTCTCTGTATATATATGTGTTTGTATGTATACATAATATATATCTCACATGCAAATATCATATACATATGTGTATATATAGAGAGAGAGAGGGAGGAGGGGAGGGGAGGAAAAGGGAGAGGGAAGGGGAGGGGAGGAAAAGGGAGAGGGGAGGGGAGGAAAAGGGAGAGGGGAGGGGAGAGGAGAGGGGAGGGCAGGGGAGGGGAAGGGAGAGGGGAGGGGAGGAAAGGGGAGAGGGGAGGGAAGGAAAGGGGAGAGGGGAGGGGAGGAAAGGGGAGAGGGGAGGGGAGGAAAGGGGAGAGGGGAGGGGAGGAAAGGGGAGAGGGGAGGGGAGGAAAGGGGAGAGGGGAGGGGAGGAAAGGGGAGAGGAGAGGGGAGGGGAGGACAGGGGAAGAAAGGGGAGAGGACAGGAGAGGAGAGATATTACATACTATCACAGGTCTTGTGATATATAGTGATCTATCCCCGGTCTTGAACTATCTTCACACCCCTTTTTGGCTTTCTGGAAGGATTTGGGGGCAGTTGTTATGTGTCTGCTTTTTCAAGTTATAGGGTGATTCTGTATTGTTGAAATCTAGCACCTTGATAAAATAACAGTGACTGTTCTTGCAATGAATCTTGCTGTTTGGGAGGGCTCTGTCGTATAAATGGAAGCTGGCTCTTATAAATATTTGGTTAATTGGCTGTACTATCTCAAATAAATGCTTTGCTCTCGGTGTTTCTGGTGGTTAACAGTTTGGGAAGCAGTTTTTATATGCATTAGCCAGTGGCTGAAATGTAATCAGCGCTAAATAAAAGTTGATTGAATTGAATTGAGTTATCCAATTTGATTTTCACATGGCCTATGAAGGGTTAGGTTTTTGTCAGAGGGAAAAGTTGCCTTTTAAAAATAAAACTCGGCCAGACGCGGTGGCTCACGCCTGTAATCCCAGCACTTTGGGAGGCAGAGGCAGGTAAATCACCTGAGGACAGGAGTTCGAGACCAGCCTGGCCAACATGGCAAAATCCTGTGTCTACTAAAAATACAAAAATTAGTTGGGCATGGTGGCATGCGCCTGTAATTTCAGCTACTCAGTAGGCTAAAGCACAAGAATTGCTTGAACCCGGGAGGCAGAGTTTGCGGTGAGCCGAGATCGTGCCACTCTACTCCAGGCTGGGTGACGGAGTGAGACTGTGTCTCAAATAAATAAATAAATAAATAGAAATAAAAATAAAAGTCACATGCCCGTAGTGACTGAATTCAATCACTATGAAAGGTTATACAATCCAGGTTAGTTTCCTGCTCGTTTCATGCCCCCATTCACTCTCCAGAGGGGTCCGTTGTCAACCCATCCACCCAGAAATTCCCCACCTACACAAACACATGCAAATATCTTTTTGCAAAAAAAAAAAAAAAGCTGTCTATCATCACCAGTTTTTGCATTTTTGTTTTAATTTAATAACATAAATTGGCGTGCTTTTCCTATAAAATCTGTCTCATTCATTTAGACGTCAGTATAAGATTCCATTATATAGATGCATCATAATTTATATCCCCAGCTTCTAGTTTATGGCCATTACAAATCTTGCTACAGTGAGCGCCCTTGTTCATATTGCCACAGGATATCTAAAGGGCAAATTCCTAGAAGTGGAATTAGAAGTCTCAAATTACATGCACTTATGTACGTAAGGCAAAATTGCCACCAACGTAAACTCTGGTCCAGTTTCTACTGCCACCAGCAGTGCTGAGAGCCCTGTTCCACCACACCTGAGTCATCACTGCAGATGATCAAACTTGTTCATCTTTGTCAATATAATTGGTGAAAAATGGCATCGTCTTCCGATTTGCATTTATGAAGCAGTGAAGTTGAGCTCCTTTTCATGTATTCGCAATATAGTAGGTTGTGTTGTGTTGTTTTGTTTTGTTTTGTTTTTAAGTGAGGCTAAGATCCAGAGAAGAGAAAGAAATGTTTTAAATGTTACTGTCAATAGCTATAGAGCAGTCAGCTATGCTCATGTCAGCCCCACGTTAGTAACTTATAAACATCCAAATGGAGGGGTCAACAAACATCACTAGCTTCATATTCAGGCCAAAATGCTTTCTACCAAATTCATCTACCACCTGAGCTTCCGAGTGGGGGAGAGATTGAGCCCAACTCAACGGCAACTGGACACGACACTTTCCTCTCTCTGCTGCACCTTCCTCCTTCCAGAGTGGCCCCATTACTGAAGTGTTTGTTAACTTTTGTTAAAACACACTCTCTTTTGGTACAAAAGAGAAGTCTGGTGGGGGAATGGAACGTTGTGGTGTTGGAATCATTACGTCTTATCCCGACCTAGCAAAATGTGTCTCTTTTTGTTTTTCCTGCTTTTGATTTTAATGTTTTATTTCATTTTTGCTCTGAACAGGTGACACATTCACATGGTTCAAACCTCAAAACAACATAACCAGGTGAACTTTGAGAAGCCTGGTTCCCACCCCCGACTTGATCATCATCTCATCCCCCACCCCTTATAATTACTCTTCTCCTTATTGTCAATAGTTTTTATTATGGAAATATCAGAGCTGGGTACAGTGGCGCTCACCCACAGCTACTCAGGAGACCGAGGTGGGAGGACTACCTGAGCCCAGGAGGTCTACAGTGAGCCGTGATCACACCACTGCACTCCAGCCTTGGCAACAGAGCAAGACACCGTCTCATAAAAAGAAAGAAGATAATAGGGGTTTTGAATTGATCTTCTAAATTTCAAAATATATAATAGTGCATAGGCTTTTTCAAACGATCTTGCTCCACTCACCTCTACCCAGCAGGCATCTTCCTCCCTTTTGAGAAGCCCTGGAAGAGAGATCCCCAAAGTTCTGTCCATGACGAAGACCATGCGGCAAACGTGAGAGGGAGCCACAATGCAGCTGCCATACATAAATAATGTTTTCACCGTCAACATTTCCCAGGAGGGACATTGCTATTTTGTGAGTGAGCACCTCATCCCTGGGAGCATTCAAAGAGATGCAGCCAGGGACAGTGTAGAGCTTTCCACAGGTGTCAGGAGAAAGGAGCATGAGACTTCTTCCACTTCCGGAATTCCACGTTAAAATTTATGTATTCAACACACATATATAAATACAGCTTCCTGTGTGCCTACCAACGTGCTAGAGAGTGCCTGCAGAGAGCTGCATCATAAGCCCTGCCTGCATTCGGGGAGACGAGGCCAGCGCTGTTGTGCACAGGGTTGCAGGTTTTTCAGTGCACACATTTCCTAACTGCACGGGGAGTTCGTGAGCCAGACAGCTAGCCAGGTAGCAGACAGAGGCACATGGAGAAGGTGTCAAGAGTCAGTGGGACGGGGCAATGGAGAGCAGAACAGAACAGGAACGGCTCCTCCAGAAGCTGAATCCTGAGAGGCAGCCTCTCTGCACCGCACTCCTCATGGCCTCCCTGCCTATCAGGCGTCACAATGGTGTGACTGATATGCTCTTGGAATGGCCGGGAGTGGCACTGTGGGATCCTGGAGCTGTGACAACAAATGGGAAAGGAATCCAGAGGCCTGGGCACTGCCTCTAACTGTCTCAGCTGTGGACAGCCACCAGCCTCCCTTCCAGGGTCCTCCCCATTGGAACAACCAGGACACCTGGTCCCCTCTCACCTTGTGCAGGTGTCAAAAATGCCCACCGGAGCCAGGCATGGTGGCTCACGTCTGTAACGCCAGCACTTTGGGAGGCCAAGGCAGGTGGATCTCTTGAGGTCAGGAGTTCGAGACCAGCCTGGCCAACATGGTGAAATCCCATCTCTACTAAAAATACAAAAATGAGCTGGGCATGGTGGCGTATGCCTGTAATCCCAGCTACTCAGGAGGCTGAAGCAGGAGAATCACTTGAGACACACAGATGGAGCGGTGACCATGTGAGGACACACCCACAAGAGGGCCATTTGCAAGCCAAGAAGAGATGACTGGGGAGAAACCAACCCTGCAGACACCTTAATCTTGGATTTCCAGACTCCAGAACCGTGAGAAAGTAGATTTGTTGTTTAAGCTCCCTGGCCCTGTGGTATTTTGTTATCACAGTCCTAGAAAACTGATACCATCATTATTTATCCCTTTGGTGTTTTTAATCTTTCTTCTTTTCTGAGCCATTTGTGGTTTCCTTCTCTATAAGAGTAGATTACAAGTCCTTACGAGAGGAAGCCATAGATTGTGTCTCCCACTCACACGAGCAAACCCATAAAACCCATACTTGCAAATCCGCACACGCGCACACACACACACACACACACACTGTCTTGCCTCTCCATCCAATAATCTCTCAGTCAAGAAATGTTCCCCCAACCAATTAAAGCGTTGGTTATAGTCCATGGGTAAATCTTGATTTATGAGCCACCTTAAAATGAGAGAGCCCCTCTCCAACGTGACAAGAGGGGCTCCCATGTCCGCTGACCTGTGCAGTTAAACAACCTTGATAGGTGTTTCCTTTTCCTCCTCCCTGCCTTCTTCCGGCGTGCTCTCCCAGCCCATCCCTGGTGATCCTCATGCCTCCCCAAATCATTGCATACTTGCCTCAAATATCCACAGCCATGCATTTGGGGGAAGAGGATAAATCTTTCCCTTCCTCTTCAATAAATAATGATGCGTATATGATTTTAAAAGCACATTCATCCCATCCACCAGAATGAGTCCATAGGGAGCATGAGGGACACGTCTACTTCCTGGCGGCTCCATGTGCACCGCCCAGCCTGTGGTGGCTGAGCAGGGCCTGAGCTGGCTAGAAGCTGCCCTGCACTAAGGAAGGGTTCCCCAGCAACCCCAAAATGCACCCATTAACTCAGTCTTCCTCACTGGAGAACACTTCAGCTGCCAACTGCTCAGAAGTATCACCAGGGACTTGGAAGCCATTTTAGTTCACTGCTAAAATCTGGTCTTTTCTGAAGGCAGAGGCTGTCCTGAAACTGAGGATGAGAGCTCAGCCAGCAGGAAATCTACCCACCAAATACGGGGCACCATAGTGTGACAGCTTGTTCTCCTTATCAGCTTTCCAAAGATAGTATTAAGTCCAATGCATAGAAGCTGTAATAGAGGCTTTTTCCTTTCTGTCTCGCTCTACCTAATGAAAATGATTTATCTATTATGAAACAAATCATTTTTATTTTTATAATGTTATTTTATTGAAAAAAAGCCATAAGATTAAAATAAGAATTCAAGTCCAAAATCATCCTCAAGTCCATCCCCTAAGAAAAGTTCATGTTTCTCTTTATCTGAATTATTCTTGCCCATTTGCAGATGTAGTTTTCACAAAAATAGTTTTTAAATCAAGTAAATAACAAGTAGTTTGCTTTTTCTTTCTGAGAAATGTGATTTCCTTGGAAGGACACGAGGGTAAAACATGAAAATGAGTGAAAAGCACCCAGAGCGTGAGTCATGGGCTGTGATCCGGCAGCCAGGTCCGAGGGAGGGGGCGCCGGCCATGCACGCTGGATGCTGCAGGCAGACCCAGACACTGCAGTGAGCTCCCCTGCCATGGGGCAGCACTTTCCCTTCCAGAAGGCGCTTCTGCACACACACCCACTCGATTCCACACTCGCTCTCAGTCTGTAAGTGTGCTGCCTCTTGGGGGAAAATCCACCTGTTCACATCTGAATATTTTCCCTCTGGGGTGCCCCTTCTCTCCTTATCCCAATTTGCTACAAGCGGGCCCTTCAGCCAGCAAGCCGACTCAAGAGGGCAAAAGCTTCACTTAATTCCTTCCCAGACAAGTTGTTCCAAAATATTCTTTTCAAACAAATCGTAATCAACAGCAGGAAAATGTCCCAGGGACGGAGGGCCCAGTGCTCACCTCTTTGCAGCTTCCTCTGTGCCCGCTGTGGGGTGCGGGGGCTGAATTCCCCGTGAGCAGCTCCCCGGAGGGTCCCCACCCTGCCAATCAGGTCCCCTGCTGTAGTGTAGACAGCATTGGGCAGTGAGGATGCTGCACTGAACCCGCTTCCCACTCTTCCTGCTCCCCATCAGGCTGGGACAGAGTCCCCGTCCACCTCCGGGCTCCTGACTTCTGGGAAACTCCTGCTCCGGGACTCCGGCCCAGAAGCCAGCTCCAGGCCCCACTTCCAAATGCTCATCCAGCCTATGGGTTGACCAGCAGTCACTCATGTCCTCTGCTAGCCTGTCTTCAGCTTGCCCTGCCTCCACCCCACGGCCCCTGAGCAGAAGCAGCAGCCCAGGTCCTCTGAGCCAGGAAGGAAAGGCAGAGAGCAGAGGACAGGCTCCCTAACCGAGTTCTGTATCCCGCCGCCAGTGCCAGGGCGCCACGGCCCAGGCCAGAGCGTGAGGAACAAGCCACCAAAGTAAGAAAGCAGCCACACGGCAGCCCGAATGCTCATGCGTTCCAGAGCATTCTCCAGGAACTTTCTCATTCATCCCTCCACACTTTTCTGCTTTTCAAAATAATGCTGGTACAGGGCCAGACACACACGCATGCCACACACATGCACTAGACTCCCTACAGGCTCACAGACACACACCAGTGCACACACTGCGCGTTCCTCTCTGCTGACATCTGAGCGAGGCAGGTTCACAAGCAGCCAGCGGCCTCCCACATCCACCCGTCGCAAAGGCATCAGCCTTCTCCCCTTTCTCACTTTCAACAGCCCCTTCGTTCACCTACGTGTGGACCTGTGGCCAAAGCTGCAGTATTCGGGAGAGAAAAGGAATCGAATGCTTGGTTTTATCAGAGGAGGCACGGAACAGGTGCTTGCCTAGAGATCAGACGCCAAGCCATGGCCATACCTGTTCTTCCCAGTGGACTCTGGCACCCACCAATGTGGGCGTTTCCCACGTGGCCAACATCCTTTTTGCTTCTTTCCTTCTTTTCGTTGCCCACTCAGACGACAGGGATGCCCCGGCCACACAGTCACTAGTCTGCTAGGAAGTGACCTGGGTATCTTGACACCCGGCTGCCCGGGCTAACGATGGGCCCTCAGAATGGAACCCTGGAGCCTGGCAGGGCGGAGGCTGCCTGGGAACCCGCCAGGGGTTCCTGTTTCCTGGGCCAATGTGTGACCAGAGGAGTGCGAGTGTGTGTGAACATGCAGACCGTTTGTAAGTGTGTGTGCACTTAGGGGTGTGTGTGTGTGTGTGTGAGGGAATGTGTGGTATGGGGTATGTGTGTGTGTGTGTGTGTGTGTGTGGTGTACACATGCGGTGTGGGAAGGGCATGAATGAATGTGGTGTATATTGTGTGTGTGGTGTGTGTGTGTGTATATGTGTGGTGTGTATGTATGGTGTGTGTGGTGTGGTGTGTGTGTATATGTGTGGTGTCTATGTTTGTGTGGTGTGTGTGTGGCAGGTGTATGTGTGGTGTGGTGTGGTGTGTGTGTGGTGTGGTGTAGTGTCTGTTTCTGTGTGTGGTGTGTGTGGCAGGTATATGTGGTATGTGTGTATGTGTGTGGTGTTTGCGTGGTGTATGTGCGGTATGTGTGTTGTGTGTGTGTGTGTGTGTATATGTGTGGTGTATGATATGTGGTAGGTGTTGGTGATATATGTGTGTGATGTGGTACATATATGGTCTGGTGTGTGTATATGTGTGGGGTGTGTGTGGTGTGGGTGTATGTGGGGTGTGTGTGTTGTGTGCTGTGATGTGTGTGTGTGATGTGGTGTGTGTATATGTGTGGTGTGTATGTGTGGTGTGGTGTGTATGGTGTGTCTGTGGTTAGGTGTATGTAATGTGCATGTGTGGTGTGGTATGTGTGTATGGGTGGGGTATGTGTGGGGTGTGTGGTGGGTGTATGTAATGTATGTGCAGTGTGGTGTGTGTGTATACATGTGGTGTGGGGTGTGTGTGTGTGGGGTGTGTGTTGTAGGTGTATGTAATGTGGGTATGGTGTGTGTGTGTATATATGTGGTGTGTATGTGTGGGGTGTGTGTGGTAGGTGTATGTAATGTGTGGTGTGGTGTGTGTGTATATGTGTGGTGTGTATATGTATGTGTTGTATGTGTGGTGTGTTTGCATGTGTGGTGTGTGTGCACTCATGCACACTTACACAGTGTGTGTGAGCATGTTGGCCCTGTGTGGCTCTTTGCGTGTGAGTGTGTGCCATGTGTATGAGCGTGTGTGTGTGTGTGTGAGCCTGCTACCATTGTGCCTGTGATATGCTGAGGAAGCCTGCAGAGAGCAGGACTGGGGTGTGGATTCCAAGTCTTGGCCAGTGCACAGCAGGATGGGGACCAGGGAAACCCCTCTCCTGAGCCTGTGCCCTCTCGAACATAGGGGCAGGTTCGCAAGGACCAGAAGGGATCTGCCTCCCATCTGCCACCGCCCCATCAAAGGCAGAGCTGAAGTGAGATCAGTTGGGTTAGGGCTCCACGGAAAACCAGGTAAGCCCCAGGGACCACAGGCCGACTAAGGCTGACAGCAATTAGCTGATTAGTGAGGGGCAGAGGGCAAATCCAGTTCCACAATCAAGGACCATGAATGCAGAACTGTCAGTGGATCCCATGGGGGTGGCGCAGGGGCATGGAAATGCCCTGGCTCAGGACACGGAGCAGCCAGGTCAGAGCCCAGCTGAACTCTTAGGAGCTATGTGACCCTGGGCTGTTCACTCACCCTCTCTTGGCCTTATTCCACTCGCACACTCAGATGCTATTATAACAAGCAGTCCCTGGACAGCAGTCAAGTCCACAGAGGGGCTCTGCAACCCATGACATACTACTCAATTGCTAGTTTCCAAAAAGTACCTGGGGGCTGATCCAAAATGTGGGAATGGCAGGTCCCAGCAGAGAGAGAGAGGCACTGGTAAAGCCGGGAGAGTGAGGCCGCCAGGCATCACCAAGGGCCACACGAACCAGGGAGGAGTGACAGAGGCAGGAGAGGAAGCTGGGGGACAAGGCCCAGCAGAGGGCCCTTAGGCTAAAGGAGGCCGTTAAACAGAGCAGGAGATGGGACAGTCAGCACTGGGACGAGACATGGGGGCTGACTTGGAGACAGTGAGACCTGATAGGAAGACATCACGCAGGAGTCCTGTTGCATCACTGTGAGTCACTCTAGGAGGATTATGCAACATATGATGAGTGTACAATATTAGCCGGGCGTGGTGGCTCACGTCTGTAATCCCAGCACTTTAGGAGGCCGAGGCTGGTGGATCACTTGAGGCCAGGAGTTTGAGACCGGCCTGGCCAACATGGTGAAACCCCATCTCTACTAAAAATAAAAAAATTAGCTGGGCATGGTGGCACGCACCTGTAGTCCCAGCTTCTTGGGAGGCTGAAGCATGAGAATCGCTTGAACCTGGGAGTCAGAAGTTGCAGTGAGCTGAGATCGTGCCACTGTGCTCCTGCCTGGGTGACAGAGAGAGACTCTGTCTCAAAAAAAAAGAAAAAAAGAAAGAATATGCAATGTACAGTGAGTATGAAATATACGACGAGTATGCAACATAAGATGAATATGCAACATATGATGATTATACAATGTACAGTGAGCATGCAATATACAATGAGCATGCAACACATGAATATGCAACACTTGAGTATGCAACATAGGATGAATATGCAACACATGAATATGCAAAACATGATGAATATGTAACATGAGTATGCAACATGATGAATATGCAACATATGGACATATACAATGAGTCTTCAATTATGATGGATGCAACATGTAAATATACAATATATGAGTCTGCAATATACAATATACAAGGAATATGAAATATGAATATGCAATGGATGAGTATACAACAGATGATTAGCATACAACATGTAATAGACAAAATGCAATGAATATACAACACACGGTGTGTATACAACATACGATGAGAATACAACATGCAATGGCTCTACAATATAGAATATAAAATCCATGACGAATATACAATATACAACGAATATACAATACACAGTGAAGGCCTGAGCCCAGGTGGTGGGAGTGGGAGCAGAGTAGAGGCTGGAAAGGTCACTGGGGAGAATAACCAGGACTGGGCTGCAGGAGGATGTCGGGCTTAAGTGACGGCGACTGGAAGCAGGACTCTCTGCTCTCTAGTTTGGGAGACAGCCAGGGCTGCGGCGCCATCTCCAAGACGAGGAAGATGTGGCCTCTAAGAACAATTAAACCTTTCTGGAAACGTTTCTACCACTTCCTGGAAGCCTTCCGAGGATCCCACCTCAGTCTTCCGGCCGCCGGTCCATCACTGGGGCTAGAGGATTTGAGGAAGCCTCACCTGCATACAGGTCAGCTGGTTTGTAGGAAAATATCCTGCCCATGTCCCCTCCGGAGGATTAACCAGAAAAAGGCATGTCTGCTGCCCCCTCGGGGACGCTGGGGCAGCTTGGTGGGAAGGGTTGGGTTCAGAGGGCTAAAAATGGGCCACAGGTGCTCCTAGAGGCCACCATGTGGGAGAAGCCAGACCCAAGTCCACTGGGGCAAGGGGAGGGCCTGGGCGCAAGCAGACACAAAGTCCAGAAGGCAAAGGCAGGGGCACAGGTGGGAGGAGCCCAGGGTCTGAACCCCGGTGAGAAGGCCAGACGGTCAGAGAGGGAAGGGTCTGGGGCAGGCCCACCATGCCTGTCCCTTCCCAGGGAGATGCCACCCAAAGGGGCGGGGCTTGCCCCTGGTGCCCCAGGTGGAAAGCCCCAGTCAGAGCTGCAGGAATCCCATCCGGGCGTGACTTCAGCACTGCAGCCCCTCGGCCCAGCACTCTCCACAGGGCCTCCTGCACACCCTCTGAACAGAGGCCCAGGACGGGGCCCCTTCCACAGCCAGGCCCAGCATCAGCAGCCCGAGAGAATGCTATGCGTTCCCAGCAAGTGGGGAGCCGCCCCTGGCTTTGGATAACTTGTCCCAAAGCCCCTTGCTTTCTGACAAGAGTACCCCGCTCCAGCTGTGCTCGGTTTTACCTCCACAGTTCTCCAAGCCCTCCAAACTCAGACCCTCCCACCAAACCCATTTCCTCTCGAGGGTCTCATGGTGGTGGTGAGAGGGCTGAGGTCCCACTCTTCTAAGGAATAGAGTGCAAACACCCTTCTGGGCCACAACTGCCTAAGGTCGGCTTCACTGGAAATGATACAACATTCGAGGCCCCCAAAGTGCTCTGACGCAGTGGATTCTTGATAAAGGTCTTGGAGAGTGGGTCCCCCAGAGCCGAGGGCACCCCCTCTGAGGCAGGCTGGACCCATCCCACGCTGGGCTCAGAAACCTTCCTCCAGACAGTGCTGCTGAGCCTCGAACCCAGGCAGCCGAAGCCATTACATGAGAACCGTGGGCCTGGGCCCGGTGTCCACTCTGGGAAAATCCACAGAGCCATGGCCGTGGTGACAGGCAGCCACCCACAGCCACCGCAGGGACGGGAGGGGAGCAGTTATGGGCTGGTTACAACTTATGGTCACAGAAAATAAAACGGGGAGACGTCCAGCTCTGGGTGGAAAAGCCCCATCTTTTTAAGCCTGGAAACTATGCCATGTCTCCACGTGCGTATTAAAGATTTCCCAATTCGGAAGTCACTGAGCACCAGTCCTTCTAATAGAGCCTCAGATAGATAGTCTGTTTTCTTGAAGATCAAGTTTGAAACTTCACTCTCTGGAGAAAAGAACAGGATATACATGAAATCCGCAGAAACACAAAGAACCATCCTTCAATGTAAACTTAAAAATTACAAAATAGAAGTAAAATAGGAAGTAACTTTTCCCTCCCTTCACTCAACCACCATTCACCTGAAATCCTTGCCGAAACACTTCAAAGTGTGTGGGGGGGCTGGAGGCAAGTTGCCCGGATGCGGGACCCTCATGCACTATGAAGGGAGTGCAAATTGCTACAGTCCCTTCCAGAAGCGACAAGACAATATATATATTCTCTAAATATTCTAGCCATTTCACCCCCAAATCCCTCTGCTGGGAACCTGCCCTAAGGAAGCAATTCAAAAGATCAAAATCGTATGCACAAAACATGTTCACTGTGGTATTCCCTATAAATTAAAAGTCAAATGCTACAGCCATAAAAAGGAACGAGGTCATGTCCTTTGCAGGGACATGGGTGAAGTTGGAAGCCATCATCCTTAGCAAACTAACATAGGAACAGAAAACCAAACACTGCATGTTCTCACTCATAAGTCGAAGTTGAACAATGAGAACACATGGACACAGGGAGGGGAACAACACACACCAGGGGGTGTGGGGAGTGGGGGGAGAGAGAGCATCAGGATAAATAGCTAATGCATGCGGGGCTTAAAACCTAGATGATGGGTTGATAGGCGCAGCAAACCGCCATGGCACATGTTTACCTATGTAACAAACCTGCACATTCTGCACTTGTATCCCGGAACTTAAAGTAAAAAAGAAATAAATAAAGTCAAACGCAACTTAAGTATTTAACATCTGGGCATCATAAGTAAATTATCTTGCATCAAATCAATATAATATTATGTAGTATTTAAAATTGTAATTATGCTAAGTATAGTAACAAAGAAAATAACTTACAGAAAATATCTGAATATTGGACAAGGTCAAGAAGGCACTCCCCCAAAATGAAAGTCATTTATTTACCTTTGTATCTAACTGTCCTTCACTTTATTCCAGAAAATTCTCAGGGAACCCTTGTACACATGCTTTACTAGGATGCTGGAAATGGGGTTTATTCCTTTAAAAACATTTTTGACAATTTATTCTGAGAAAATTATCATGCACTCATTGCTGTACTGCTACTATTTTCTAAATGGGAATAGCATAAATGTCCAATAATAAGGGATTTAAAAAATAATAGATACCCAAACAATGGAATATTGTGCTACCAATCAAACTTATGTTGTAGGAGAATAATGACATCAGAAAATGTTTCTGATATATTAAATGAAGTAAATTACAAAATCGATTTTAAAGATTAGTTTCTGTTTTTTAAAAGGTATATATTTTTAATTTTAATTCCTTAATATTTTTCTTTTATATATAATAAATGTTAATTCAAAATGGAAAAAGTGTTCCAGAGCTGAGCCTGATAATTTAAGAATAAAAATATCCAAGGGTTAAGAGCTAAAACTATAAAATTTTTGAAAGAAAACATAGTTGTAAATCTTTATAACCTTGGATTAGGAAACAACAGACATGTGACAACTAAAGAAAAAATATTAGATAAACTGGAAAGAGAAAAGACATGGAAGAAAATTTTTTCAAATCATATTTCTGATAAGGGCCTAATATCCCAAATCTATAAAGAACTCTTAAAATTCAACAATAAAAAGACAACAAATCCAATTCAAAAATGGGCAAAGGATTTGAATAGACATGGTTCCAAAGCTGTACAAACAGTCAACAAGTGCATGAATAAATGCCCACCGTCATTAGTTATTAAAGGAATATAAAGCAAAAACCACAAGGAGATACCCCTTCACACCCGTTAGGACCACTTAAAGAAAGAAAGATATGGTCTATCTTGTAATTGTCTGACAAGTTTAGTTAAGGAAGATGTGGAGAAACTAGATCCCTCCTGCATTTCTAGTGAGAACGGAAAATGATGCAGCCACTTACCAAACCAGTTTAGCAGTTCCTCAAAAAGTTAAACATAATGTTACCATTTGACTCAGCAATTCCACTGCTAGGTATGTACCCAAGAGAACTGAAAACATATGTCCTCCTCTTGTGAAATTCCACCATGGTGTACCATGGCCAGGGCCAGAAAGTGCAAAGGGTTATGGTGCAGCCCATCAACCTCATCTTCAGATACTTACAAAATAGATCACGGATTCAAGTGTAGCTCTATGAGCAAGTGAATATGAGGATAGAAGGCTGTATCATTGGTTTTGATGAGTATATGAACCTTGTATTAGATTATGCGAAGAGATTCATTCTAAAACAAAGTCAAGAAAACAACTGGGTCGGCTCATGCTAAAAGGAGATAATATTCCTCTGCTGCAAAGTGTCTCCAACTAGAAATGATCAATGAAGTGAGAAATTGTTGAGAAGGATACAGTTTGTTTTTAGATGTCCAATATGAACATTTATTCATATTGTTTTGATTACCCTTATGTTATTACAAGATGGCAATAAATGCTGTGGGATTGTTTGTACTAAAAAAAAAAAAGAAAGAAAAAAGAAAACATATGTCCTCCCAAAATTTGGTACAAGAATGTTTATGACAGCATGATTTATAACAGTCAAAAAGGGAAGGAGGGCTGGGCGTGGTGGCTCACGCCTGTAATCCTAGCATTTTGGAAGGCCAAGGTGGTGGATCACCTGAGGTCAGGAGTTTGAGACCAGCCCGGCCAACATGATGAACCCCCCCACCTCTACTAAAAACACAAAAATTAGCCGGGCTTGGTGGTGGGCACCTGTAATCCAAGATGCTTGGGAGGCTGAGGCAGGAGAATCGCTTGAACCTGGGAGGCAGAGGTTGCAGTGAGCCAAGATGGCGCCCATGCACTCCAGCCTGGGGACCAGAGTGAGACTCTGTCTAAAAATTAATAAAAATAAAAAAGAGAAGCAACCCAAAAGTCCACTAACTGATGAGTTAATAAATAAAACATGATATATCCATATCTATACCATGGAATATTATTTGCCAATAAAAAGAAAGAATAATTAACGCATGCTACAACATAAACAAATCATGGAAACATTATGCTCAGTGCAAGAAGCCAGACACTAAAGGTGTGCATTATACTCTTTCATTTGTAGGAAATACGGCAAATCCGTAAAGACAGAAAGTAGATGATCAGTGGTTGCCAGAGGCTGGGGGAAGAGGGAATGGGAAGTGAATGCTAATGGGTTTCCGGGTTTCTTTTTGAGGCAGCAAAAATGTCCTTGAATTAGATAGTGCTGATGACTGCACACCTTTGTGAATATACTAAAAACCACTGGGCTGTACTTTTTAAAGAGGTGAATTTTATGACATATGAATCATATCTCAATTTTTAAATTATGGCAAATATATACAATAATGCACCACATAACAGTACTTCAGTCAATGTCAGACCACATGTACCATGGCCATCCAATGAGATTATAATGAAGCTGAAAAGTTCCTGTCTCCTGGTGGTGATGCTATAGCTGTCATCATGGCATTAACCCAACACATTACTCACGTGTTTAATGTAAACAAACCTACTGCGCTACCAGTTGTATAAAAATCTAGCACATAGAATTGTGAATAGTACATAATACTTGATAATGATAATAAATGACTATTATCATAATATAGTATGTTGTACTAATTTATGTACTTACTATATGTTTTATCGTTATTTTAGAGTATACTGCTTCCACCTTTTTTTTTTTTTTTTTGAGACGGAGCCTCGCTCTGTCACCCAGACTGGAGGGCAGTGGTGCAATCTCGGCTCCCTGCAACCTCTGCCTCCCAGGTTCAAGCGATTCTCCTGCCTCAGCCTCCCAAGCAGCTGGGATTTTAGGCACCCGCCACCACGCCCAGCTAATTTTTGTGTTTTTACTAGAGAAAGGGTTTCACCAGGTTGGCCAAGTTGGTCTCAAACTCCTGACCTCAGGTGATCCACCCGCCTCGGCCTCCCAAAGTGCTGGGATTACAGGCCTGAGCCACCGCACCCTGCCTCCTTCTACTTATTAAAAAGCAAAAGTTAACTATAAAACAGCCCCAGGCAGGTCCATCAGGAGATATTTCAGAGGAAGGCATTGCTATCATACCAGATGACAGCTCCATGTGTGTTTCTGCCCCTGAAGACCTTCCAGTGGGACAAGATGTGGAGATGCAAGACAGTGATATTAATGATCCTGACCCTGGGTGGGCCTAGGATAATGTGTGTGTGTTTTAGCTTTTAACAAAAAAGTCAAATTTTTAAAAATTTTTAAATAGAAAAAAAACGTATAGAATAAGGATATAAAATATTTTTGTAGAGCTGTACATTGTGTCTGTGTTTTAAGCTGTTATTACAAAAAAGTCAAAAAGTTGAAAAAATAGAAAGTTTATTAAGTAAAAATGTTACAATAAGCTAAGGTTAATTTATTATTGAAGCAAGAAATTTTTTTTTATAAATTTAACATAGCTGAAGTGTACAGTGTTTACAAAGTCTACAGGAATGTACACTAATATCTAAGCCTTCACACTCACTCACCACTCACTCACTCACTCACCCAAAGCAACTTCCAGTCCTGCAAGCTCCATTCACGGTAAGCATCCTAGATGGGTGTACTAGGTTTTCATCTTTTATGCCATATTCTTACTGGACCTTTTCTATATTTATATAAACACTTATTCATACCATTGTGTGACAATTGCCTAAAGTATTCAGCAAAGTGACATGCTGTTCGGGTTTGAAGACAAGGAGCAATAGGCTACACCACATAGCCCAGGTGTGTAGCGGGCTCTGCCAAAGGTGTGTGTGACTGCTCTGGGACGGCCTCACCATGGCATCACCTAATGATGCATTTCTGAGAACGGATCCCCGTCGTTAAGTGATGCTAACTATACTTACGAGTACATTGTGATGAGTCATTATTTACAGGTCATTTTAAACCCAAACAGTGATTTACAGGGACTCTATCTCCTAGAACTTTTGAATTTCCTACAGACAGTCACAAGAAAAACATTAAGATGAACTTAGAGAACAAGCTGAGTGCTTTCTCCTTGCATTTCATAACAAAAGGCAATGTTCATAGGGGGATTTCAGATAGTGTGTTGATTTAGGGAGAAAAATCACATTGCTTGAAGAATTCAAATCAAACTATAGGTTCAAATACTCTACTACCTAATCAGAGATTTCTATTTACACCCAAATAGGAACGGTCAAACCTGAATTATTATTATTATTTATCATAAACCTAAAGTCCCGGCTTGAGTAATTCATAGGCACAAAGTGTGGCAGCTACAGTCGCCTATATGTCCCGCCAGTCACTAAAACAGGCACAGTTCTTCATCCACACGCCATTTCCTCTCTGCCCTTCTTTGTACCAAAGATCACTGTGTCCAAGAAAAGCATTCTCAGGAGGCCCGAAACTGTGCTGTGGGCAGAAAATCAGCTTTCTGAAACCCTGAAGCTACTACATGTTTGCTCTTGGTTGAAACTGTGCTCTGAAACCTCCCCGTAAAAGCTTCCACTGGGCCTGGGCCCTAGAGAAGGTGATAACATGTGGAGGACTGAGGCTTCTTCAGATGAGGGGAAACAGAGTCTGTGCAGGTAGACGACATCTGCTTCTCCCTAAGGCGCTGGGTTCTAACTCACTCTCCCTTCAGTTTAACCCAGAATGAGTCCCAGGAGCGAAGCCCTTGCTCCAGTCATCTTAACACCAAGATGACAGGGGGAAGATCAGAGGTGGGAGAGACAGTCAGGAGCCCTGTCCAAGAAGTGCCCTTGGTAGAGGGTCCTGCAGACCTTGGACCACCCGGGCATGACACCAGTCAGCGCCCCACAGGCAGCTCTAAAGGCCTGTGTTCTCTCTTGGGATGGGCTGAAACTCGTTGCACTGTCACTTTGCACACAGGTCCAAGCTTTATGCTACAAAGCAGCATGCAGACCAAGCCTGCCTCAAGTTCACGTGAAAGTCCCTCAGATTCATGAATACATCAACCCTGTCTAGGCCATTGCTTCAGGGACACTGAGAACAGATGAAACCAGGGGGTAGAGATTAAAAGACACCAAATTCCAACCTTCATCTTCGTCTCTGAGTCTGTCACTTAGGCCCAGAAAGTTAAATTCTCTGTTGCCCACAAACAAAATACTGAGTACCACTTCCTCCCCAGGATTAAGATGAGAAACGCTTTAAGGGAATCCCCGTAAAGCACAAAGCAAATCCATTTTATTTTAAGAGAGAAATTCCTAGCCGGGTGAGTCCAGGTTTTTGAGCCTCACGGCGACAAAGGCACATGGCAATTGCTTTCTCCACGTTTCTCCTCCCACCTTGCAGATGCCAAGCGTGGGATCCTCTCTCTCCCTGTTTAGCCCTTCCTCGTGTTTCCCAAGGAAGGACCTGCTCAAGCCCCACCGGCAATTGCACCTTGCATAGGAATCACCCGCAAAGGGCTTTGAGAAGGGACTCGGGCGGCAATGATGAACAGAGCACGGGGATGAGCCTCACCTCAGACACCCTCGCAGGGACCTCCAGCAAGTTCCTTCTCCCAGGCATCCTCAGTGTCCTCACCTGTGAAAGGAAAAGGCTGGAACCCATGATCGCTGAGGTCCCGTCTGTCTTGATCTCTTCTGCCCAGCTCTGCCTGCTGTTCGTGAACTCCTCAACCAGGTCTTAGAAGTGCTGAATACTTTAAATGGTAAATCATCTTGATTGCTATCAAAAATGGGTTTGGCCGAGCTGAAGCTTATTACTGGTCCCATGAGGAATTGCCTGGCCAAATGAACAATGATACAGCAGCTTTGTTGATTTAGCAAGACATTCTTTTCCTTTATTTCCTGTAAAGAAAAAAAAATGCCATCATAAATTCAACTCCTCTGACTCTGCCGGCCACAAACCACTCATTCCACTGTGAAATGCTTGTTGAAACTATGACGTCGTGTAATTCTGGAGGGAAACTGAGGACACAGCTGGCTACAGAGAAGGCCCCACATCTTGGCCAAACCCATTTTTTATAGCAATCAAGATGATTTACCATTTAAAGTATTCAGCACTTCTAAGTCCTGGTTGAGGAGTTCGCAAACAGCAGGCAGATGATGATACCTCGTGGCTGAGGGTCTAGGGGCTTGCGGCCTCAGGATTGAACTGAGAGTTGTAGCAGAGAGATATGGGGGGGGGAGGGGCGACAGCTCAATGTGGGGGAAACACCCAGATATTAAAGCCAGAAGGACCCAGCCTTCATCTCGATTCTTTGATGGCTAGCGGTGGGGCCCTGAGTACTCAGGGCACATGAGCGGGAATTGCTGCCAGGAGCTCCAGGGCTGCCAGGATGGAAGCTCTTCCATCCTAGGGCCCTATTTCAAAAGTAATTTTAAAAAAAAAAAACCCCAAAGCCAGTATCATGATTGACTGAAATTAATCACATCACTCCAAAGGCATCTTCCACCAACACTGGCCCTCTGTCCTGGTCTGAGAGTGGATAGCGGTGGAGTGATCAAATGACTCAGGTTGGAAGTTGCAGGAAAAACCCCCTGAGTGAGCAGTATGGCCAGGGCGGTGGGTCAAATGAGAGTGGCACTCAGAGCAGAGGCTGTGCACACTTACCCATCCATCATTTATTATTTCTTCATCCAACCACCACTCACTGAGAACTTCGTCTGTGTGAGGCCCTGGGGAACTACAATGAATACAATGTGGCTTTGGTGGTTGAAGCTCACAGATGAAAACAGAATGCTGGTGTGTCTACAAGGAGCCGATCCTCTTACAGATATTGTTTCACTGAATTTTATCATCACTTTGAGGTCCGTGTTATAATCTTCATTTTACATCATGAGGTTGTTGAGAAGCATTTGAGGTTGAATAATTTAAGTCACTGTCTTAGTCAACCTGGGCTGCCATCACGAAATATCACAGCCTGGATGCCTTGAACATCACAACTTCATTTCCTCTCAGTTCCAGTGCCAGCAAATTCAGTGTCTGGTGAGGGCTCTCTTCCTTACTCACAGATGCCACTTTCTTACTGTGTCCTCACGTGGCAGAGAGAAACAGCCAAATCCCTCTCTCCCTCTTTTTATAAGGCCACCAATCCCACTGGATTAGGACCTCTCCCCTATGATTTCATTTGACTCCAATTACCTCCCAGAAACCCGTCTCCAAATATCACCACATTTGGAGTTAGGATGTCAACATAGAAAGCTGAGGGCGGGGGCACAATTCAATCCCTAACAGTCAGTCAGTCAGTCTCAGAACAAGATTTAAAACTGGATGCATCTGCTTCCAAAGCTGGTGTCCGCTCTACTCTACTACCCTACTCTACTCTACTCTACTCTACTGTACTCTACTCTACTCGCTGCCTTCTCCACGCTTACCACTTGCAGGTTATAGACCCCTTGAGAATGATTTGGGGGGACATTCTTGGCCCCCAGCCTTGTGCTGAGTATCACCAGCTCTTTGGGCAGTGCCAACATTTCAGGATCGGTGGGCACCCCCTTCTCACTTGTTGTTGAGGTTGATGTCCTATATTAATTTTAATGATTTTGCCACATTCACCTCCAATTGTCACCATTTAAGCAAGAGCCTTAAACAGGTGTTCCAAGGTCACATGCGTTTGGAATTTGTTTCCCTGCCCTTTGTCCTGGGAAGATATCCACCTCTGGGGGGAAGATCAAAGTGCAAATTCCTGACTGCCTCTCCTCGTGACAAAAACCACATGCAGAATGCCATGCTGATAGGACAAGTGTGGTATGCAGCTGGAGAGGCAAGTCGGCTGAAAAAGGAGACGCCTCTCCTCCCCCTTCAAGGCCCAGCCTGAAGCCATAAAGATCTTTGGTGCTTTAACTAGGATTAAGAAAATTCCAGGCGGAAACCAACAGTTGACTTCTTTGGGCTTTCTCTTGATTAACTCCACATAAACCAAAGTTCTATGCCTTGTAGAATTCCAACTATGGATATTCTCAATCAATCTACTATTTCCCATGACAGAAGCAGGTATTGGTCCTTTGCAGACATTGAAAATAGGCCAAACAGAGCCTCGAATAATTTGGCCTCATGGGGCCACAATCCATCTCAGTTTTTAATGCATGTTTCTCTTCAGCAGATTGTGCACGAATGATTTTACTAATGAGGTAAGGAGGACACACCTCAATAAAGCCAAGTAATTACTCTAACTCAAAATACTTGCACAGCACCTCCAATATGGATTATAAACTAGCATGTTCAGATAAACTGAAGCCCACTCAGCTTCTGTGTTGGATGTGGAAATCCTCCAGCATTCAGCATGGGCATGCACAGAGCCGGACGCAGGGTTTTTTTGCAAGAAAGTCGTGAGACATGAAGACTGTAAAACAAGCCTAGTTTCTGGGATACAGAAGTACAGACCATCAGTTTGTGTTTGTCCTCGAGTCTTTGTCTTCTTATAACTGAAGGGCCTTGGACAGGTGATCCCCATGAGCCCCCATCTCTTCAGGATATTCCTCATGTAAAACAGAAGTAACAAGATGGATCTCGCAGTACAACGGAGGGGGTTAGAGTAGATAAGGCGTGCAACAGTGCTGTGAAATCTGTAAAATCCTACAAACACGTTGATTACAAAGATGACTGTGCTAAGCTCAAGAATAGCTACATGTAGTATTCCCAACAGGAAACTCCCCCCAATGTCCAGACACGTCCAATCTGACCCAAATTAATGGATTCTCAAAGAGAATGTAATACTAGCTGTCATGTATTGTGCACCTAGCTCTGTGCACATAGACCTCATTTATCCCTCCCAGCTGCCTCCTGGGTACCAATATTGCAATTTCATGGATAAAGGACACTTAGAATCTGGAAAGTTCAGCTGTCTGCATGAATTAGTCCATTTTCATACTGCTGTGAAGACATATCCTAGACTGGGTAATTTATAAAGAAAAAGAGGTTTAATGGACTCACAGTTCAACATGGCTGGGGAGGCCTCACAATCACAGCGGAGGTGAAGGAGGAGCAAAGGCACATCTTACATGGTGGCAGGCAAGAGAGTGTGTGCCAGGGAACTGCCCTTTTATAAAACCATCAGATCTCCTGAGACTTATTCACTATCACGGGAACAGCACAGAAAAAACCCACCCCCATGATCCAATTGCCTCCCACCAGGTCCCTTCTAGGACACATGGGAATTACGGGAGCTACAATTAAAGATGAGATTTGGGTGGAGACACAGACAAACCATGTCACTGTGCAAATATGTAGAGCTGGATTTGAAGACCAGTTTCAAGAAGGAGGGAGAAGGCTAAAGCAACTCATTCAAGGTGAGACTATGAAGGGGACCCTTGGTCCCATTGGGGGCCGTGCCTCTCCTCTCCATCCACGCCAGTGGAAGGAAACCAGCCAGGTCCAATACGGCTATCGTGTGGCAAAGCAGAAGGCAGAGCTCCGGGGAGAATACCAACCCTACCACACTGCTGCCCGATTGAGGATGGGCTAAGGGCCTCTGCTTCAGGCTTGTTTTTGAAGCTCCCACAGCCTTGTGTGACTCTTGGGATCCTGGAAGTCACAGATGGGCTCCTGGCTGGCCAAGCAGTGCAAAGTGCTAGCCAGCCCGCCTTTGTGCCCACAAGAAGAGGGTTGTGCTGTCCTTGATCTTTTTCATTCCCTGGTGGGTTTATTTGGGCTTTGATCTTTAACCAAAGATCAAATCAAGATCTTTTATCAAAGGTGTTTGTATAGAGAGACACCCTGAAAAGAAAATGCCTTTGTTTGATTAAAAAGTATCAGACACCTCCCTTCCCTCAATGAGTGGTCGGGGTCTTCCACCTCGGAACTGAACACACCAGAAAAGATCAAACATTTCTCTGAGGACGTTTCCCACTGAGACCACGCTGCTGTTACTTTCAAACCAAGGAGAAATGTCTAACCTGCCAACAGCGATCATAAAGTTTGTCGTCAAATATTGAGAAACATCAGAGCACACTATGGATGCATGGCCTTGAACGCTGAAAGCCCTTGTGGTGTTGCCTGGGTCACAAAAGCAATATATCTTCCTGGAGTGATGCTTTTATAGGTTACTGCGGAGTTTTCAAGCTGTAAAGGCCCTGGGTAAGCTTGTCTGACCACCCCCCGACCATGTTGGTGATAAGAAAACTGAAACCCAGCGAGCGAGGACTCATCCAGGGTCACGGAGGTGCTGGACGCAGAGCAGCAAGTGACCAGAGCTTCCATTAGGGCCTGTTTGGAGCTGAATTGAGACCCCCAAAATTCATATGTTGAAGTCTTTACCCCCAGTATTTCAGAAAGTCACTGCATTTGGAGAAACGTTTGTTAAAGAGGAGATTAAGTTAAAATAGGGTCATTAGGGTGGGTTCCAATCCAATTTGACTGGTGTCCTTTTAAAAAGAGGAAATTAAGGCCAGGCACAGTGGCTCACACCTGTAATCCCAGCACTTTGAGAGGCCAAGGCAGGCAGATTGCTTGAGCCTAGGAGTTGAAGACCAACCTGGACAACTTTGTTGGACCCCATCTCTAAAGGAAAAAAATATATATACAAATTAGCCAGGTGTGGCGGCATGCACCTGCAGTCCCAGCTACTCAGGAGGTCGAGGTGGGAGAATCACTTGACCCTGGGAGGTCAAGGCTGCAGTGAGTTGTGATTGTGCCACTGCATGCCAACCTGGGCAACATAGTGAGATCCTTTCTCCAAAATAATAAAAATAAAGGAATTAGGATGCAGACACACATGGAGAGAACACCACGGGGAGACACAGGGGGTAAGGCAGCCACCTCCAAGCCACACTCAGAGGCCTCAGAAGCAGCACACCCACCAAAACTAGATCTCAGACTTCCTGCCTCCGGGCTCTGAGAAGCCAGACTTCTGTTGTTGGAGCCCCCAGTCTGCGGCCCTTTGTCAGGGCAGCCCTGAGCAGCAACACTGTCCCCCTCTGCGTCTCCATGTCACGGCAACCACGTGGGGAACAGGGATTTTGAAGGACATCATTTCTGCACACTTACTTAAAGAGATGCTGGCAAAGCCCTTTTCATGAGTAGACACAGTATGGGAGAGTCCCTTTGATGTTGTTTGTATTGCGCAGATAGTGATAGAAGGTCATGGCAATCATTTTCCTGTGTGATCAGTAAGCTGTCTCTGCAACCACCTCCCAAAGAAGCCATTCAGAATAGTTGAGGCAGGGATGAGATCTCTGGAGTAACTGTGTCCGAGGCATGGTGCTCCCTTCCAGGGATAAGATCAAGTTACTTTGTTTGAAAAAATCTAATGAGAGTCTCATGGATTTATTTTCTTGCTTCCTGAACTGAACTGAGAAGGAAACCATAGGGAGGATTTTTTGTTTGTTTTTTGAGACAAAGTTTTGCTCTTGTCACCCAGGCTAGAGTGCAGTGGCGCAATTTCAGCTCACTGCAACCTCTGCCTCCTTGGTTCAAGCAATTCTCCTGCCTCAGCCTCCCAGGTAGCTGGGATTACAGGTGTGCACCACCACCCCCAGCTAATTTTTTTGTATTTTTAGTAGAGATGGGGTTTCGCCATGTTGGCCAGGCTGGTCTCCAACTCTTGACCTCAGGTGATCCACCTACCTCAGCCTCCCAAAGTGTTGGGATTACAGGCGTGAGCCACCGTGCCCGGCCCATAGGGGGAATTTCTAATGGAAGCATGGATGGAAGTAGGCAGAGGACAGAGTAAAAGAAAGCTTTAAAATGGAACTTGCTCATGTGTGTTCAACTGCCTGTGAGTGTCCATGCACTCTGGACCAGCATTCTGGGTTGCAGAGACGGAGATGAAGGTGCCATGTGGCTGAGGGCTGTGGGTCATAGGCCCTGTAGCACAGTAGTCACACATGTGGACTTGGAGCCAACCTGCCTCCACCACTTGGCTGTGTGAGCTTGGGCAAGTTCCTTGACATCTCTGTGCCTTGGTTCCCCATGATGTTACATGGAAGCCCTAGCAGTGCCTCTCACAGGGTGATGTTAAGGCTCCAGTGAGTAAAGCATGTGGTGCTCTCGGCACAATGGAGGCCGCACAGTAAGGCTTTACCCTTCTGGCTTGTGGGTGAAGTCAGACCCTCTGAAAAGCAATAACTAACAATGCCAAGAGTATCCTAATGAGGGCACATGAAGGGCTTTGGAAACCCCGCATGGGGAGCCCGAGACTTGGCCTACAGTGGGTGGGCACAGATGAACCCTAGGGGGGCCTGGGGAGCTGACTCCGGAACACAGATCCGAGCCTGTTCTGGAAGGGACAACCCCTGTTGGCAAAGAGGGGACAAGGGGAGCCTTGTGAAATACTGCCTGTTTGGGGAAATGTGGGGAGTTTGTTGTAGCTGGGGAGAAGGCTGTGTTGGGGAGGGTGGTAAGAAATGTGACTGGAGAGGTTGAGAGGGTCCAGCCACAACTTTATCCCAAGAGCAAGGGGTTTAGCAGGAGGTGGTGTGGTCAGATCCGCAGCTTAGAATGACTGGCTGCTCCTGCTGCTGGGAGGAAGCTAGATTGGAAGGACAGAGGCTGTAAGCAAGGAGACTCGTAAGTCCAACAGGAGATGATCAGGGCCCTAACGGCAGTACTGCAGAGGCACCACATCCCTTCCCCTCCCTGAGCACGCGGGGAGGAGACCGTCTCCCGGAGTGCATTTCCCAGCCTCCTTTGCAGTGAGCTGAGGGGCCGCAGGACTGAGTTCTGACTAATAGAATGGGGCAGAAACGATGTAACCCATTTCAGGCTTGGCCCTTAACATCTTGCAGGACCCTCTCATCTGCTCTTACTTTCTGCAGCAAATTCAGAAGTACTGGTTCCAGATGGCAGAGCTACAGCTCGAATTAGACGAGATCCCAGAGTGGTGACCTAGAGGTGAGTTGCCAGAAGACCAGCCCGGCCATCCAGACACTGTGTTCAGCCACTGAGATTGCAGGGATATTTGTTACAGCAGCATGACCTAGCCCACCTGACTACGCCAGGAGGACTTGGGGCACTTGGAGAATGAGCAGGACTGGGGGAGAGAAAGGAGTCTAGGGGTGACTTCCTGGATGACCAGGTGAATGGTGGCACCATTAACTGTGGCAGGAGATGCTGGGTGCTAAGTCAGTACTTCTATCTTAGACAAGTGTGTTTGATGAGCTTAGGCAACAAGCAGGAACCCCCTGCAATACGTGCATGAAGCAGCATCAGGGAAAAGGCTAGAGCTGTGGACTTGGGTTTGTTGGCCTCCAGGTGGTCGCTGATGTCTTGTGGAAGGAAAGAGAGTGTCTGGGAGTGCCTTGGAGTGTGCAGGGCAAAGGACACTAATGCACAAGGAAAAGAAAAGGAGAAGGAGCCGGTGAAGGAGCCAGAAAGAGTCTGCTATTCGGGAAGGGGAAGAATGAGGAGAGGGTGATCAATGCCAAGATGCTGATCAACAGGCAAGTCTGATGCAGACCAAATGCACGCCCTGGATGTGGCACACAGTAGGCCCTGGAGGGGCATACAGAGCCAAGCCGGGTCAGGGGATGGAGGGCGGGCACCAATACCATGGTCTGAGACATAAAAGGTGCAGTGGGTGTCCCCGGGAGAAGCCCAGCCCAGAAGGGAAGGAGGGAGGTAAGGGAGATGCTGAGTTGAGAGATGCTCATGCCAAACAGAGAGAGATGGCAGAAAAGCGCAGCAGAGGGGAGGTTGGAGAAGATATAGCAGAGAGAGGTGGCACTTGGTGCAGAGACATCTAACCCCAAGGAGCAAAGGGCATGGTGAGAGATGGAGAAGAAAACCTCCAACTGCCAAGACCTTCCCAGAGCAACGTTCCCCCGACCCCACCCCAGAGGCTTCCAATTCCCTAAGATGGCAGCCAACTAGGGCTGCCGCAGCCTCTCCAGTGTGCCAGCCTGCTGGTGTCAGAAACCATTCAGCCCCATGGCCCAGGGACCAGAGGTTTGTGCCCTCTGCACGTGGCCCTGGTGCAAGGCCCTTGGCTGGGCACCGAAGAAGATAACAAAGTGTTTATGACAGTCGCAACCCTTCAGGAGCTAAAGCAGTCCAGGAGCAAGATAAGGCAAGTTCAGAAATAACTCATCTGCAGCAGACAGATAACTGGTAAGTGCCAGGGAGAGGAGCAGATAATGTGTGAGGGAGTTCACAGGGAGACTCCCTCCTGCTGGAAGAGATCAAGAAAGAAACACTGACGCAGGGCCTGGGGACCCAGGCCTAACCTTTGCATGCCAGTGTCTCTGCCGGGTTCTGGAGTAAATTGTCTCTCCTTCTTCTCGCCGGGGCTCCCTTCTCCATCCCATCAGCTCCAGCTCCTGCTCCCACCGTGGTCAGTGAGCTCGCGCTAGATGAGCATCCTGTTCCTCCGATCACCAGCAGCATCAGAAATCTGATGCATGAACAAGAGCAAAGTCACAGGGCTCCATAGACACCTCCTGGGATTGGGGCACAGACGGAACTTGAGCAGGACTTTAAAAATGAGCAAGTGTTAACAGCTCATGGCAGTCGGCAAGACTGGCTACAACCACAGCACCTGCTCTGACAAATACAGACCATCCTCCTTTATCAAGTCCTCCCTGTTGGATAACGAAAAATCCAACAGGTAAAGTTTGCTTCTCAGATCTTCTGAATAGTCATTGAATTCAGGCCATAAAATAATGTCAAACGCTTAAAAAAGGGAAGGGAATGAGGCATCTTGCGTACTGCACAGAGCAAACTGAAAACCCAGATTTATTTCCATAATGTGAATTTTTAAATATGATACTGAAATGGGCACAAAAGTCAATAACTTTATTAAAATGATTTTGCATTTCTTAACTTGATCTTTTCTGACACTACCCTTTGGAGTCACAGATGAGAAAAGCAAGACACATGACATGTGGTTCTACCTAAGGCAGCAAAGTGAATAGTGGAAAGACAAGCTTGTTCCAGAAACAGCATGGCGGGGAAGGGTGTCTGTCGTTCTAGATCTTTCCAGCTGACTCTGGGGAAAGGATGCAGGGAGAAGAAAAGCTCCTTCCAGGGACTGCCATTTTTCTGTGTGTACATGAGCTTCCGAGGGACGGTGGTCACCTCCAAGGTGAAATTTGTGAGCCACACACTCAAAAAAGGTTGGCGGGCCCGGAGGGGAGTCCAAAGGGAAGCCCCTACACACACAGACATGGAGATGTGCTTGCCTTAGGTCATGAGGATGCCAGAGCGGCTTCCTATGATTATTCAAGCCTGATGGAATTTCACAACTGGTGCGAGATGAGCGCAAGGTGTTTAGACACCTTGCAAGAGCTGGAATGCCAGGAGGGGCGGCCGGGGGGCGGTCTCCTCCAAAATTCAAACCCCCAAACAAGTCCGACTTTCTGCAGACAGCTCCTTCGCCATTCAGTAGGGACCTCTCCCCCAACACGGGACCAGCCCCTGAACTTGAAAATCCTACTTGGCTTCCCTCACCCCAAACACATCGGAGTCGCAAGCCCCACCAGGCCCGTTTCCAAGCCCCCACTCCTGTGTCTCCAGGAACCACTTGCCTTGTCTTGCCTTGCCTCAGAAGCATCATTTGGAAGCAGAAGCCTGTGGCTTCATTTCTTTTTATTTTAGAGCTGATCTGCTAGAAAAAGGTATTTTGCGAGGCGCAACGGAGGTAGAATGTCTCGTCAGCTAGCCACTTCACAGACATATGGCCTGCTATCCCACCAGTTAGGAAGTGATTATTGGAGCTGCACAAACAGATTTTTTTGTCAAAGTGGAGGTGTGATTTTCTCAGGTTCTGTGAGAACACACACACATATTTTTACCAACCCAATCTGTTTTCCAGCAGCCGGGTGGCCGCAGGGCCTGGACACCCGCTTGGTGTTTAGGAGTCATGAAGGGTGCCTGGCGAGGTCCCTGGAGGCTGCAAACCTACCTGGCAGGAGCCAAAGACCCCAGGTTCATTCTGTGACCACGAACAGAGCCTCTGCCTGCCCTTACCTGTGACAAGAGGGATGGCCACGAAAGCTGCCTCCTTGCACACAGAACCAAGCACCAGCGTTCACCCTACTATGCATCTGAGAGCCGGGACTTTTTTTTAAACTCACCACTGCTAGTTTAGTTCTAAAATCTCTTTGAAATAAAAATTAAGACACACAAGAGATACTAGGGTAAAGATGGCAGATGAAACACGTTCCTTTACTTCCATTCTCTCTCTAAATCCATCAAAGACAAACATTTTGTTTTGTTTTATTTTACAGTGTAGCTTTGTGCTATGGAATGTGGTAGCCCCTAGCTACACGGGCTACATTTACCTTTTTATTAAATCAATTCTAAACTTCAGCTTCCAGATCACACTAGCCACATCTCAAGCACTCAGCAGCCTCACAGGGTTAGTGGCTGATATACTGAACAGCATAGAAAAAGAATGTTTCCATCAGCATCACAGAAAATCCTATTGAACAGCACTGGGACGGAACCTCCAGGAGCAAAATCTCGGGAGAACACACTGGTAAAATGCCGGAGGCTGGGAAGGGAAGAGTGCGTGGGGGCTGGCTGAGCACGCAGGATACAGCTGAGCCCTACACCAGGATTGGGGGGAGCCAAGAAGCCAACTCACCCTTCGCACTCAAGGAGGCCTGAGCAGGGGCAGCGGAGGAAGCTCACGTGCCCTCACTCATAAAGAGAAAATTCTACACTAAGGTCATAGACTTTATTTAAAGGTTAAAAAAAAAATCCTTCTATTCTCTGCTTTGACAAATATACCTTCTTGGTGATGTAAAAGGCCCATGTGTTAGTTTCCTAGGGTGCCATGACAAAGTACACACACTGGGCGGCTTAGGACCACAGACGTTTATTCTCTCACTTCTGGAAACTAGAAGTCCAAGATGAAGGCGTCTGCAGGGCTGGTTCCTTCAGAAGGCTGGGAGGAATCTGTTCCTGGACTGTCTCTTAGTGTCTGATGATGACCGGCACTCGCTGGCGCTCCCTGGCCTGGAGATACATTTCTGCCTCCATCTTCCTATGGCTGTCCTATAAGGATACCCATCATCTTAGACTAGGACCCACCCGACTCCAGTATGACTTTATCTTAACTAATTATACCTCCAATGAACCTATTTCCAAATAAGGTCATGTCCTGAGAAACTGGAGGTTAGGACTGCAATGGATCTTTTTGAGGGGACACAATTCAACCCTTAACTGCAGGTTCAAATGGATAGTCCTCCTTGGACTTCTCAGTTCGGCACCAAAACACAGCAACATGGGAAGATCCCTGATCGTGGCCCATTCCCCTTCCTTCCCAGCCCAGCTCCATCCTGCACCTGAGGGAGCTTGCATGGCTCCATCCAAACCTCCCACAACCCCTTGCCCCCAGCCACTCCTCAGCCTAGGTGGCTCACACTGGCAGCATGGTCCACTCTGGAAGGAGGGCTCTGGAAAGAGCCCCCCCGCCCCGGGGCCCAGGGAGCAGGGTTGGGATCCTTTGGACAGGGAATTCCAAGGCCTCCTTTCCCTGGAGAATGTTCTAGAAGGAGGAATGAGGTGCGCACTCTGAGTGGGCATGTCCTCTTGGCCCCTGAGAAGGGGCACAGCTAGAAGAGGGAACATACACTCTCTGAGGCCGTGGCCCAGGTCTAAGGGCATTCCTGCCAAGAAGCAGCCAGGTTTACCAGCGGAACCCAAAGAGGGCTCAGGATTTGGGGGTGTCCACAACTTCTGAAAATGAGAAGGAACCTGCTCACAAAGTAGTGAGGTGCACAAATCCCCTTTCCGACACCAGCAAAAAACTGAAGGCTTATTCTCTGGAGAGGAGACCAGGTCTCTAGTTGGGGAGATCCCAGGCACAGCTGAAGGTCAAGGCACCACACAGAAGTAGCAGATTAAGGGAAGGTTTGTATATGGAATATTGACCTGCGATAGCCCTGCTCCAGCCCTCTTCTCTCTCTCGGCCTTCAGAACGTCTAGGTTGTCACTTCCAAGAGAGGATTAAAGGGCTTTTTTGAGCTCAAGCCAGTGCAAGAGGAAAAATCTAAAGATGCCGATATTGGTAGTTCCCCAGGAAAATAGTCCAACCAGATTCTTTTACAAGGAAGTCCACAATCAACAATCTTAATCACACATTTAGTGCTTCCAATCAACTTTTCATGCCCCACTCTTAAATATAAACCAGTGACTGAGGGTCTCAGCTGAAGAAAGCCCCTGACATGAGAGAGCGTGACCAAAACAAAGAGAAGAAGGTAACTTGGAGGAAACAGAGATTATGCATAGAGAAGAGAGAGTATAAAACAGGAAGCTATTATCAGTATCCTCAGATAGACAATCAGAGATGGCATCCAGGCACAAACACGTTTGTTTGTTTGTTTGTTTGTTTGTTTTTTAAAGAATATTTAGAGAACAGAAAGAATAGTTGTAAGCTTAAAATGCCGTGTTATAAATGTAAAGTTCATTCGAAAAATTAGAAGACAAAACAGAGGAAATAGAGAAAATAGAGCAAAAAAATGTAAAATTAGTTCAAGGGGTTCAACATATGAAGACAGAGTTCCAGAGAGAGAGAGAGAAACCAAGGAAAAGGTGGGAAAGGAAAGCATCATGACATAGTTTAGGAAATTTCAGAGAACTGAAAGACATTAATTTCTAGCCCGAAGGACCCAATGAGCACCCGCCCATATGACAGATGAAAAGATACCCAGCCTAAGCCACCCGCATAACATTTACAAACACTGAGGACAAAAGACAATCTTACAAGCTGACAGGGAGATACAAATAGGTCTTCTACAAAGGATCATGAATCAGAATAATTTTGATTCTCAAGACAAATCCTGGATGCTAGACTACAATGCAGCAAAAATCCAGGGGAAAATGATTTCCAACCCTGAATGCTGTACCAAACCCATTATCAACTAAGTGTGAGGGTACAATGGAGATGATGTCAGACATTCAAGGTGTCCAAATATTTGCCTCCCACGTCACAGGAATGATCAGGAAATTTGCTCCACCCAAATAAGAGAAAACCATGAAAACCAAGCCCTGTGTCCCTTGACTTTCTACTTACCAGTGAAATGCGGGTCTGAAGGATTTAAAATGTTGGGTTTTATCTTTTTTATTTGTGTGTGTGTTTGTGTGTGTGTGTGTGTGTGTGTGTGAGTGTGTGTGTGTGTGTGTTGCAGGAAGGATTGGAAGTTTCCTCAGTATCATCCCTTCATGGTTCACCAGGAAGATGTTACCGGAAAGGGGTCCCAATCCAGATCCCAAGAGAGGGTTCATGGACCTTGCGCAAGAAAGAATTCAGGGCAAGTCCATAAAGTAAAATGAAAGCAAGTTTATTAGGAAAAGTAAAGGAATAAAGAACAGCCACTCCTTGGCAGAGCAGCTGGGTCTTATCTTTAATATGCTTCCTTTCATGAGGATACATTCCACTTCGTCATCTGACTTACTGGTACTTGTGTCATGAGAGAAAACAAGCCTATTCCAATTTCTCAATTTTTTTGAAATCAACGTCAATTCCAAATTCAGTGCAGGTAGCGAGCCAAATGCATTTATAGCCCACTTGTTTTCTCTTTACATATCTTCCTTCATGGATCTTGCAAATAGCTTATTTTCCATTTCCATAATTTTTCATTATAACAGGAAGAGCCAGGAGAGCCGAGATAAATGAAATTATTAAATGGTCTCTTCAGACCCTTTCTTTATCCCAACATTTATCCATTCACTCATCTTCTAACCAAAGGTATATTTACAAGTAAGAAACAAACACGTGAGAGAATCGATGATTTCATCAGTGCTACCAAGAGGCAACAAAACTGAACGCCTTCACCCTCTTCATTTACGTTTCCACTGCCAGCTCTTGCAGACTCAGATGGACAGAAGGGAAACCAGGCAAGGGAGCTCAAAGACTAGGGAGATCACGTCCAGGCGCGGTGGCTCACATCTGTAATCCCAGCACTATGGGAGGCCAAAGTGGGCGGATCACCTGAGGTTAGGAGTTCGAGACCAGCCTGGCCAACATGGTGAAACCCCGTCTGTATAATAAATATACAAAAATGAGCCAGGTGTGGGAGGCTGAGGCAAGAGAATCGCTTGAACCTGAGAGGCGGAGGTTGCAATGAGCCAAGATCATGCCACTGCTCTCCAGCCTGGACAACAGAGCAAGACTCTGTCTTCACAAAAAAAAAAAAAAAAAAAAAAAAAAAAAAAGGCAAGGGAGATGAAGATGAACCAGGAAAGCTCTCATAATGTTTTCATAATTGACCTACAAACCTAAATTCTGTGGAAAAGAACCCAGTGCAAAATCCCAAAGTAGTGGTAAAATTCCCACTTGTTAGGTTCACATTTCAGGCATGCCTCCATATTAGCTTCCCATTTCCTTCTCTCCTGCACTAATCAGGAATGAAATAAAGACTCAAACTTCAACCTGTGGCCTTCAGTTGAACCCCAGGTCTCCAGGGAGCCCTAATGGCTTTTTGAGCCTGGCCTCCCTGTTATGTGGACAAGCAAACAGGCAGGCCTAGGAAGATGACCAGTCTCCCCAAGGTCAGCGTGGGCCAGAGGTGCAGCTGGGACCAGAGCCTTGCCCTGCCCCTACCTTCCCCTGCATTGCCTCCAAGGAGAGAAAAACAGCCCCAAAAGACCCCCATCCCCTTGCAGCCCCCAGGGAGGCCCAGCACCTCCAGTGAGTGGTTCTGCCTCCCCAGCCAGCTCTAAGGTGACCACTGCAACCTTCTTCACACTCCTCAAAGCTCAGAGCCACCGCCTCCTGCCAGCTCTCAGCATCTGACTTTACCTCAGAGAAAACAGAAGCCAGCAGAGGGGAACTCCAGCCCTGTCAGCCCCGATCCTTGAACCCCAGCCCTGCGCCACAGCCCAGCTCCTCCCCTGTCTCGCCCCTCTCCCTCCCCAAGGCCAACCCCTCACCTTCAGGCACAGTCCTTGTCACATTGATGAACCCAGTTCCCCTCTGGTCTCTTCCTTCTCTCCCAGCTACTTGCGTCAACTTTAAAACATGCTCATGTCCCTCCCGTTAGACAGACAGACACACACACACACACACACACACACACACACACAGAGCCCTCAGGCTCCTCCTTCCTCCCCTCCAGTGCAGCCCCCACCCACCTCCTTCCTTAAATCCAAGAGACCTCTCCATTCGCTCATTCTTTTCCCCCTGACCTGCCTGGTGAACTCAGTGCCTCGTTCTCAACCTTCTCCTCCTCCTCCTGGGAGCACTCTCTCTCTTCCTCCTGGGCTGAGCTTGCCCTTGGGCAGCCCTCGCTCAGTCCTCTCTGCAGTTCTGCCTCCCGGGCCCCCTGCACCTGTGGATCCCAGGGCAGCCCTGGCAGTCTTCTCTTTGCACTTGGCCTCTTCCTGGGCACGAGCCTCCTCCGTGACTTCACTTAGCATCCATTCACCTACAGCCTGACCTCCAGGCTGAGTACCGCCTGCTAGATGACCGCGCCCAGTCACCCCACAGAGACCTCAAACGCAGCATCCCAAGAGCCACGCTCCCCTCCCGACCAGGCCCCACGGACCACAAGATTTCTCCCCTTCCTGCACAATCTCTCCCTTCCCAGATGCATGGCTCACCACTCCCTCCCTTGCCCTGCACTCTCCAGTCACACAAATGTGACTCTGGTCCCAAATTGTCTTGCTCAGGGCCTCACACATGCTATTCTGTTGGAAACCCTCTTCTACCCCTGCCCACCCCTCCCTACCCCCAACCCTTAAATGACTAAGTCCTAACTCTCAGGTCTCAGCTTAGACGCCACTTCTTCCAGGGTGGTCTCCTCTGACTCCCCGAGTCAGAGTCAGGACCCCCTCTCTCTGGACACCCGCTTCGGAGCTGCTGTTGTGGGTCTCACTACACAAGAACGGCGGCCTGCATCTACCTTGCGCTGCTGAGTTCTCAGCTACCGGCACACGGCTGGCACTCAATGGGCACGCCACATGCCCACACTTGTGGAACTTCACCCGTGATCTAGTTTTGTGTCCCTGAGCCTGGCACACAGTGGACCCTTCCGGAGTGTTCACTGCTTCTGCTTCCACTGCTTCATGTGGAAGAAGGTGCCCACTGGGCAGACCAGAACCCACTAATGCTCATGGACCAGGGAAGAGGAGCAGCTGATCTGGGAGACACAGACTGGGGCCACACGAACCCCCAAGCCCCAGGGAAATGAGCTCAAGCTGATGGCCTCAGCCCTGCTCCACAGGAGACACAGAGCTTCCTGGATGCAGTGGGCATCTGAGAACAGGATAAAAATCTGCCCTAGGTCTATGGGAACTGGGCCTCCCATCCCAGGAACTGTGCCACCTGTGACAGGTCACTGGGGAATGCCCCACTCCCTCCCTGGGCACGGAGGAGCTGAGGAGGCCCTGACCAGTCATGTGACTGGACTGCCGAGCTCCAGCCAGCCCCACGTGTGGGCAGCACCCTGGCCTCCAACCCAGCCACACAATGCTGCAAAGCGACCACCTGGGCAAAGCCAGGGCTCCGAGGCACAGGCAACCACGATGTCCTGGCCACCAAGGGCTGCTCTAGCAGGGACCTGTCTTTGGCAAGCTGCCCTAATCTAATCAGTGTCTGAACACAGCAAGCAGTGCCCACCCGCAGGACCAGAACACAGAGGAAACCCTTGAAAACTGGCCCAGGACTAAGCTTCCCTCTGAGTCAAGCTGCGTCTCTGAGCCTCTGCCCAGACATCCCAGAGCATTCGGTGCTGGTGCTGAACACAGCCCCGGGGAAGGCGCCCTGCCTCCAGACTCACCTTCTCCTTCTTCCTTCCCTCTTATTGTCCCTCCCAGGATAATTAAACAATAATGATTAGTGCCAAAAAAAACAACATGTCGTTTTCCTGGGGACTCGGTTCTTGAGCTTTCTGAATAAGGAGGCAGCGTTGATCGGGAGAAGTAGGGCAGGGGCAACAACTGGGGCCCTAGAGCAGAGGAGTCTTCCATTTCCTCATCTCTAAAATGGGTCACACATGGTATTTCTGCTGCTCCGGGATGACCCCTCAAAGCAAACTGCACCCGGGATGTCCACTTCAGCTGCTTCGCACCCCGAGGTTACACCTGGTCAGACTGCAGGACTGGCCTTTCTCGTCCAGTCTGCAGCAGGGCCCTTGCCACCCGCCCGGCCGGGTCCAGCAATGGGCCCCAGTGTCATCATTCAGGCCCAGGCCCAACTTCTCCCCAGAGGCTGGAGGGGCTGGGGTGACCTTCTAGGCACATCGGGGCACAAAACAGAAGGCGGGAGATGCACACTACTTCTGCCTAGCAGTCGTGCCTTTCCCTCTTCTGTGGATAAATGAGTCACTTTTTCATTGTCCCAGTACAAATAGAATTTGGCTGAAAGGTCTGGCGTTCATGGGGCTCATTTCGCGTTCTTTTGATAGTTGTATTCTATTTGTCACACATGGTATTTCCTTCCCTGTGGCAGGTGGTTGGGGAGGGGAGGTTCCCACCCCCAAAAGTGAAGCGTAGGGTCTGGAGATTTCCTCACTAATCCACTGAACAGATCCTGATTGAGGGTCTACCTTCTAGAAAGGAGAGAGAGATAATAAATGATAAGCTTGGTACATAAATAAGTTATGTAGTAGGTTAAAGGTCACAATACACAGAAAATAGAAGACTGGGGAAGGTGAACTAGGGGGTGAGGGAAGGTGGGGGCAGGTTGTACATTAAATAGGTTGGTCAACATGGACCTCATCGAGAGATGAGATTACAGCCAAAGCCAGGGTCAACCAAGAGGGACTGTGGGTAAAGACCATTCCTGGTAGAGGGAATGGCTGGAATGAGGCTCCCAGGGGAGAGTGTGCCTGGAGCACGGGCAGAGTCCTCCCCAGTCCAGACATCTGGTCCACCCCTGACCCCCGATTCTGATCTGGGCATCTTCTGGCAACAGGATGGGGGCCAGGCCTTGCCCCCAGGAGCCCGAGCCCAGCCAGGTCTAGCAACTGAGGCCCTGTGTCCCTAGCCTGCCCAGATGTCCACGTGTGACCCACTCCTGCAGAAGCGCTCTGCTGCACCGGGATGACCCCTCAAAGCAAACTGCACCCGGGACGTCCGCCTCAGCTGCTTGGCACTCTGAGTCAGCCTGCAGGACCTGCCTTTCTCATCCAGCCCGTGCCACCCACCTGGCCGGGTCCAGCAGTGGGTCCTACCACCATCGTTCAGGCCCAGGCCCAGCTCCTTTCCAGAAGCTGGAGTTTACGAGGCCATGCCGCTGACCACACTGCCAAGTCGTCCCAGTCACCAGGCACAGCCACCAGGAGCGCTGGGTGGGACCGGAGGCAGCCCTAGAAAACGGGGCTGCCTGGAGGTGAGCAGACTGGTGGACGATGGACGCAGGCCAGATGCGGGGACCACAGATGCGCTGCTGTGAGGACAGAAAACAGTTGCAGGTGTCCCAGAAAGCGTTCCAAAGAGGAAGGCCCTCTCACCCCTGGAGCACGGTTTCCAGGCCCCCAGCCCACAAGGACAGCCCCTCTGTGTCCAGCCCTAGATCCCACTCACACCTGCCTTGAAGCGCTGGCTGTGGACATGCTTAAATCTACTCACATGTGCCTCAGACCTGGGTTGGGGGTGGGCAGGAATTTCCAAAATCTTTTTAGACGGATTCAGATTCTTTTTAGCTATCCAATCCTTTCTTCAAATGAAATGGGGCTCATGAAGAACCCCAGTAGACAGAGCGGGACATGAAGCGGGTTGGAGGGAACGCTAGGACCCTCACTGGAGCACCCACACTCACCCCCGACAAACCCCCCAGGAGACCACGGCCCCCAAGAGCAGGGGTGGCTGCGCTCCTCACAGCCTGTGGCTCACAGCTCACAGCGGAGCTGCAGGCCCAGCTGAGACGAGGCGGCAGAGAGTGGAGTGGATGAGCGGGGTGTGCGAGAGTGTGTCTGTGACAGTGAGTGTGTGTGTGTATGAGAATGTGTGTGAGAGTATGTGTGAGGAGTCTGAGAGTGTGTGTCTGAGAGTATGACTGTGTGTGTGGAGTGTGAGAGTATGTGAGTGTGTGTGGGAGTGTGTGTGGGAGTCTGTGTGTGGGAGTCTGTGAGTGATAGTGTATGACTGTGTGTGAGGGTGAGCATGTGTGTCTGTGTGATAGCAATAGTGTGTTTGTATGTGTATGATTGTGTGTCAGTACATGTGTGAGTGATGTGTGTGTGTGTGTGAGTGTATGTGAGAGAGTGTGTGAGTGTGTGTGTGAGAGAGGGAGAGAGAGAGGGAGAGAGAGAGGGGAAAGGGCTATCAATGTAATTTGCCTCTACAGCTAAACACACAGGCCGTAATCATAGCCATTTTACTAAATGCCCATAAAACTAAAAAACAAATAGGAAACCTCCGGATTACAGGGCCTTCTCTGAGCAGGGAGTGGCGCAATCAAGTGCTATCTGCGCTAAGTCCCAGCTTGCAGTGAGTGACCCAGGAGGCGCGGGTAAACAGAGAGAGGACCCCGTTCCCTGTCCCCCCCATCAAACCTCCAAGGCTGAATGCCTCCGAGGCTGAGCGCCGGGGGAACGGGGGGCTTCCTGGGAACGCAGTCCCCTCCGTGTGGGGGTCCTCAGCTCCCCTGTGTGAGCCTGTGCCATGCGGAACGGGACCACAGCCTCAGCCTCACAACGTGCCTGTGACCCAGCGGGAGTGGAACCCAGGCCTCTGGCACCGGGGACCCTCAGAACCCTGCCTGCAAGGGAACCCCAGACTTTGAGGGGAACAGCCTCGTGCAGCCCTCATTTCTCCCTTACAGCTGTGGGACTTCACAGACAAGCAAAAGAAAGGGAGCATTTTAGCAAGAGCAGCCTCAACGCCACCCCCTAGAGAGCAGAAAAAAAGGGATGCTACCCCAGGTCTTACTCTAGGGTCTCCCCTCGGCCACACTCCCTGCCTCAACAGAATCTCAAGCGCCAGAATCACCAAAGGACATTCTAAGTGTCATTCCGCCCTGAGTGTCAGAAAATGCCTGCAGTGGATCCTCAGTGGCCTCCGCTGATGTAAGGAGGGTGGCCCGGAGGAGGCCGCCCTGCAGAGGGCTCCCCAGCACAGCAGCCGCGGGGACCCAGCACGCCAGGCGCACGACAGGGAGCAGCCGGTAGCCGGGGCAAAGTCTGCAAGGATCCAAGCAGGACCTGCCCCACCCTGGTTCCACCCTCACTTCTTGATGCTTGCCTTCCAAAGACCTGGGGACTTACCTGTCCCCTGAAAGATACGTTTACCAGGTAACAGCATCTTCCCAACCCCCACGAACCTCGCACTCCAGGCTGTGTGCACCTCAGATCTCTGTGGAAGTGGCATCTACTACTGAAAACATTTTTTTGGCAGAAAAAAAAAAAACCCTCAGCTTTAAGAGACTATTGCTGGCAGTGCAGGCTCCAAGCAGACCCAGAATCAGGCCTAGCCAGGCCCTTCCGGCAGCCCCCTCAAGCTCCGAGCTCCCTCCCAGCAGGGCGTCCCTCCGCTGCACCCTCATGGATGCCCCATCCACCTGATGGCAGCCCCTCCTTAGTTCTGGCCACTCCTTCAGCACCAAGGCCTGGGAGGTGGCTTAGGAGGTGAAGAGGAAGGAGCAGCAGGGATGCCCCGAGGCAGACGCCCGGGAGTCATGCACTAGGGCCTCCCAGGGCTGACTGGGCCAGGCACCTGCGCAACCCTCACTGACATGGCACGGAGAAGGCAGTTGGACGGTTCCTGGTGGTCTCCATTCTTCATCTCCTGAGCTCCTCTTACACTGGGGTCAGCCTCCCTCCCCTGGCTGGCACAGGGCTGGTCTCAGCCAAACCCTGTGTCCCTGCCATCTACATCAGTCGGTCCCATGTGAGAAGGAGTGACTCAGGCACTTTGTAATGCAAGATCGTTTACTTCAAGGCGCAAGAGGCTGAACCTGCTTACCCCACCTGGCCGGGAGCCCCCTTGTGGAAGAGAAAGCGGAGGGTTGGGGCGGGCGGGGGGACCGGTGCCCCACCCTGCAGAGTGCTAGCTGAGTTAACCTGCCACAAAAGTATTAGATATCTGGGATAAAATGATCATGGGTGGTGTCACCCCCTTCTTATTAAAATTCTGGGGCCAATGGTTTCATGTGGTTTGAGAGAAAGAATGCTCCCTGGCTGGGCACAGTGGTGCACAACTGTGGTCCCAGCTACTCAGGAAGTTGAAGTGGGTGGATCACTTGAGCCCAGGCAGGTCAAGGCTGCAGTGAGCCGTGACCGCACCACTGCACTCCAGCCTGGGCGACAGAGCAAGACCCTGTCCCCCCACCAAAAAAGACAGAAATGTTCCCCTACGTTTCTTACATAAAGGCAAGACCAGCACCCGCCCCCCGCCCCTGCCACCTTGTCTCATGGATGCTGTCTGTGCCTTTAAGACGCCCAGTGGACGCACACGCCCGAGAGCTTAGAAAGTATTGCCTGTCACCGCCAGATTTTTTTTTAGGTGTGCAAACATCCAGAAATCAGCATGGTTCTAATTTCTACTTGACAAGTCCATGTAGTTAATTTTAAAATGAAAATTGTGTCCGTTTCAAACTTCTCTTTCCTCTTTTTCACACTAAATACCAATACCCTTGGTGCCAGACTCTAGAGTCTCTTTCTATGGGCAACATTGGGAGTAAGGATGGGACCTTCCCCACCGCCTCACCCAGCAGGCTGTGCATTCCCAGCCAGTGCCTGGGACAGGAGAGCCATCTGATAGTTGTCCATAGAAGGAATGCCTGCTCTGGCCTGGTATGAACACACGCAGCCCAGGACCTCCAGGCCACCAGTCACGTGTGGGAAGAGAGGGTGCAGCCCCTCCCTGCAGCCCAGAGAGCAGGAGAATCCAGCCCTGGGGACCGCCTAGGGCTGGACTATGGCCCCACCACCCCACTTGCTGTGTGACTCTTGACAAACTACACAATTTCTCTGTGCCTCAGTTTCCTCATCCTGTGAAGTGGAGAGTGTTACAGAAGCCACCAAATAAAGCAGCAGCCACCAAATAAAGCCCCTGTAAGGATTAAGAGAAAAAATGTAAGTGAATAATGACATGTAGCCAGGTTGCACGGACTGACACTCCATCAACAGAAATGCAGAGGGCTCAGTATGTTTATGGTTGATCAAACTGATTCACAGAAAATGTAATGAGAAAGCACCCTGCCACCTGTCATAAAATTCTGATTTATTTTACCCTAAAAGTCACTTTATAAGAAATCAAAGGCAGCAGACATGATCATTCACTAAGCAATACACATATAATTAGTGAATGCCTCTGTATGTACATCATACTTTCATACGTTTATTTTATAGGACATTGGGCTATCATTATTATGTATGAATAATCTTAAGGTGGGATATGCTCACCTTTAATAATTCAGGGAACAGTATTTTTACTCATAAAGTCATAGAGTAAGTGCTCACGAATGTGCTGTTTCTAATGGGATATTGTACTTGGTTTCACTGATTTCTCAACTTAAAAGTCCCAAAATTTTATTTTCCAAAAAATCTGCTTAGAAAAGTTCCTATTCTGGCTGAATCCAGGTATGATTGCCTTTATCCAAAATGGATTATTCATCATTCTAAAACCTGTAGGTGCTTAGGGGTTCAGGGTAAGTTAGGTAAATTAGGTGGGTTCAGAGTAAATTAGTTAGGGTTCAGGTGCTTAGGGGTTCAGGAATATGGTTCCCAAGAAAATGGATAAAACACACACTTGAAACTGAGGGGCGGGGGGGCAGGGGGTCGGGGGAAGTTCTTCAAACTGGGACCCTTTCGTTTGGAAGCAAGAAGTTAAGAGTTTCCCCCCACGCAGCGTTTGCCCCTCCGTGGCCACTGCCCCACCCGGCTCTGCCCTGGTGGTCACCGCAGGATCTTGGACTACCACCCGCGATTGTTACCTGGGTCTCCCCACCTCCCCTCCCATAAACATTAACTCATCGTGCTTTTGTGTTTCCCAACCCCATACAATGCGTCCTTCCCAAGGCCATGGGCTACTTCTAAGCCTAGTTAATCCTCCTCGACAGGCTGATGGAGCTGGGATAAGAAGTTGCCGAGGAGTCTCTGTGGCTGAATAAATCCAGACCACCCTCTCCCACTGCACGTGTCCCCACAGGCTGAGGGCCTGGGCCCATGGGGGGCTGCGCCATGGTGGGACCCAGACTTGTGGGCACGTGGCTTCCCATCTTCTGGGGCAGGCAGGACAGCGGGGATCCAATCAGCACAGTTCACAGCCCATTGGCCAGAGCACATCACTCACCTCCCCTGGAGCTAGGAGACCCCAGGGTGCCAGGAATTAAATACAAGCAGGAGCACCAGGAACCTGGGCCGACCTCTCTGGTCATGCCTCTGTACCCACCACCTTAAAGCTTCTCCAAGTCTGCAAAGCCCCCTCCCAGCCCTTCCCCTTGGCCACCATAGCATCCTCTGCGTAGACCTGGCCCCTGTCCCTGCTGACCCCTGCTCCCAGGCACTCTTCTCCTGCTCCACACGCTCCTCCCAAGCGCCTTTGTCAGAGGCAGTACCTCTCATTGCAGACCCCGGAGAGACAGGGTGGCAGGGTGAGGCACTGCGGGGCGAGAAGTGGAGCCGCCCAGACAGGAAGCCGGAGTCCTGGATGGTGGTGGTGCCCTCTCAGAATCCGTGGGAAAGCAGCGGGGTTGGAGGACAGCACCCTGAGAGGGAGGAAGCTCACCGGGCATGAGACACTGATACTCAATATCTGGCAGGAGGGACTCCCCAAGCAGACCCCAGCAGGCCTTCCCGATGCCCCCAGGCAAAAGCAATTTCCCTCTCTGGAGTTCCTCCAATGCCCTGTGGCCGTGTCCCCAGCACTGCCTTGTTTTAGGGTCCCCTGTGCACGCACCTGTCCCCAGCTAACAGAAAGCTCTGAAGGCAGGTGCAAGGCCTCACTCCTCCCTCTCCAGCCCTCATGCTTTGCTGTAAGCAGCTCCGGGCCCATTCGTTCAGCTCAACGGAGCAGCTTCCGGAGCCCAGAGGAAGTCACCTCCCAGGTGCAGCCCCCTCCCAGGGCTTGTGAGGAAACACTGTGAGCCAGAGCCCTGCAGGTCAGCTAGAAGGAGGGGGGTGAAGAAGCGTATTTCTCTGGATTGGCACAGATGAGGCATCACCATGCAGGCAGATTAGGGGGAAGGTTCTGGAACCTCCTGGCTCACATCCCTCACTTCCTGTGGCCCAGTTTCCAGCCCTAGACTTGGGTCTCACTGGGCTAATATCAAAGTATAATAAGCAGGGCTGGCTCCTTCTGGAGGCTCAGGGGACAATCTGTTTCCTTTCCTTTTCTTGCCATGTTCAAAGCTAGCCATGGCCAGTGAGTCTCACATTTCACTGGGACACTGACTCTCCTGCCTCCCTCTTCCACATTTAAGGACCCTCAGGATTCCATCAAGCCCACCTGGCTAATCCAGGATAATCTCCCCATCTCCATAGCCTTCACTTACTCACATCTGCAAAGTCCCTTTGCCATGCAAAGCACCATATTTACGGGATCTAGGGCTTAGGATGTGGCCATCTCTGGGGGCCATTATTCCACCCACCACAGTCCAAGGAAGGTGCTCTCGGCAAGACACTGTGAATACGGAGGCACCCTAGGGTCCAAGTCAGAGCCTGGGAGAAGATAGGCAGCCTCTGAGCTCCCCATGTGTCATATTTGTAATCAGAGAACAACACCCACCAGGTACCCAGTGGGCTCACAGCACTGGGGAACGCCCCCCGCCCCCCACCCCAGGACAGGCAGTCACTGAAGGTCCTGTTTGAGCAGAAGGATGGAGGGGGTGTTGTTCTTTTGTAGGATGGCTTCCTTGAGGAGGCAGCATTTCTGCTGCTTTGTAAGTCATGGAAGGGAAACAGCTGGAAGGCCTGAGTTTGAGGAGAACACTCCCAACATCTGGGCCACAGCCCCCTATAAGGCCCAAGGCCTGGAGCAGCTCCAGCTGAGGGGAATCCTCAGCTGGTGAGGACATCCCAGGGACCCCAGTGAGGGGCTCTGAACTGTGGGTGAGATTCAGTGTGAAGTGTTGAGTCCCGAGGAGCCCAGGCCGGCCTCTGAGACACAAGCGCCTTTGTCAGAGACAGCACCTCTCATTGCAGACCCCGAAGAGACAGGATGGCGGGCTGAGGCACTGCAGGGCGAGAAGTGGAGCAGCCCAGACAGGAAGCCGGAGTCCTGGATGGTGGTGGTGCCCTCTCAAGATCCGTGGGAAAGCAGCGGGGTTGGAGGACAGCACCCTGAGAGGGAGGAAGCTCACTGGGCATGAGACACTGATACTCAATATCTGGCGGGAGGGACTCCCCAAGCAGACCCCAGCTCGTTCAACTACAAAGACTTTGAGCATCACCTCAGATCTCCAGCAGTCAGAGAATCTGCCATCCTAGGGTGGGGCAGCATCCTAAAATGTCATCTGGTCTGCCCCACCTGCCAGAGGAAGGCAGAAGCTACATTGTCATCACAGCACGGAGCAAGTAATGGCAGCCTTCTCCAGAAAGTCCCCTGAGATGTGGGCAGAGCCACAGGTGGGATCTGGGCCTCCAATTTCCTGTCCAGGGGCCCGGAGCCTCCTCTCTCACAGCTTTGGAAGCCTGAGGGAGTCCTGTAGCTGTAAGGACTCGGCTGGGGGTGCTGGGGCCAACAGGTCATCCTCCTCATTCCTGCTCAGACACCCTTCCAGCTGCACAGTCTTCTGCCAACCACTTAACCTCTCTGAGCCTCAGTTTCCCCATTGGAAAAGAGGACCTGAGCATTCCCACGCACCAGGGAGCCAAGGACTTCCCTTGGGACTCATCAAACACCAGTTCCTTCCCTCGTCCTTCCCCCTCCTTCGTCCCCCTCCTTACTTAATTCAAGTCAAGCTAAATTGATTTTTTGAATCAGCCTCACTAATTTCCGGTCCTGGCAGCTTCCAAAATGAAAATGCCTTGTTCAAAGCCCACAGTCTGAGCTTCCTGTGGTCTTCTCGTGTGGACCACATATCAACGGGGCGGGTGAGGAGTGGGGTCAGCCCCAGGGAGCCTGAAGCAGCCCTGGCCCCACAGCGGTGGCACAACCAGTTTAATTATTAACTCTTTCTCCGGTGCAGTCAGCCGCCAACGCACATTCATGAGATACTAACCCCTTCATCTCCCTCCACATCACTCGGCCACCCACACGACAAGAGCACCAGCGTGCCTGGGTTCTGAGTCACTTTCCAACATGGTATTTCATTCCCTTCCAGGATTATTTATCATCAGGGACCACATACGCTTTATATGTCAACAGCCCATTCTGCAGCTGACATCCCTCACCTCCTCCAGGCTGCTCTGCCCTGCTCAGCCATCTCTCTGTTCCTTGCGTCCTTCTCCAGTCCTCACCTCTCTCCCAGTCTCCCAGGGTCACCAGAGCTTCTCAGGCCCCTATCCCTTTCCTGGACAGAAGCCTCGCTTCACAGGCCCCGACCAGCCCAGATCACTTTCCTTCCCCCACTTCACTTGTAAGCACCCCTGTTTCTTAAAGAAACTCCTGATTTTCTTCCTTCTTCTGGGCCCACTGCTGGCACGGCAGGGGAAGCCATTTCCTTCCCCACCATCCACCCCTTGATGAACACAGATATCCTAAGCATTCTCATCACACTCCTGCACTTTCGAAGCTCCCACTGTGTAGGACACCACAGCTCAATTCCTCTTCATGGTTTTCAAGACCTCCTGGCATCTGGCTCCGGCATCTGGTTCCAGCCTGCAGACCCAATCAGTATCCGGGTCCAAGCCCCTGGTCCTCCCTGCTCACCAGCAAACGGCTGGTGCATGTCTTCCTGACTGTCTTGGCTCAGGCCACCCCTTCCATCTGAAGTGCCCTGTCCTCTTGCCCCCACCTAACCCATGAGCTCCGGGCAGGTGGTATCTCACCCTCTTAGCAACCCCACACTACCTAACGTAGTTCAGTTCAAGCACACCGTCAAAGCCAGGCGAACACTTGGTGTATTTGTTCCCTGGGGCTGCCGTCACCAATTACTGATGGCTTCAAACAACAGAAATGTATTTCTTCACAGTTCTGGTTGCCAGAAACCTGAAATCAAGGTGTGGGCAAGGTCGTGCCCCGTCTGAGGGCTTGGGGAGGACCCACCTGAGCCTCTTCTTAGCTCCGGCTTTGCCAGCCATCTGTGCCATTCCTTGGCTTGCAGAGGTCCCTCTCCAGCCTCTGCCTCCACCATCCCACGGTGCTCCATGCGCATGTCCAAATCTCCCTCTTCTAATAAGGAACCAGTCACTGGATTAGGGCCCACCCATAAGACTTCATCTTAACTTGATTACATCTGCAAAACTCCTATTTCCAAATAAGCCACAGTCACAGGCGCCCAGGTTAGGACTTGGACGTATCCTACTGCGTTTGGGGAATGCAATTCTACTCACAGCGTTAGCCATGTACCTCAGACAGTGATGCATCTGCCTGAGTCTAGGTTTTCTTAACTCTAAGACAGCACTCCCATCTCAGGGAAGTTGTGAAGCTGTCATGAAACTGGCAGGTAAAACCCACCCACTTCTTGGCACAGATTTCTCGACCTTTTTCTGTCAAGGCCCACAGGACATCCTTGCAGGCAGAGCTGCAGGCCCAGCAGCTGTGACAACAGTATAACCAAAATCTAGAATCTGTGCTAATTTTTTTTTTTAAGAGATAGGGTATCTCTCTGTCACCCAGGCTGGAGTGCAGTGACAGGATCATAGCTCACTGTAACCTCCAGCTCTTAGACTCAAGCAATTTTCCTGCCTCAGTCTCCCAAGTAGCTGGGACTACAGACAACTGCCACCACACCTGGCTAATTTTTATTTTTTGTAGACACAGGGTCTCACTATATTGCCCAGGCTGGTCTCAAACTCCTAGCCTCAAGCAGTCCTCCCACCTCAGCCTCCCAAAGTGCTGAGATTACAGGCATGAAACACCTCACCCAACCCCAACCTGTTTTTTTAATTGAAGAATAACTGGCGAACTATGCCATCTTAAAATGATTAACATTATTATTATATAATTACATAATATAGAATATAAAATGAATATTTTCTTGAAATGTATCCATTGTTATCCATTGTTCTTAAACTATTAAGAACTAGGAGTTTAAAGCAAAAAAAAAAAAACATTGCTGCTGAAGACTTTGTCCTCTCCCAGCTCCACAAGAGCACAGGGTGGCAGAGCCAGGGGTTTGAGCCCAGGCTCTGGGCTCTGACCGCCGGGGGCCAAATCCCAGCTCACCGTGAACTGTCTGAACAGCCATGGGCAAGCCGTTTCTGCTCTCTGAGCCTCAGTCTCTCATCTGTGACTGGCGGCATCCACCCCTCGGGCTGCTGTGGGGGTGAGACAGAACGATGCATGTGAGGCTGAGAAGGGGCCTGGCAGACCCCGAGCACCCGGTGCGGGGTGGCTGCTATCATGACTGTGCAAATGCTTCTCCTGAGTGGGAGAGGCAGCATGATCATCACAGGAGTTAAGCCAGCGGGAATTCTCTTCTGTGTGCTCCACAAGAGGCTATTTGCTGAGCGTTATTGGAGACCTCTCAGGCTCTGCAAAGCCCCTGCTGCCCAGCGCTCTATTCTGAGCCCGGGAGCGATCAGGGTGGCTTTTTGAGGGCTAATGACTCAGAAAGTCCAAGGAGTATGCGAAGCCAACGTGGAGTGACACAGAGAAAGCTTCCCCCACAAGCCCCCTCCTCCCCCGAAACCTGGCCCCATTCAATGCCCACAAGTTCCAGTCAAGCCACTGAGAGCAAACATATTTCTAAAGAAAGGGAATTTTCACGAATTTTGTTCTGAAAATGCAGCAGGAGGCTTTGAGACTTTGGAGACCCCTGGGCCATTGAGATTCTGTACTCGGTGCTTCCCACACCCTCTCCCCTCCGGTTCCACCTCACCCTCCTCTCCAGGCCTCTGTCTGCCACAGGTTTGCTGGAACTGCCCCAGCCCCCAGGCCCCAGAACTCCTCTGCCCAGAATCTCCATCTCCTAAAGCATGAAAGAGACAAAGCTGTTCAAGCCTCTCTTCCCTCCACTGCATTTTCCTCCCTCGCATTCCTGAGATGCTCTCCTCCTCTCTGCAGCCCAAGAGCCGCGGCCTCTGCTCCTTCTGTTTACATTGTACAGAGCTGGAGACTTTGTAAGACCCGATAGGAGGAAGCACCAAGAGGAAATCGGAGCAAACGTCTTAATGAGATGGTCACACTCGGCCAGGGTAATGGTCCTGAAGTGCTAGACGTGCTTCCCCAGTCGCTGCCTCACTGTTATTTGCCGCTTTTCTTTCATTACCATTCATTCCGCATCATTCATGTGATAATTTGTCATGTTTGTTCCTAGTCCGCTTTAATAGTACTGTGTCCTTTTCCCCCAAGTGAGCATGGTTGGGTTTGTTTTGTTCATGAGACAGGTTTTTTGCTCTTGTTGCATAGATGGGGGAAAGTGAAAGGGCAAAATAAAGAGATTTCTTGCCAGGAGTGACTCCAGAGCAGTTTAGAGAAATCCTGGCCTGGAGTGGAACCTGACAGGGGGTGTGTGTGCAAGACCAAAAGGGTCCTCCAGGGAGGGGTGATTGGCACCTCTCTGCACCTGGGAATATCAGGGCTAGCCCAGCCCCAGGGTCCTCCCAGCTGAAAGCTCCTCTCAGTGAGCAGCTGCCCAATCCCGAAGGCCCAGAATACACAGAGAGACCTTTCCTCTCAGGATAAGGGAGCTCCCTAAGTGTGGGTGTGGGGCCCTGGCTGGGTACACGTCCCCATCGGTAATGGGACACCTTCCAGAGGCCACGCCACACTCTGGAAACTGATCACTGAGTGAGTAGAAGAAGATAGCCAGGGCTGCCACTCTCACCCCTCCCGCCCAGATCCTCCCTGCCAGTTATGGGGGAAAATTACATTCATATATAGATAATAAAATATATATAATAAATTTAAAATATATTAGAAATTATATATAACTATACATATAATAAAATACATATAATAAATTACATTTATATATGGGGAGAGAGAGGGATGGAGAGCGAGACAGAGAAAAGGGGGAGAAAGAGAGAGACTCAGAGAGGGAAGACAGGAAAGAGAGGAGAGAGCTGGGGGAAGAGAGAGAGAGCAGGGAAAGAGAGAAAGAGCGGGGAGGAGGAGGGGAGAGGGAGAGAAAAAGAGAGAGAGAGAGATCTCCTCTACCCGCAAATAAATACTATTATGATGTTGGCAATGTTTTAAATTGGAGCAGTTGATTTTTATTCCCGTATGCCTGAACTTAGAATCAAATACCTGACGAGATACAGTCCCTTCGAGATCCATCCAGACACAGCACTGTCAGCACTTGGTTTTTGCACTGATTTAGTTTTCTGAAGCTCATCCTCACATCCCACACCCTCTGACCCCCCAAAACCATTCATGCTTCTCATCAATCTTGACTTTCACAAGACTCAAGCAATTATTGGGGTAACTGTGCCCCTAAACTGCCCTCTTCCCTCCCCGTGCCCCTAGGAGCACCGGGCTGTCTTGCACGAGCACAGACCCACACATCTCACGCACCCCTCGTCGTCGGGGAAACAGACTTGGCAGACCCCTCAAGGAGCTCCAAAGGCTGCTTTTTTTAAACCTGCAGAAAACAGAGGAGGTAATTTAACCCTCCTTTCTGATAAGCTCCCTCACTGTCTTTTGCCCCAACACAAAGGTCCTCATTAGCTTTCACTCGGGGCTTTGAACTCCACACAAAAGCCTTCCTTCCCCTAACTGCCCGCTGGAGCTGGCGGTGGGGCCGCGGCCAGCGTGTCAGCATTCCCTTTGTTGTCTATTTCTAAGGTGTTTATAACGAAGCCTTTTTCTGCTCCAAGCTCACCCCCCGTAGGTGAAATCTCAGTCAAGGAGGATATTCTTCAGCTTCCTAAACACCAGCAGCCCCTTTTTTTAAAAGCCTGACAGTTAACTAAGTTACTTTTGAGTACGACCTGTTTCTAGCACTTTGGGTGGGATAGGCCAATTGAGAGAGATGCTAATTCCCCTGTGGATATGACTAGGCAATCACCTCTGTGGAAATGGTGATGTCCTTTTCTCCCGCTGGCCACAACCTACCTGCAAGCTGTGGTCCAAAAAATTACTAGGAAGTTCAACAACTCCAGTGCAAAATGCATTTGTCCCTCAGAAGCAATGTGTTAGCTGTCCTGTAGATCCCAGGCTAGCCCACAGAATTTGACTTGGTCCCTGGAGCTGCTGGTCTCCCACACTAATAACAGTCTCAGAACAGGGCCCAGTTCCAGGAGGAAGGAGAGCAAGAGAGGGAGTGCCCTCCTCCTCTCCAGACAAAGTGGGCATCGGGGGACTGCAGAAGGGCTGGCATCTGTCTTCAGTCAGTGTTCTCCCCTCGCCATCTCTGTGCCCCTCTCTCTGTGGGTGCCAGATCCTGACCTCTGACTCCAAAGCCCACTAGAAAGCACCCTATCCTGAGGGGCTGGGGACAGATGGGCCATCCCACCCCTCCATTCTCAGCCCATACTAATCTCTGCCCCCCTGTGCCCAAGCCCAGGGCCCTGTCTGCTCAGTGCAGGTGAGGAGTCAAGTCCCCTGGCTGGGAACCCTTCCAGGGAGAAAGCAACAGGGAACAAAGGCAATGGCTTGCCATCGGCCTGGCCCTACCGCACTGAGCTAGATGACAGCAGACGGGGCACTGTGCCTCCCTGGTCATTGCCTCCTTTATCAAATGAAGGGATCTGGGCCCTCAACTGTCTCCTGAAGTCACCTGTGCAGGCATGTGCATTGGTTTAAGAACAAATTTTGTTAACCCAAATGAATCTCCATCCACCTAATAGAGTTTCAGGCAGGAACCTAAGGCCTGATGAAAACACACGGACCGTAGAAACAGCTTCTTTGAGGCCAGGTTCCCTGAAGTCATCTCTTCTAAGCTGTCCCTGATCACACAGAGTCTCTCCTTCCCACACCCCCCATATCCTGAAAGTGCCAAGTTTCTCCTGATGGCTCCATGTCAACCATGCCAGAGGCTCCTCAACAGACAAAGTAAAATTAGCGTGGCCATTTACAAACCCAAGTGCTGGTGAAGCTGGGACCTCCTGTTCTGGGAGCCCCCAATTGTTAAGCCCCATGTCTGCACACAGCTAAGGAAGCTGGCCTCCCTGTGGCGCATGTGTGGCCGTGACTGTCCCTATGATCAACACCTAGAGTCACAGTTAAGGACTCATCATGTAACTCGGCTTGACCACTATGAATGCCCTTAACCTCCTGTGTACTATCTTGAGTCTCCTGTGGAACTCATGTGTAAAGCGATCACAGTATTTCTACGGGAACTCCAAGAAACCACTGGAATTCTTAGTGCCTTTGAGTTTGACCTACTGTATTTTAAGTCCACTCAGGATGGTAAGGAAGATGATGGTCCAGGAAACAAATGTTTTACTTTATAACAGATCTGCTCTGTGTTCGCTTTTAATAGAAAGATATAGACAATATATGCTCAATACATATTCCATAAGTGAATGCTTACCATTCTATATACAGGCAACTTTCCCATAATTCACTATTCCGTATAGCACGGTGTTTCTACAAGGATAATAGAGCATCATTCGAAGAGTAGCACAGCCTCACTTAAAAGTCTTGCCAGAGATTAGAACGGGCGCCCAATGGCAGCCCCATGGCTGTTCTATTAGCATGTCACCCGCCCATGCAGCTAAGCATATGCAAACCTTGAATGCAGCTGTTTGCATCAGCATCCAAGACAGAGGTGATTCTCCAAGGTGTGGACTGCTTCGGCTTCTCGTTTCCTTCTGCTGCTGTCCCTCACCCAGCCTGGCCGCTGGACAAAAAGGGAATACGCAACACCATTGGAGTTATGGAGGAAGAGACTGAAACTGCACCGATCTGGAATTTGGAGTGGACTTGCCCATCCTTCAGCAGGCTCTCAGTAATCTCCTCCACCAGCGTGCGTTCACCACATGGCTCTGGCCCCAACGCCACCAGGCTGGACACTGGGGAGTTAGAATGTTTAAAGTGTGGTGTCCATCACCCTACAGGAGGTAATTGATCTGGTTCAATGGTTCTCAACCAGGGGCAATTTTGGCCTGCAAGGGATACTTGGCAATGTCTGGAGATGTTTTTGGTAGTCACAACGGGAGGGTATGCTACTGGCAACCAGGGGATGAAGGCCACGGATGCTGTTAAACATCCTACAAGACAGAGGACAGCCCCCACAACAAAAAATTATCGGGTCCAACATGTCAATGGTGACAAGGTTGAGAACCCCTCCGGCAAAGCGGGCTCACCTGGGAACCACAGGTACGATGTTAGACACCCTATAACCAGCTGTTGATCATGAGAGCCACGGAAGCTCAGAGGAAAGGGAGGCTGTTAGGGTGGCTGCAGCTACACGCCTCATTTCGGGGCCTCCATTTCCCCTTCTCTAAAATAGGAGTATTGAAGGTTGTGCTTATTCATGACCACGGCTGGGGATGTTTTTGCCCCTTCCTCTCTTAGACATAAAAATCTCTTTCTACTCTCACAGTTTTAAATTAGGAATATTTGGTGGTGTGATCGTGTATGTTTAAAGCCAAACAGAAATTTCCTGTTTCCCAGCACAAAATAAAATTCAAGTTTATAAAAGAGCCTGTAAAATCTCATAATCAAGCCCATTAGCCAGGCAAAATGCTCCACTTTGATTTTGTGGTGTTTAGCTTTCTTTTCTTAGCACCACTTCATTAGCGCGCTTTTAATGGATGTTCTCCAGCCTGCTTCTTGAAATTGCTGAAAAAGAAAACACACGATTCTAAAGCTCAAGACACAAGAGAAATATTCCTTCCCCCTTAAATATGGAGGCCGGGAGACCGCAGAGCGTAGGGAGACACATGGGATCTAGCATGGCCCCACCACCAGGTCTTCCGGGCGCGTCGGAATCCTCGGCCGCATTTTTGCTCACTGGCCTCATTGCCAGTGGGCTAATTTTCAGCTCTTTGCTGCTTCAGCGGACCAGATTTTCTTGATTAATAACAAAAGGTTTTGTTGGGATCAGAGCTGTTTCCCACCATCTCTATGCAAACCCCGGCAACACAAACTGTGTACATTAACATTTCAAGGCGCTTCCTATTAAGGATGGCAAGAAAAGCCTCTCTTGGTGGGTAAAATCCATTTTGTCCTCTCTTGTGACATCTGTTCTAACTTTTAAAGCAGAAAGGAAGCTAGATAATGCCAGAGAGTCCTTTGATTTACAGTACTTGCCCTTCGGACGCCACCCTGCTCTCTGAAAGCACCTAACCTTTCTTTTCTGGATGTACGCAGGCACCGACGTGAGAATCTGCACATTCCCTTCACACTGGAGAACTTCAGAAGTAATTCTGAACTTGTCTTTCAAACTTTTAATTGTCTTTTTCATGATTTCTTAATTACATTTTCAATTACTTCTAAACCTCACAACACTGAGTCTTTGAAACTCCAATTTTTAACAGCACAAAATTTTAATGTTTATTGCTACATATGTTATTGTGTTTCATCTCTAATTCCCCTCAAAGCTAATTTTGCTTTAGTAGAATGAGAAATTGCAGCAAATTTAGTTAGGCAACTGAAATATGTACACAAATACAGAGGAACCCCCGCAAGTGATAGAATAAAAAGGAGAAGAAGAGAAGCCCAGCGGAGTCCCGGTCCCCTCCTACCATCTGTGCTGCAAGCTCTGGGGTCCCTTACATTGGTCATCCTGAAACAAAGCTGAAGGCAGATTCCAGCCGGTTTTCCATTCACTATTCATTCAGAGGTCCACCCGCTCCATATGCATTCAGCCAACTGCTGTGTTAAATCAGGGCCTTCTCCCAGAATTGACATGGTAATGAAATCATGGTGTTGCTCAGTGAAAAGACCGCCATAGGTATGCCCCTCTCTTGACAAATCCACCCTTTCACCCCATTGAGGCCTGAAAATTATCTCATAACATCACAACATCTGTGCACAGAGGCCTGCCTTTTGGAGCTGGGCATGTTTATTGCTCGGTTGAGTCTCCTGCACTGGCTCTCTCAGGATAGGGCAGGCTGCCACTCAGCTTGGTCCAGCCACTCCTGGGCATTAGCCTAGCAGCCCCAGGCTTCCCTCCTGCTTTTCCCACAGCCTGCGTGCTCCCAAAGCCTCGGGGCCCAGAAATGCTGACGTCTGGATGCCGCATGCCAGGAATTTTAGTGGGATCATTTTCAGGTGTTAAAGGTGGACTACAGAGCTCAACTAGTTCATGTATACTTGCTGTCAGAAAACCTTATAATTAGTCCGGCAAAGAAAACCAGACAAAAAGTGTGAGGTTTCTGGGGTGGGAGGAGCTGAAAGTGAGGAGAAGTTAGCTAATGAATTTTGGTCAGACTCTAGCAAATGACATTTGCTTAACTAATAAGTGTATATGAACTTTATTTAACTGGCCTAGGTCAATAAAATGCTTCTACAGGGAGCAGCGAGGTTGGGGGAACATATAGTTTGCACAATCTGCAAGCTATATGTGTTCTGCCCCGATACAATGATTCCATTTCATTTGATTTGACATTTAAGAGCCCTTTTTAGAAGGAAAATGAATATTTCTGTATTTTATTTGCTATAACCTCACTTGACTCTGCACATAGCTGAGAATAAATGTCACATTCATTGCACTGCAAACAGTTGTGTGCTATCCTGGAGAGGGGTCACATGGTGTTGGGGGGGTGTTATTAGCCCCCCCGATAAGTGCTCACAGGGTGTGTCTGTGGCCCATATGGGCTCTGGGTGCCCGGACTTGTTTTGCTTTCTTCCCCTGTGTCCACATCTGAGCAAGGATTTGGATAAAATGTTCCTGATTACATATGAGATGCATTTTTGCCTGATAACAGGGATACACAGAGCGTCTCTTTCATTCAGGTGTCCAGGAGGCCCTGCTTCCACTGCAGGGAACAGAGAGACAGGCCAGCTTGACCTGGGCTTTTCCAGCGTCCATTCCCATACCACCTGGCCTTGACCACCTTGCTAAAGCTTGAAGGTCAAAACTGAGCCATTTTGATCACTTCCTGGTCACAGGACTAGGAAATGCCTCGCTGGTGGATATTTTCCTTTCAGTTGTCTTTAAAAGGAGTACTCTGCCTGTTGGGGTCACTCCCAGAAATAACGTCTTGCCAGCTCTCTGGGTGTCCTTTAGCCCAGTCAAGTTGACTCATGAACTTAACCATCACATGCTCAGCTAGGCTTCTAAAGCAGCGCTTCACAGACATGCCTACACATCCAATACTGATGGGGTCCCACCCCAGTCTGGGGTGCAGCCTGGACCAAGAGTCAGGGTTCTGGGGTGCAGATCTGGTCACTGTACTGTCCGTTCCCAAAGCCCTTCAGAGACTTCCTGCTGTACCACCACCCATGTGCCAACCCCTTCATCAGGGCCCCCACCACTCTGGGCTCATCTCCCATCACATCTCATCCCTCCCCACTGCCCGTCGCCTCTAGGGTCCTTAGGAAAAGGACCCTGTCCTGGGCCCTGAGCTTTTGAGGGCTTAGCTTCAGCCCACATCTGGCTGAGCCCTTCCCAACCTGGCTACGGACTGAATCAGTTATGGATTGAATTGTTTTCCCCCAAAATCCATATGCTGAAGTCCTGACCCCCAGAATCTCACAGTATGACCTTATTTGGGGATCAGGTTTTCACAAAGATAATCAAGTTAAAGTGAGGTCATTAGGGTGGGCCCTACCTAATATGACTGGTGGCCTTACAGAAAAAGGAAAGTAGGACACAGACACATAAAAGGAAGACAATGTGAAGAGACACAGGGAGAAGATGGCCACCTCCAAGCCAAGGACAGAGGTGCTCTGAAAAGCCAATCCTGCCAGACCTGCAGCCTCCAGAACTATGAGGCAAGGGCTTCCTGTTGCTCAAGCCTGGCGGTTTGTGGTGCTTTGTAAAGTGGGTAGTCCTAGCAAAGCCAGGCAGGATCTGCAGGGTCGGCCCACAGGAAGCCCGTGCCCCAACTTCTACACCATGCCCTAGGCACCTCGGAGCCCAGAAATCTCTGCCCAAAGGGCCTGGCCCCATTGCCAAGGCCTGGGCAGGTTCCTTCCTGGAAGCGTCCTCCCAGGGCGGGCCGCACTCCAAGGCTGCACTCCAAGAACCAGCTCTTGGAGGAGGGTGGGGCAGGAGCTTGGGTTTGAGAGCTGAGAACCCGCAGGCCGCTTGCAGGACCTTAGCCATGGCAGAAAAACCAGCCCCAGAGGCGGGCAGGGGACGATGGGACACACCAGGGACCTCACTGGCCCGGTGCCCTGGGCCCCGTGAACACCAGGGGGCCCCCTCCGCCCCACGCTCCCTGGTGGCCGCGTCATTCCTCCTCAAGCCGAGTGAGGAGGGCAGGGAAAGTCACCCCGGCTGCTGCCCCCATCTCGTCCCACGAGAAGGAGCAGAAGGAGCAGCTGTAGGTCTAGAATCGCATCCTGACTCCTCAAGTTTCCCATCGCGCTCCTTCTTCAGCTTCACTGCTCAGCCCCGACCTGGCTTTCTGCCCCATCGCTGTGCCCTCTGACCCCCAGCCCCTCCGACAAGCACCGAGGCTCCGCCCTCTGTCCGAGGCCCTGTGAGCACGGCGCGGGAAGTCAGCAGGGTGGGGCGGCTGCCCCTCGGTGCCAGGGCATGGGAGCCTCAGGTGGGGCTACTACAAAGTGCGACTGGGGCGGAGGCGCCGAGAAGCCACGCGGGCTCCTGTTCCCGGACCGCACCGCTGGGGCGAGGCTACCGAGTCACCACGACCCCCAGGCCAGCCCAGGCCACGGGTGACTCCTGGGGGCTGCCCGCGGCCCGCCCGCCCGCCTGGGGAGGAACCCAGAGGAGCCCCGTGGGCCATGTGCCTGTTCCCAAACTGCGATCCATGCCAGGCTCCGCACCCCCGGGCACGGCGACGTCCTGGCCTCAGCCTGGAGCCGACAGCAGGGCCACGGCCATGGCCTCCGAGAGGGCAGCTGCCGAGACGGTGGCCGGGGCTCTGACATGCGCCCTGCTCTGCCCTTGGCCCCTTCCCCGGGATCTGTCCGTGTGCCCGGAGCGCCTACGAGGCCCCAGTGGAGTCACGGCCCCGGAAAGCGCTGCCCCTGCGCCTCAGCCCCAGTAAAGGCTGTTGGTTCCTCCCGGCGCAGCCCTTCAAAAGCGCCCACGTTCCTCCCTGTTCAGGCCACATACTAATTTTAAAAGAAAAAAACACAACCCCCCAACTGTCAAAATAAGGTATTTATATTTTAGTGAGTCATGTTAATATGTGCTCCAAAATGGTAGGGGCCTCCTCAAATCCTGCTGTCGGAGTGTGTGTTCTCAATCATAATTAAGGTTACTGTTAGGTTCTTGGAGACTACAGAGGCAACCAGTTCTTTATCCATTGTGTTTTTGACTGTGACTAGCCTAGGACATTTTGACGTTCAGACAAGTGTTGTCTAGTTTTGACACTCTTCAAAGGACCGTCTTCAGCCCTCAGTGTAGGTTTCTGATAACTGAAGATTTTGAACAGGAGTTGACCTGGTGAACTGAACCAGTGGAAGACTGAAGTCATCTTCTTTTGACTTTTTGGGACATGGTTGATCCTTTGTTTTGTCTTCCAGAATCGAGGAAGCTTTTCTTTTAAGCTGTTTGTAGCTTTTGGCCATTGTGGGGGTGAACCAACCAGTGGTCTGTGACTACAGTTCAGAAGAAACAGTTGGGCCATCAAACTCCAAATGGCCATGCAAATGGCGGACGATGGCTCTCTACACTGGGGACCCTAGATAGGCCTCTAAGTTAAGAGCAGTCATCGTCCCTATCCTAACGGCCATTAGATGTACCTCTTCAGAGCAGGGATTGATGGCAGCAACAAGCATGTGGTGTGGCACTACCATCACACCAGCTGCTGCAGGGAGGGTGCAGGTAGGAGGTGGACAGGGCCCCCCACAGCCCACTGCCCTGGGGGTGGCTGCAAGGGGCCGAGCCCAATCCCGTTCAGGAGGGGGAGCAGTGCAGCAGGGGAGCAGCATGGCTGGGCAGAAAGGGGCCCCAGTGCAGAGCTGGGGCTGCACTTTGGGGATCCAGGACAGGAAGTGGAAGTGGCAACCACTTTTGGGACCTGGCCAGTGGCACAGCCACTGTGCCCACACCGCCTAGGGTGCCAGGTTCCTGCACTTCAGAAGAAGGCTCTACACAGGCCATCCAGGGCCGGGTCCCTGGGGTCTGCCCTGAGTCAAGATGGCTGCCAAGCTTGCCACTTCTGATGGCCGAGCCCAGGGCCCGAGATCCACTCCATCCCAGGCCATCCTGGAGCACAAGGGCAATGGGGAGAGCTCATGGAGATGTCGCCCCTGCCCCGGACACTGGCTTGGGGCCCAGCAAGGATCAGGAGCCCCCAGCCCATGCTGCAAGGGGGCACAGCTGGGGCTGCATGCTCCATGGAGCCAGCAGGAGCCAGGAGCAGGCAGCAGCCCCGTCCTCACAGGCATGGCTGCAGCTGCCCAAGCCAGGCAGTAGACCTGGGCCTCCCGTGGTCTTGGAGGGCCAGGAACAGGCAGGAGCCCTGCCCTCCCAGGTGCCACTGCAGCCACCCAAACCAGCGGCTTCAGCCTCAGGCATCTCTGCACTCTTGGGGACCTGGGAAGGCCCTCCTGCCCTTGCAGGCTCAGAAGTGCCTGCTCCAGCTGCCTGGCTTCTCCCTGCTATTGATACCTGCTCCGATCTTGGAGCAAAGTCTGGGCCAAGCTGGGGTGCCATGAACAGCAGCAGGAAGCAGACAGATTCCTGGGTGGAAGGAGGCAGGTCCCTGGAAAGACCCCATCTTCAGGCCAAGGGCTGCCAGATCCCTGCACCAGAGTGGAGGAATGTGGTGCCTTTTTTGACCCCACCCATGGCCATGCATGAACCAATCAGCATGTACCTCCTCCCCTCTGAGGTCCATAAAAGCCCCAGGCTCAGCCAGAGCAGGGTAGAGGACAGAGGATGGAAAGATGACTGGGCACTGGAGGACCAACTGCAGAGATGATCTACCCTCTCTGCTGAGAGCTGGAAAGTCAATGGGGACCTGCCTGCAGAGAGGAACCACCCTCTCCAGGGCCTCCTTTCTGCTGCTTGCTGAACACTGGACAAGACTACCTGCCTACAGAAGGAACTGCCCCCTGCAGCCTCCTCAGAGCTGCTCTAACACTCAATAAAGCTTCTCTTTGTCTTGCTCACCCTCCACTTGTCTGCATACCTCATTCTTCCTGGATACAGGACAAGAACTTGGGCAAAGGCGCCACCAGCCACAGAGGTTTCTGGCCAGAAAAGCAACCCCCTAAAAGATCCTGTAACACAGTGAGGGCCCTGCCTTGACTTCAGAGCCACTGCCTCCTAAGTGGCCTAGAAGCTTCTTGGGGACACATTTTCCTCCAGGGGATGAGGTTCACTGATGCCTGTTCTGGGTCTCTCCACCTTTACCCTGCACGTATCCTTCCTTCCATGGAACTTCCTTCCATGAGCTTCCTTCCAGTCACTCATGTCCTGCACAGCGAGGCAGTAGGCCTATAAGTAGAAGTTGGTGCACAGCACCCCTTGTGCACATGTGAGGGGCATTTGCTGGGGGACATGGCCCCATGCAACTCCACAACTCCCCTGTTCCCCATGAAAAACCCAAAATGTGCACCCTCATCTCAGACCTCCCCTTAGGACCCCAAATTCTCTCTGGTGAAATTGTCAGCCACCTTCCTCTGGAAATCCCCTTTCCAAAGATCCCCTTTGTGGGCTTAGCTGTCAGAAGCATAGCTTTGCCCTTGCTCCCGTCGCAGGGGGGTCCACATCCCCTGAATCTGGGCTGGCCTGTGGCTGCTATAGCTGCTGCAATTGAGCAAAGTGAGGCAGTGGGATGACGGCAGCCTCCACCTTTGCCATCTTGGAAGACAGGTGCCACGTACGGAAACCCAGGGTGGACTCGGGATGATAAAAGTCCACACAAAGAGCCCCCTTTATGGCCTTTATGGCCCGGCTCCCCAGCAGCAGCCTTGAGGCCCCCAGAGGCCTCTTGGTCTCTAGCAGGTCAGGCTGTCCCGAATTGCTGACCCACACACCAACCCCTGAAGCGGCTGTTATGCCAGGCTGTTACATTTTGGGCAGGGGGTGGGGGCTCTGTCATACAGTAACGGATAACTCAACCATCCTTGGCAGGCCCCAATCATCTCTTGGATTCCAATTTGCCAGTGTTTGTGTTTTGGTTTTCGCTTTCCCCATTTTATGACCTCCCTAAATCATTGCTCACTGCTTCCCTGAAGTCCAGCATATAATAGTCAATCTGTGCACTGGAGTCTCAGAATAAAACCCATTTATCTTCCTTAAGCATTCCAGAGCAGTAAAACTAAAAATATTAGCAAGTTACTTTGGCTAGAATTACCAATAGTCTTCCCATAACATTTAACTTCCTATTTCTTTAACCTGAGTTTAAAGAAAACATATACATATATGTTTATATATAAATGTATATATTTATATGTATATAAATTATAATTTGTACATAATATATATTTATTTTATACATAACATATATTTTACATGTAACATAAATTATACATTGATACATTATATATGTGTACATATATGTGTATGTATGAGCGTATAACGTATGTGTGTATATGTGTATAGGTATAATGTGCATATATATGTGCATATATTATATATGCATGTGTGTATATATGTATGTGTATAACATGTATATATATATGTGTGTAGGTATAACGTGTATATATATACATGTGCATATATGTATGATTGTATAACATGTGTACATTATGTGTATATATTTATGTGTATATGTATAACATGTGTATATATTATATATGCATGTGTGTATGTATATGTGTGTATATATTACATGTGTGTAACATGTGTATATATTATATGTATGACATGTGTATATTATATATGTGTCTATATACTATATGTGTATAACGTGTATATATATGTATATTATACATGCATGTGTATATATGTGTATGTGTATATTATTTCTATATATGTGTATATGTACGTGTATATGTGCACATGTGTATATATGTATGAGTATAACGTGTATATGTGTGTATATAACATGTGTATATGTATGTGTATATATGTATATATTATATGTGTGTACGTATGTGTATGTGTGTATATGTGTGTATGTATGTGTATGTGCGTATATGTGATTATATGCATATGTGTATGTGTATAGCATGTGTATTACATATGTGTGTATATGTGTATAACTTGTGTGTATAGATGTATATATTACATATACGCATGTGTATATATGTATGTGTATATTACATGTGTATATGTATAACGTGTATATATGTGTATATATTATATATGCATGTGTATATGTATGTGTATAATGTGTATATTGTGTGTATATAATATATATGTCTAATATGTGTGTATATATATTATATATGTGCATGCACACACACACACACACACACACAGATCACTCTGAAGATCTACTTTTTAGGGAAATGTCACATAATCACCACTTTCCTCCTTTCTGTCAAAATATCTCCCCCATCCAGGCACTGGGTGCCTTAAGATGCCACCCCTCACTCACTCCCCTCGGCGCACTCCTTCCCTCAGGTCCCAGCCTTTCTTGGCGGCTCCTCCTTCCTGTCCCATGTGACAGCACAACTCCTTTATCTCCAATCCAGTTCACCCCAGCAGCTGGTCACCAATATTTGTTGAATGAGCTCTGCAGGGGGTGGGGAAGAGGAGGTGCCCTCCAAGAACATCCCCTAGCTCCTTCCCCTGCTCCCCGTCCAGCCACAAGACTTCCTATTTGACCTTGGTTTTCCAAATTTCCTGCAGTCTCAGTGGTAACCTTTCCACTCCTCCCTGGCCCCACCACAAGCAGCCAACCAGAGACTGGCAATTGGTGGACCCGTGGAAGGGATCCATGAAGGGACCCATGGAAGGTCCAGGAAACACAGAATAGAGGAGAGGACACACCTTTGGCCAGTTACTTGTTTCAAACTCATGGTATATTAATACTTAGAAAAATCTTTTAAGCATCCAATAACACTATTTTGATCATTCAATGGATGCCCCTCATGACCAACATACCCACACACTAAGAAAATCATGCATGGCATAAATAAAGCATGGGGTCTTGAAGAGCTTGCCTTCTGGTGAGGAAATGGCTGCAGACGAGCCGTGGGGAATGGTACCAAGCTGAGCCACTGGGGCTGGGCAGAGGGGCACACAGATGCAGTGGGAGCACGGAGGTCCTCAGAGGAGCAATTAGAAAGGCTACTAGCAAAGGGCACATTTGAATAGACCCTTGGAGGAGGAGACTCGCCAGACAGAGATGGGGCAGAGGGGTCACAGGCAGCAGGACCCAGGGACCCAGAGACAGGAATCCTTTGTGTGGAAAGAGAAAAAGCCTGGAAAGGTGGAATAAGAGCGGGCCGTGTGGGTCCCATTTCCCGGAGGGATTCTCTCCTTTACTTCAGCACCGAACCTGTGCTAAGTGATGCTGACATCAAAGCGCACAGTGGAGCAGCCTCAGGGCCAGGATCAGGGCGATGATTTGAGAGCAGTGAGACCTTGAATGCAGAATTTATGAGGTTTCAAAAAACTCAGTGGTCAAGAGAAATCATCTTTCAATGCAATATTTAAGAAATCAAAATTAATGCAAAAATCCATGGCCCACTATTCACAATAGTAAAGACATGGAATCAACCCAGGTGACCATCAGTGGTGGACTGGAAAAAGAAAATGTGGTACGTGTGCACCATGGAATACTATGCCACCATAAAAAATAAAATCATGTCCTTTGCAGCAACATGAGTGCAGCTGGAGGCCTTTATCCTAAGCGAATTACCACAGGAACAGAAACCCAAATACCACATGCTCTTACTTACAAGTGGGAGCTAAACACTGAGTACACGTGGACACAAAATGGGAACAGTAAACCCTGGGGATACAAAAAGAGGAGAGGGAGGGAGGACAAGGGTTGAAAAACTACCTGTTGGTTACTATGTTTACTACTTGGGTGCCAGGATCATTAGAAGCCCGAACCTCAGCATCATGCAATATATCCATGCAACAAACCTGCACATGTACCCTCTGAATCTAAAATTTTAAAAAATAATTCATGATCAAGAAAATGCCAAATTTTTAAATAAAGGCAGGATCATACATACATAGAAACAGAGTAGAGTGGCAGTTACAGTGCAGGGGGGATGGGGAACTGCAGGTCAGAGGGTACTAACAAGTCTAGGGATCCAAGGTACAGCATGAGGACTGTCTGAGTTCATTTGTGTTGCTATAAAGAAATACCTGAGACTGGATAATTTTTTTTTCCAGTATATTTGGTTCAGGGTTCTGCAGGCTGGAAGACGAGGTATCTGCATATGCAGAGGGCCTCAGGCTGCTTCCCCTCATGGCGGAGGGTGAAGGGAAGCCGGTGTGTGCAGAGACCGCATGGTGAGGGAGGAAGCAAGAGAGCAAGACGGTGCCATGCACAGTGGCTCACGCCTGGAATCCCAGCACTTCAAGAGGCTGAGGCAGGTGGATTGCTTGAGCCCAGGAGTTCGAGACCAGCCTGGGTAACATGGTGAGACTCAGTCTCTACAAAAAATACAAAAACTAGCCAGGCATGGTGGCATGCACCTGTAGTCCCAGCTGCTTGGGAGGCTGAGGTGGGAGGATGGCTTCAGCGTGGGAGACAGAGGTTGCAGTGAGCAAGGTTGTGCCACTGCACTCCAGTCTGGGCCACAGAGCCAGACCCTGTCTCAAAAATTAAGGAAAAAAAAAGAGAGAGAGACAGACAGAGCAAGAGGGGAGGTTCCAGGCTCTTCTTCACAATCAGCTCTTGCAGGAACTAACAGAGCAAGAACCCATTCATTACTGTAGGATGGCATCAAGCCATTCATGAGGGAGCCATTTCCAGGACCCAGGAGCCCTTACACTAGGTTCCACCTGCAACACTGGGGGTCAAATTCAACAGGAAGGTAGTGGTTTCAACACAAGGCTCATTCACTCCCATCTTGGTGTCCAGCAAACTCTTCTGTCTACAAATATCTTCTACCTTTTGGAAAGTGAAAACATTTTAAACTTAATACTTCAGTTCAGGAGCTGGAAGCTTGTCTTCTCACTGAGTACTACTCAACACCCTTTGTCTCTGTTACCTAAGGGCAAGCCATGTGTGTGGGCCAGGGCTGGGCGCCGACCAGGACAGGCTATGGATACCTGTGCATCCTGCCAGAAGCTCGTGCTAGGCCTCTACAATGGCCAAACGGTGCTGGCCAGAATAACATGGGCTGATCAAAGGAAGGTGTGTGGGGATGAATCTGATAGTTAATGGCATTAGTGTACATTTCAAGAAAAAGGGAGGGGGCAACTTGAGTGCTCCCAGGACTTTCTTTAAAGGCGCAGACCAAAACAAGCCAAGTAGCCGCTGGGCAGGTCCCAGCAGTCAGGGCAGCCGGGCCCTGAGCCCAGGGCCTCCTGGAGAACCGCCCAACATTGACCTGTGAGCAAGGTGCCCTCTCATCGATCGCTACTGACTCCTTCTTCACTTTTCAAGACAATGATCGTCTGGGATGAAATTTCTTCCTCTTGCATCCTAGCCAAGAAGCAAACTTATTTTCAGAATTTAAGAAAGATTTTCAAACATCTCCAATTTGAAAAGTTCCAATTTCAAGTAATTTTAAACAAAACTCTCCATGAGCAACTAAATATTTAAAATGTGTTTTTCCATAAAAGTGAATCAGCTCAGTTCTGCAGGCTGAAAATACAACAAGGAGGATCCGGGTTGCAGAAAGCAGAGGGCCACCTAGACCGTGTCTGAGAGACGGGGAGAAAGCAGCTGTCTGCTGTGCACCAGAGGCCTCTAGGGACCCCGGCAGCAACCCCGTGGCGGGCCACACTTGGGAGCTGATTTGTTTTCAGAACCACCAGCTAAGCCACATGAGCCAGGAGCCTGGTTATCCATTCAAAGCCCACAAATGCCTACTGAAGCGGAACTTAGAGGAAAGGTTCAGAGGGAAGGGTTTCTCTCTTCTCTGACCCTGAAAGAGACCCATTGTAGCCTGAGGGGCTGGATGGAAAGATTTAGACAAAAATCACAAAACAGAGAGGACAAAAGGTCACAATCAGTGTCTATGGCATGGTAGAAAGCCTGCTTGCCTCTGAGTCCAGAAAGCTGCACTGGAATCCTGCAACATACCTGCTTATTTCCGAGGTCTACGCTGAGCCTCAGTGTCTTCCTCAGGACGAGGTTGGGGCTAGTGGAGCACCCTGCCGTGTCCTCCCTCCCAACTTCTGCACGCTGATTCTGGTTCCCTGACTGTTCCTCCTGTTCCCGCCCAACAAGGTACTCTTCACACAGGGGTCTTGCTACAGAATGAATCCTGCCTTGTTACCCACCTACTCCAAAATCACCACTGGTCACTCCCTTCGAGAGCTTAGCCTGTCAGAAGCACTCCTGCCCACAGGGTCAGCTCCACACTCCTCAGTCCTTTGGGACGTGGCCTGGCCTGAGGTCCTGGCCTTAATGCTCATCATAGCAGCCAGACCAGGTGGGCGCAGCTCTTCAATGCCCCCTGCCTGTTCCTGCCTTGCCCTTTCTCTCTGCTTCAACAACCTACCTAGGCTCAAACTGCCAAGTAAGAGCAATCACCTCCAAAGGCTGTTGTGAGTAAGGAGTGCATAAGGGAAGCCATCTGACGCATTTACCACAGTCCCTGGCATGGCCAGTATTATCTGCTTACCTGTCATCACTGTTAGAATTATTATTAGAATTGCCCATCATGGCCAGGCATGGTGGCTCACAATTGCCCATCATGGCCAGGCATGGTGGCTCACACTTGTTATCCCAGCATTTTGGAAGGCCAAGGCAGACAGATCACTTGAGCCCAGGAACTCAAAGCCTGGGCAACATAGCAAGACCCTGTGTCTACAAAAAAATTTAAAAATTAGATGGGCATGGCAGCACATGCCTGTAGCCCCAGCTATTGGGGAGGCTAAGGCAGGAGGATTGCTTTAGCCCAGAAGGTCAAGCCTGCAGTGAGTTGTGATTGCACCACTGCACTGTAGCCTGGGCAACAGAGTGAGACCCAGTCTCAAAAAAAAAAATGAATGAATTGCCCAACACACCTACCATCTCCTAAGACTCGTCTTCCCCAGGAGGTCTTATCCCATCGCCCATACCAGTGCTCCCCAGGTTGGGTTAGGCCTGGGCCCCAGGCTTCCTGGCACCCAAGCTTGCCTCTTATCTTAGGACTCGCCATATTATACTGCAATGTATATATTTGTCATGCCTCACTGACAAATTTATATTTTATCTTTGTTTCCCATACTACTATCCTAATAGTTACCACTGCATTGATGTTCAAATTTAATGAATAAATGAACACATCTATCCCATAGTGGGCACACAGATGTTAGTCTACTGTCAAGCCTTTTCTTGAAGATATCTGATGATGATGTTAACTCAGCAGCCTGTTCCCACAGGCTTGGAAGCTCTGATTATCACAATAGTTACTCTTTATCCAACCTGTGTCCTCTCTGCTACAGTCTTCACTCATATCATCTGCCTTCAACCTAAAGCAGAGCCCATAGTTGACTGTCACCACCATCCACACCACCTGGTTGCACTGGCTCTAAGGCTCTCCATCTACCTCAGAACACTGACTGTCTCGCTGCAGCTTGACCCTAACAATTCCCACCAACTTGTTCCGAAATCAGGAGGGTTTGATTTTCTCTACAAATAATGTCTCATGCATATGCTTTCAGAAAAGAGGCTGGGGTCTGAATTTCCTAGACATGGTTCAGCTGAGCCTCTTGGCTTCGTTCACTTTCAGTCTATTAGGGACAGTGACATGGGCCAAAACTGCTTCAAAACACTCCTGACGAGCACTCCCTTGCCACTTCGCTTTTCTGGGGTGGAATGAGTACTGCAGCAGTTTCGTGCAGAGAAGGACATGAGCAGCCTAATACCTTTTGGAATCCTTGATAACCCCTTGACGATGTTTGTCCATCACCCCCACCTCTCCCTCAGTTAAGTGACTCTATTTCCTTAATTTTTCTCCAAAAGATCATTAACTCAGCAAGTGGAAGGAAATGCTCACAACATTGGAGAAGGCAAAGAATGGGCTGATTCCATCTTAAATGGAGGAAGATGCAGCAGGATTTGTGGGTGGGGTTATTTTCTAGGTGAAGGGAGGGGCTAAACATGAAGATTTTCATTTGCATGTAAATTTCAGTGATGCATACTGCCCAGAGAAAACGCTCAACTTCTTGATCAATCATGAACTTGCTCTGAAAACGCTGATTTTCATTAGGTGATAAATCAGAAATTTCAGGGCATCCTAGGAGCACTCCCCAGGAACAAACTTCAAGGAGTGACATTCAAACTAATGAAAATGTGTTTCTCCCTCCCTTTTGAAATGGCAGCGATAATACTGAAAATTAAGAACGGCAATGATAGGAGATTTCCAAAAGCAAAGTACCTTTGGGCAATACAACCGCAAAAGATAATCTATAGAAGCTCAGCCATTCCAACAATTCACACAGTACCTTCGTGCCTGGCAGGTTGCAATTCTGTCTTGCTTTGGCAAATGAGTCAGTCAGAAGCCAGAAAGAAAAGCTGACTTCTACACCCTGCAGTCTTACAAAGCCAACCAACTAAATCAACAAGGACTAGCTAATGTTTGTACTTTTCTCTCCCTGCTTTTTTGAGCACCACAAATTCAAAGCAGCTGTGTGCTTCTCCCCACTCAACCTTTGGCCTATTAGCCAAAGCATATGTAGTCAGCAAACCCGGTGGCTGAGACCTGGCTTTCTCAAGCCCAACTTAGAGGCTTCTAGAGGTAAAAAAAATTTGTGCCAATTAAATAAGTCAATTGAGGCCGGGTGTGATGGCTCATACCTGTCATCCCAGCACTTTGGGAGGCTGAGGTTACAGCTTTGTGAGGTGGGAGGATTGCTTGAGCCCAGGAGTTCAAGACCAGCCTGGACAACATATGAGACACTGTCTCTACAAAAAAGTAGAAAAATTAACTGGGTGTGTTGGCACATACCTGTAGTCCCAACTATTCTGGAGGCTGAAGCAGGAAGATCACTCGAGCCCAGGAGTTCAATGCTGTGGTGAGCTACGATGATGCCACTGCACTCTAGCCTGGTGACACAGCAAGACCCTGACTCTAAAAAGGTAATAAGTCAATCAAAACGTCATGTCAGCCTTCACTCCAGAGAAAGAGGCCTGTTTCTTATGATGTCATGGATACCTATGAATTGTGTATATGTCTTTACACATTTTCCTTTCATTTATGATGAGAGTGAAATAACTTCATTTATTCATTCAATGAATTTTAACTAGAACTTCTATGTGCTTGTCCCAGCTAGATGCTGGGAAACAATACAGTGAACAAGAGACATCGGGCTGGAGGAAGAAGCAGAAATAGCCACAGACACTTACCAGATATTCACCCCCACCCCAACCCCCGCCCCCACCCTGAGCTCAGCCCTGAGCATCTTCCTGCCTCACCGGGAATCCACATAGGGCAGGGTAGGAAGATGAAGGAGGAAACAGCCTCTTCTAACTGAAAGGCTCAACCACAAAAGGCTTTGTATAATTAAGTCTTAAGTGAGAGAACTTCCAGACCAGGTCATGGGGGCCCCAGGTCTGTGGAAAGGCAATGGCCCCGAGGTGAGACAGCTCTGGTGGGTTGGAGGATGAGCTGAGAGGTCAGGCTGCAGAGGCAAGGGCTGGGCTGGCACTGGAGGGGCTGTCCTCAAGAGCTGGGGAAACCACAGAGAGCGAAAGCCCAGATCTGAGTTTCTGAAAACCTGCTCTAGTGACAGATGAAGAAGACGGGACAGGGTTGTGTACTCACTGCTCACCATTCATGATGCAGGGCACGGTGCCAGGCACCGCAAGGAAATGAGGCCGCAGTGAAAATGGCCTCTGTTCAAACCCACGTGGAGGCAGAGGCCACGGTCAGCCCCCGGGAGACACTGTGTGCTCCAGAGCAGGTCACCTCACCCAGACGGAACACGCCTTTCCCCAGTGTGCCCATGACTCTTCATGCCCCAGCTCCCATCCCTGGAAGACCCTGCGAGGTGGCGCCAGGGAAAGGAAAGGGCCTCCTTCCTTGGAGAAAGAGGAAATTCAAGCAATTCACAGCTATTCAGGAATCAGCTACTCTGTGTGCTCACCGTGGGGACGAGAGGTAAGAAAGACATCTGATTCAAAGGCATCGCTACAGTGGAGGCAGGAGGAGGTGGCGCCCTAGGATGCTCTGACATTGAACAAAATGTAGCAGCAACAGGGTGATGGGCCACACCTGTCTGAGGGCAGCAAGAAGACCTTGGGAAGAGGGGAGTGAAGAAACCAAGGAAATCCCAGGGGCTGCAAGTGGGAAGAGGCAGCAGGGGCCCGGAGTATATCGGGGCTGGCAGAGAACAGATGGGACCTGGGAGGGGATGCCCGATGCAGCCTCAGAGGAAGCCTTGGCCGCCTGGGTGAGAATCCTGCCCTCTTCTGACAACTGCAGGGCTGCCCTGTGGTTCGGCCCAGAACAGTGGCAGGAGCCCCACTCACGAGAAGGGTGTTCCTCTGGCCTCATTTGTGTGGAATAGACTGGCTATGAGGATACCAAAAGATCCCGAACGCTCAACTGTGGCCCTGACGGCAGAGCTGACAGCTGCTCCGGTGCCAAAGTGTCTCTTAGGTCCAATTCTACTTACCCATAACTGCAGGGCCACAAGTCACTCTATAAATTGTGCCCCACAGTGGCCAGGCATCAGGCGTGGCTCATATCTTGTAATCCCAGCACTTTGGGAGGCTAAGGTGAGAGGATCACTTGAGGCCAGCAATTCGAGGCTGCAGTGAGCCGTGATCATGACTGCACTCCACCCTGGACAACACAGCAACATCTCCAAAAAGATATTTAAATGGTGTCCACAGATAAGTGTTGAGACAACAGGGCACGGTCAGCTCTATCTGCTGTCAGGACGACGTCGCGTGTTATTTACGCCTGGTTGGAACACGTCAGGGGGAATATCTTAACACATCAGATGCGTGTACTGGGCATGGGACCGTCTACCTGTGGGACCTTGCCCCCAGGTTCCCTGAGAGGTGCCAGGCTGGGGACCTCATCCAGTTCTATCTCTCTCAGTGTGGCACAGGCCTCAGTGAGTGGACATGGGGTGCACATTTCCCCTTCAGGAACTGTACAAAAATTGAAGAAAAGGAACCACACACCCCAAATTCAAAGAAAGCCTCCAACAATTGGAGTTGGAGGCGTTCTCCAAACCCCTTCCCCACTTCCTGACAGCCCCCTGTCAGCCTTGAAGAAGAGGAAGGAACAGGCCAACCTTGGGGACCCCGCCTGCCCCCAGGGTTGAGCAAGGCTCTGAGGGCACTGCTCCTGGAGACCAGGGCTGCCCCAGGGGCAGGGGCAGGGCAGAGCACCACCCTCGTCAGCAGCCTGTGGCCTTGGCCCGTCCTGTCATCACTCCGGACCTCTATTTCTCAACCGTAATTTTAAAAAAACAGGACACCGTGGCCTGTTTAGGGCTTCTTTTTGGCAATAACATTTAAGTCTGGAACATGACAAGCTCCATCTCCTGGTCTGATAAAACAGCAAGTACCACCCCCAGAATTCTGGACAACGTCCACCCCTCGGGCCCTGGACTTTCACCTGCACCCTGGCTGCTGAGCAGGCCTCTGGCATCATCTCCCAACCCAGTCATGTGTGGCTCCAGGCCTCTGAGCCCAGGCAGGCTCAGCCACCCTTAGCTGGAGGCCCCGACTAACACACAGTTCCCTCTTCTTCTGCAGGCCAGCCCCAGCCTCATCCCTGTGGTTGGTTGATATTGGTTTTAAGCTATGGGTGACAAACTCTCTGTTCTCTGAGTGTGCCTTCAGGACATGATGTCACCCTCGTTGAAGTCTGAATGCCCAGGAAAGGCTGCCTGAGGGGTTGGACTGGATTGTCGTCCACCTGCCCATCTGCAGAGCTGCCAGGGCTCACCCGCTTGGGCAGGAGCACAGTCCCTGGAGAGCTGGTCAGAGCAGACCATGGGCTGTCCCCAGAGGCTTGAATCCCACCGCTCAGGCTGGGGCTGGAGCGTCCACATTGCTGACGGGTTCCCCAGTGGTCTGGACGTCCTGGACCGCACTCAAAAATTGCCGCCCTCAAGCATCCGGGAGACAGGTGGTTCTGGCTCCTGGACACTGCTCCACCTGCCACGTCTGGGATAAAAGCCCCCTGCTCTGGGCCATCACAGTGGCGCTGTTGAAGGAGATCACAGAAAGCAGCCAGTCCAGCCCAGTACAGGCCAGGCTCCAGGGAAGAAGAACAGGCAGGGGCATCCAGCCCAGGGGAGCAGGGACGGTTTCAAAGGAAGTGATATCTGAGGCTTCAAGGACAGAGAAGGGTCAGCCAAGCAGCGAAGGGGAGGGTAATGGTGTTCCCAGGAGAGGAGCGGGCAGGAGTAAACATCCACCCAGGGCTGTCCTGGGAACAGCAGGTGTGTGTGGCTCCACACAGATGGCTGGAGCATCATGGGAGAGGAGCAAGAGATGGAAGCTGAGGCTGGACAGTGGGCTGGCTGGACCCTGACAGGCTTCAGGCCGGTCGTGGAGTCTGGACATCAGCGTGCAGCTGCTGTCAGCAGACGGGGCTGGCAGGGCTCACAGAGGCAGGGCTGACATCCAGTCTCAGGCCAGGGCCAGAGTGACTGTCCACAGGGAAGAGGGGACAGCCCCAGGTATCTGGGATAGAAGGAGGAGGGCAAGTAGGGAAGAAAATTCAGAACTCACATTTTTTTTTTTTCCTGAAACAAACTCGAAAAAGGTACTGTCGGTTAAAAAACAAACAACAAAATAAAAAACAAATAACAAAAGAAAACTCTGACCCTGTGGGTACCACACTTTTTTTTTTTTGAGACGGAGTCTTGCTCTATCGCCCAGGCTGGAGTGCAGTGGTGTAATTTCTGCTCACTGCAACCTCCGCCTCCCGAGTTCAAGCAGTTCTCCTGCCTCAGCCTCCCGAGTAGCTGGGATTACAGGCACGCACCACCACACCTGGTTAATTTTTGTATTTTTAGTAGAGACGGGGTTTCACCACGTTGGTCAGGCTGGTCTCCAACTCCTGACCTCGTGATCCACCCACCTCAGCCTCCCAAAGTGCTGGGATTACAGGCTTGAGCCCCTGCGCCCGGCCTGTACCACACTTTTAAAGAAGCAATTGATTATAGACGTTTTCTTGCTCCCTACGGCATCAAATGTTTGGTGTCACTGTGTGGTGCTGCAGACCCATGTGTAGATGGCCACAGCCTGCGTGCAGCTCTGGGGGTCTTATACCTCCATGTCCACACCACCCTCTTCCTCTCTTACTCCTCCTTGGGCTTCCTGGCCCAACTAGTTTCCAGTATACTAGGGTATACTTAGACCTTCTCAATGCCCCATGCTCACTGACTTGGGGTGCACTGGAGACACTGATCTCTCATTTTAAAATAAGAATCAGTGAATAGGTGGATGTGAGGATTTTCCATTCACCTTCCAGGTACGTCTCCTGCCTTCAATCCTTCAATGCTCTGGGCCATGCCCTCTCACGATAGGGGAACAGGGTTGCAAATGGCAAACGAGGGAGGCCCTTCTTCCAGGAAGCCTATTATACAAGAGCATTCCAGGGCTCACTGGTGCTGTCCTGCGAGCCACAGCAGGCTGGCGGGGGACAGCATGACCCAGGAAGGGTGCCTAAGCCACCTGCCTTCATGGCCAACCCTGACCCTGAGGTTAGAGCATCCCTCAAAACATCTCCACTCGCACATCTCTCTCTCATTCCTCACTCCCAGATCCTTAAAACCATCAGCACAGAGCCAAGACATTTACAAACAAAACAGTAACAAAAACCCAAACTCTTCCAACCTTCAGACTCCACTTTAGGACCTAAAAAGCAACATCTTCCAAAGCAGAGAAAAGTACTTCAGGGGAAGAAAACTCCAGACTCTGAAAGGCGGGGAATACAGTGTGTGTTGTCACATGAACACCAAATGCCAAGAAGCCATCTCAGACAAGGACGCCAGCCCACACCAGCTGCTTCTAAGAGGCTGCCCTTTCCCAGAGGCATAACACCATGAGCCTAGGAACACAGAGGGAAGAGGTGCTCCCAGCAGCTACGTTCCAAAGAGCGGGGCCAGGACGGCCCCACCACAGGACTCACAGCATTGAAATCCCATTTGTGGAGGCTGCCAAATGTCAGCATCTGCCCTGGCCTTTCTCAATTGCCATAACTCCACGCGGCTGAGAAAGAAACAGAAGGGGAAACTCCACCAAACTTAAAAATTGGGAATAACTGTACTGCTCCCTGCAAACACATAAAGCTGATCCAGCCACGGTGGCAAGTACTTCAAACAGAGCCGCTTCCTTCTTAGCACTCTGTTTTATCTTTTTATTTGTTTTTGAGACAGGGTCTCACTCTGTCACCCAGGCTGGAGTGCAGTGGCACAGTCTTGGCTCACTTCAACCTCTGCCTCCTTGGTTCAAGCGATTCTCCTGCTTCATCCTCCAGAGTAGCTGGGACCACATCTGTTTTATCTTTAAACTGAGGAGACACGCCCCTCCGCCCCTCTCCACATATACCCTGGCATCCTGTGTCTTCTCTGCTCTCTCAGGGCCACCTTCTGAGCAACAGATCCCCACGGCAGCCCCAGAGAGCGGAGTGGGGGTGGGGGGGATGGCTTTGTCAACTTGTTCTCATTCTTGAGCTGACGATCTCTCCGTTTTGAGAGTGAGGAGATCTAGGCCTTTTTCTTTTCCCTGGCATGTTTAATTTACAATTACTGTACTCAGGCAGTGTGAATGTTTACCATATGTTGGTTGTGTGGCAAAATATTCTGGCTCCCAGAAAAAGTCTGGTAGCTGAGTCAAGCTGAGTCACTCACCTAGAGAAGTCCTGAGGGAGGTCATTAGAGGTGGCTGGGACAGGCACGGTGCCTCCCTGCCTCCTGGAGGAGGAAAAGGCAGAGCTGGGAGTCAGATCCAGATGGGTGCCCCAACCGGCTGGAGCACAGAGGCTCTTACAGAACACCACGATTGTGTTGGGATTGTATGCACTAGAACTTTGCCTACAGAGGAGAAAAAAGCCGAGTTGGAACCAGGGCAATGAACAGGACCAAAGAAACTCAAGGATGGAAATGGTAACAAAAACGCAAAGCAGAACTCAGTCACCATCAAAACACAAAGATCACTTCAATTTAGTATTTTTTAAATGTGTCCTTCATTCTAATAGTATATGGTTTACATACTAAAGTGAAAGAACTTATTCATTTTGATGATAAATCATCATGTTTTTCAATGAAACATGTGACAGGTTAATTCCTGCAGTTTCTGCAATGTCCCCAACAGTTAGGACCTCCATTCTATCATAAAATGGCCACTTTTCATCACCGTATGGCCATGACTACTGAAAAACACAAAATGTCAGGAAAAACTAAACCGCTGCTGCTGAGTGCCTGATGAGCGCCTGAAGACAGTGGCTCACAAGTGGTGTGTGCTTAAGAATCAGCTGAGGAATCTTGTCTAAAATGCAGGTTCCAAAGCCACACTTCCAGCTATATGAGGCTGTTCTCACACTGCTATAAAGAACTGCCCGAGACCAGGTAATTTAGAAAGGAAAGAGGTTTCATTGACTCACAGTTCAGCATGGCTGGGAGGCCTCAGGAAACTTACAATCATGGCGGAAGGTGAAGGGAAAGCCAGGCACCTTCTCCACAGGGCAGCAGGGGAAGAATGAACGCAGGAGAAACTACCAAACACTTATAAAACCATCAGACCTCGTGAGAACTCACTCACTCTCAGGAGAACAGCATGGGGGAATCCGCCCCCATGATTCAATTACCTCCACCTGGTCTCTCCCTTGACACGTGGGGATAATGGGGATGATGGGGATTACAATTCAAGATGAGATTTGGGTGAGGACACAGCCAAACAATATCACTACCTCCGTTAAAAAGCTGAGGGTCTGCAGAGTGTTTCTCCAGGCATGATTAGAGGAGTGCCCAGGAATCTTGTGAAAATTTTAAATTCCTTGGCCTACTCCCTACTCTACCACAGATTCTGATAGGATAGGCAGGGGTGGGGGCGGGTCTACAAATCCATATTTTCCAGAAGCTTCCAGGCCTTTCTAGTGAGGTTTTCCTGGCAGAGCTTTCAAGAACACAAGAGTAAAATCCCATTACCAGCCAGATGACCATCAATTCTGAGCCAACATGAGAAGGTTGTTTATGGGTTTTTGTTGTCCCGCTCCACATAAGAATAACTTTCCTCACTATTTCCCTCATACTTGACTGAAAAAAGGGAGCGGGACGGGTGCCGTGGCTTTGCTCCTTGGTCTCTTGGCGGCTCTGCGGCCTCAGACGTGTTGCTCGCCTCTGCCTCTCAGCTTCTTCCTCACGTCACACGGAGCCTGAAGCACAGCTGCTTCCTCAGGGCGTGCTCAGGGCTAAAGGCACACCTCTTGCCAGCCCAGCCAGTGCCTGATGCCCTCCTGCTCTTTGCTATCAAGTTCTAATCCCTGTGAGCAGAGAAATGAACAGCAAACTCCATGAAGGGGACTTAGCATCACCGCTCGAGGGGAGAGTGAAAAACTACTCACACTGCCGAGAAAACTTCAGGTTAGCTGAGCATCAGCCATGTGCAGGCACAGACTTCAAAGACCCAGGAGAGGCTAGAGTAATTCCAGCACTTTGGGAGGTCGAGGCAGGAGGATCACTTGAGCCCAGGAAGCTGAGGCTGCAGTGAGCTATGATTGCACCACTGCACTCCAGCCTTGGTGACACAGCAAGACCCTGTCTCAAAACAAGCAAATAAACAACAACAACAAAAAAACATCCAGGAGAAATGGAGTGTGTCGTCTTCATGGAATGAGAGCTGGAGTCACGGGCCCTGGAAGACAGGCATGACGTGGGGAGGAGCTGGTCTTTAGGCAAGGGAGCCCCCAGCCGGGGAGGTTCCAAGCACTTGTCACACATCCGCTGACTTACCTTAAGGGCACAAAGAAGTCATGTAAATGCTTCAGACTGTGTTACCTCCAGTTTTCAAAGTAACTGACATGCCACAGACCACAGATGGCAAATGTTTCCTCCACAGGGCCTATCAGGTGACTGTGGCTGCCCGCACACTGTGTTAAGAAGGATTGTGGGCCGGGCGCGGGGGCTCACGCCTGTAATCCCAGCACTTTGGGAGGCCGAGCCGGGTGGATCATGAGGTCAGGAGATTGAGACCATCCTGGGTAACATGGTGAAACCCCATCTCTACTAAAAATTACAAAAAATTAGCCGGTCATGGTGGCAGGTGCCTGTAGTCCCAGCTACTCGGGTGGGGGAGGCTGAGGCAGGAGAATGGTGTGAACCCGGGAGGCCAAGCTTGCGGTGAGCCGAGACCACACCACTGCACTCCAGCCTGGGCAACAGAGCGAGACTCCATCTCAAAAAAAAAAAAAAAAAGGATTCTGAGCAGCAGTAAGGCCCCACCAGGCCTGCGTGAAGAGCGGCCACCCTCGGGCCCCGGGTTTGCCATTCTCACATTGGCAATATCCATGAATTCAGGGATGTGAGTGAGCACATCTTCTGACACGTTCCTCCAAAAAGTCAAGGATTCACCCTGGTAACTCTAAGTCCTCTTGGGGCAGAAACTCCTTTGACACTCAAAACACAGGTCCTTTCTCCACTCACACAGAAGAGTTTGCAGGCAGTTTCCTTCAGCATACGAACCCCAGATCTGATACAAAAGGACAAATCCTGTATGATTCTGCTTATATGTGGTACCTAGAGTAGTCACGTTCGTGGAGACAGGAAGTAGAAGGGTGGTTGCCAGGGGCTGCGGGGAGGGGAATGGGGAGTGGCTGTTTCATGGGCAGAGTTTCCATTGGGGAAGATGAAAAAGTTCCAGAGGTGGATGATGGTGATGGTGGCACAACGTGAATGCACTTAATGCCACTGATTGTCCATTTAAAAATGGCTTAAATGGGCCAGGCGTGGTGGTTCATGCCTATAATCCCAGCACTTTGGGTGGATCACGAGGTCAGGAGTTCGAGACCAGCCTAGCCAACATGGCGAAACCCCATCTCTACCAAAAATATAAAAAATTAGCTGGGTGTAGTGGCTGGTGCCTGTAATCCCAGCTACTCGGGAGGCTGAGGCAGGAGAATCGCTCGAACCTGGGAGGTGGAGGTTGCAGTGAGCTACTGCACTGCAGCCAGGCCACAGAGCGAGACACCATCTCAAACACACACACACACACACACACACACACACAAGGCTTAAATGGTAAATTTTATGTTATACACATTCAAGCACAAGTTTTTTTGAAAAACAGCAGATCTGCAAAATGCCACTCCTAGGTCTTGTAGCTTTGTTCTCACACTGACGAGCATGCCAGTTTGTCTTTGCTGGGGAGTTGATCAACCCTCAGGGTTCCCTGTGCTTCCAGCAGTACAAAGGCCCAAGCTGTGTCTCAGACACCAGGCTCATAGCTCCCTGAGGCTGACCCCATTCGTGATCCTGGATGGGCCACGCAGGGTAAGGACGACTGGGCTTTCTACCTGAAGCTCTCGAACTGCACTCATGTTCCATAAAGAACCTCATCTCATCTTCCGAGGGGGGCAGGATTGTTTCTGCTGGCATTTGGTGCCAGGATCCCAGGTTGACTCCAGTAGTCACAAGTCCCAGGTTTTCTCAACTCTAACGGAGGAGCCCAAGCAAAGGGACACTCCCAGAACACCCGGGAGGCTTATCCTTCCGCCGCTCCTTTGGTTTTCCTTGGACTCTCTGCTTAGAAACCTACAACGTGAAATCCAGTCATGGAAGCAGCCACAGAACAGTTGTTTCTTTCTGGTCAAATTTATTACATGATAAATTAGTATATTGTTATACAATCATTTCAATATAGAGTGTATAACAGCATGCACATCTCTGTCCCCCAGCCCAAGAAACAGCACATTCAGCATGCACCACTGAAGCTCCTGGAGTAAACCTCCAGCCCTGGTCCTCGGCCCCCGCCTGGAGAAGTAACCATGTGGATTCAGCACTCCTGGCCCTCCGCACTGCTCCATACTTTCATACTCACGTTGGAAACAATGAGTAGTGTTGTGTTGTTTGTTTGAACACTCTGGATACACCAGCATCATATTGGACATATACTTCTGTGGCCAGGTGGTCTTCTTCCATCCTTATGTCTTTTATCTTCATCCATTTTGACGTGTGCAGCTCTAGTCCATTTATTTTTACTGCTCTCTAGAACTCCACTGTTGGGCACTCCCACATTATCCCCTCTCCCATAGATGGAAACTTAGATGTTTTCATAATGACAAACAAATGCCGCAGTCAACACGTGTGCACATTCATGCGCATGCCCATGGCTGGAACTGTGGGGTCAAGGATGGGCACATCTTCAGTTCTACTCAGAATGCCCCTTTGCATTCCAGTGTGGTGGGATTGATGCCCATGCTCCCTGGCAGTATTGGAGAATTCCCACTGCTCCACATCCTCACCAGATTACCAGATTTTCTGTTGTCAGACTTTTTAATTTTTGCCAATCTCATGGATGTGTTGCGCCATGGTAAACCAAGTCCTAACAAGGGCCAAGAGGCCTTAGGCCAACACCATCTGGCTGCCACAATTCCACCCCCACACCACCCCACTGTACACCTTCCTACACTTAGTTCCTATTCCCTTCCTGGACTCACCGCGTTTCTGCCACCCTGGCCTCGATGTTCCATGTATGTACCAGGCACTCATGCCTTGGAACTTTTACACTGGCTGTTCCCTCTTCCACAAATGCTGTTACCCAGGTACAGTCATGTTCTCTCCTTCCTTTCTTCAAGTCTCTGTGCAAATGTCACCTTCTCAGTGCAACCTATTGGGGCCACCTTATTCACAACTGTACCCAATCCTTGCTCCTGGCACTTCTCCTTTATCACCTACACCTTTATCACCTTCTAATAACCTATGTGATTCACTCACCAATTTTATTTCTTTGTCTCTTCCCACCAAAATGTAATATCCAGGTGGTGAGGGATTGTTGTTGATTTTGTTTCCTGGTATTTCCTAAGTTCTGAGGAGAGTGCTTGGCACATAATAGGCATTCAGTAAATACTTGCTGAACACATGGATGGATGAATGGAAGAATGGATGGAAGGATGGAAGGATGGATGGATGAAGTGATCAATGGATGATGGGATGAATGGATGGATGGATGAAGGGACGAAGGGATGGATGGATGGTTGGATGGAGCAATGGATGGATGGATAGATCAATGGATGGATGGATGAAAAGATGAATGGATGAATGGATGGAAAAATGGATGAAGGGATGAAGAGTAAATGGATGGATGGATGGATGGAGGAATGGACATATGGATAAAGGGATGAATGGGTGAATGGATGGATAAAGGGATGGATGGAAGTAAATGGACGGATGGATAAATGAATGGATGGATGAAGGGGTGAATGAATGGTAGACGATGGATGAAGGGATGAGTTGATGAAGGAATGGATGGATGAATGGGTGGATGGATGGATGGACGGATGGATGAAGGGATGAATGGAAGGAAGGAAGGATGGATGGATGGATGGATGAAGGGATGAATGAGTGGATGGATGGATGGATGGACGGATGGATGAAGGGATGAATGGAAGGAAGGATGGATGGATGGATGAAGGGATGGATGGATTGATGAAGGGACGGATGGCTGGATGGAGTGATGGATGAAGGGATGGATGGATGGGTGGATGGATGAGGGGATGGATGGATGAGGGGATGGATAGATGGATGGATGGATGTCTTAAAGCTCAGTCATTTGTGCTACTATTCACACTGGCTGCAATTTGTGAGCTTGGAAAACCAGTCCTTTTTTCCAGCCTGAGGTAAGATCTGATTCTTCACAAGGCTGTTTCACTACTGACATGTTTTCATCAGATACGTTTGCATGTTCATTAACTCATGTAAACATTATTAAAAGGACTATGTAAACAGCTTCCTACACGTTTCCTCTTGCTTTCATTCAGGTATAATTATATGAAAACACAATGTACCATATGTGCCAACGGGCCATTCCCTTTCTTGTGCTTCCAAACGACAATTCCCCTCTGCAAACACACTCAGATACCAGGTCTTTACATTTCTCCTTCTACTCCAAATCTAATCTGCCTTCTGAAGACAAAAATCTCAAAGCCCCTGCCCAATGATATGGCAGCCAACAATGTCCATTCTCACCCTAATATGGTCTAGGAACTCACTCTTACCTTTAAAAGTGCTTTGCAAATTGTAAAAGGGTATTCAAAAATGGTTACTTCCTCCTTCACTGTACCCTTGTCACAACTATTCAAATAGTCATAAACATTCAATGCTGCCAAACATGATGGTGGTTTCCAATCCTCTTCACCCTACCCAAGTCCAACATGTCACCCCTCCAATAGTCACTATGTCCCCTCACACAGGAAACATCTCAGAAACAGGCATGAGTGTCCTGACAGCTGCAGAGGAATAAGTATGCTGAAGGTCACTGAAAGTGACTGGCCAGCAGCCTCTAAATCAGTTCTATTTTCTTCCTGGCATACTACTCGTCTAGATCTTCCAGCCCCCTCCCTTGCAGTTAGGTATGGCCATGTGACCGAGTTCTAACACAGTGGTTCTCAACCAGGACAATTTTGCCTCCCGGGGACATCTAGCAATGTCTGGAGAGGAGGCAACTGTGGTTGTCACAACTAGAGGAGAGAGGAGAGTTCTATGGGAATCTAGTGAGTCTCTGAGGCCAGAGAGCATCCTGCTGAACATTCCACAATGCACAAGACAGCTCCTCACAACAATAAACACCATTCACAGGCTTTGTGGCTTTGTTCTAACTCTGATTAGCCTTTGGCCAGCTCAAATGCCCATGGTGCCAAAACCCTACACTCACCCTGTACTAATAGTTGAGAAACCCAGTTCTAACCAATGGAATGTGAGCTAATGTGTTGGAGCCAATTCCTTGCCTGATCCATAAAAACCAGCCAAGTGCAGTTGTCCAAGCTCTTTCCTCTTCCTTAGTCTGGGTGGAGATGATCCCAGGCAACTTGGAAGCCACACGCCGAATACAATGGGGCCACAAAAATGGGAAGAGCTTACATCTGTCACTGCTTGAATGAGAGCTGTCTGCCCATCAGTAACACACATTTTACACTACGAAATAAACTAGCATGTTAGAGATCTGGGTTTGTTCAAGATACCAGCTGGCATTAGCTAACTCAGTCACAAATACTTTTGCTTGTTTTCTTGAATAGATTCTCCAATATATGGAGCTCCATTTGAGCCAACATCACCTGGGGGACATCTGGATTGGCCAGTCCTATTTCAAGTGGGAGAGGGATCTCCAGGGTACATTTCTCTGGAAATCAACTTATAACTGATATAACGAGCTGGCTTATGCAAAGACACAGGAGGGGTCTGTGGGCCCATTTAAGTCTCTGAGGAACTTTTGAAATTGGTCCTCTTTAGATAAGCTCGCTACAGTTCACCTCTGGCCATTCTAGTCCTATAGGACTTCAAATTTGAATCTCTATACTCTATGTGCTGCAAGTTTAGTCGAAGATATCTTCTCTTGCCCAGTTATCTTAACCAGTCAGAGCTTAGTAAAAATAAATGCAAGTTCCTATTTCTTTACAGATTTACTATATCTGTCATAAGGCGTTTCTGCAATTGTAGTGATCGTTTACTGAGGAGGTTGCTAAATTTAGCAGATGAAATATAAGGACATACTCATACTAAGAAAAATTATTCTATTCATTGTCCAGCCAAAACTTAAATTTAAATAGGTTTCCTGCATTTTATCTGGCAACCGTATTTACTGAGCACTTATATTTTTCCAGGTACTACATCTGAGATACATTCAAATCCTCAAAATAACACTGAGCGGGGCGCCACTATCGTCTCCATTTTCAAATGGGGCAAGAGAATGCAAAAGGCTAGGTTCTCTCCCTGGGCCACAGCCCACCTGCCATTGGCAGTGCTGGGATCCCAAAGCAGCCAACACATGGGCTCTTCTCGCCTGGTCCAATGCTCAGAGGTGTGCCCGCAGGCAAGATCTGCTCAGGGAATGCTCCTTATTTCACCACCATTCCTTTAAAACCTACAGAAAGCATAGTCTTTTTTTCTAATGGGCAATCGTCAAAACACAGTGGCTGTAAGGGAACCTGAAGATGTGGTGAGGATGGTTAAGAATATCTTATTTAAAACTTTCATGTTTTGGAACTATTGTAAAATATCCATAGTAAATATTTCCTTTTTTAAAGCTTGCATTTCTCTCAGAGATGGGTAAATGGACGTGATCCAGTTTCAGCAAGTCTTAGGAGGCAACTCGGTGCGAACCTCAGGAGCACAGACTTTGAGGTCAGATGGGCGTGGGCTTAGATTCTGGTTCCACCATCTCCTGGCCGTTCTGGCATGGGCAGGTTACCTGGGCATCCTTCACACTGGCAGTTTGCTGGCCTGCAAGATATGAAAGCAGCAGTCTCCGTCTGAGGGCTCTGTAAGGGCTTAGTGCAGAAGCAGGTGAGGGAGCGCTGCCCATCCTTTACACATGGGAACCTGGGGCTCATGGTGACTCACCCTAGGACACGCTGCAAACCAGGGGTGCAGGTGCTCCCAGAGACGAAAGAAACAAAGGACTGGGTGGGAACCAAGAGCTCAGGCTCAGGGAGGGACAGACTGGGGGAGCCCTCAGCCTCACCCCCCAGGCCCCAACATGCACCCCACCCCCGTAACGGCAGCAACCAAAGAACCTCATCCCACCTTATTGCAAGGATTGCCTGCTTCTGCATTTCTTTAGTGGCTCCTCCTGGAGAATTCAGGACTCATGACTTGAACTAGCAGGACTTGATGAACTGTAACTGCATCCACCCACTCCTGACTGCTTTCTCGGGATCAGAAATGGCCACACTGGGATTGTGTCACTGGGCAACACCATCCCAGGAGTTCCTGCACCTTAAATCAACAAGACAATGGGAGAAAAAGCCTGATCCTAACCTGGAAGCATGATCATCACTCCACACTCAAATTCTTTACATTGTTGTTGTTTTTTTTTAATGTTGAAATCACTTTAAAATCTTGATAAAGAGAAGTGACGCCTCTGAGATGTTTCTGTGACACTGTTTCTGCAGTGTCTGGAGGTACCAGATGCTCTCACTGCCTTTCCAGGAAACTGTGCGGCCCACAGGCAGTCACCTCTCACCAGTGAGGCTTCCTCGTGTCTCCAGGGCCCCTGAGCTGGTACCATTCATCATACTTGGTTTTGGTTCAAAACATACAGTCATCACATAGGGTTATAAATTCTATATCTTGGGGGATAGTTGGTAGGGGTTCTTATTGGTTAAAAGAAAGTCCTAAGAATATACTAGACACATATCAAATAAAACCTGTATTTCTTTTAAAATTAAGGCACTTTTAGGCGGGGTGCAGTGATGCCTGTAATCCCAGCACTTTGGGAGGCTGAGACAGGCAGATGACTTGAGCCCAGAAGTTCGAGACCAGCTGGGTAATATGGTGAAAATCCATCTCTACAAAAAAATATAAAAATTAGCCAGATGCAGTGGCTCACATCTGTAATCCCAACACTTTGGGAGACCAAGGCAGGAGGACCACTTGAGCTCAGGAGTTTAAGAACAGCCAAGGCACCATGACGAAACCTCGCCTCTAAAAAAATACAAAAATTAGCCAGGTGCAGTGGCATGTGCCTATAGTCCCAGCTACTCGGGGGACTAAGGCAGCAGAATTGCTTGAGCCCAGGAGGTAGAGGTTGCAGTGAGCTATCGCACCACTGCACTCCAGCCTGGGTGACAGGAGTGAAACCCTGTCTCAAAAAGAAATAAATAGCTGGGTGCTGTGACACATGCCCATAGCCCCAGCTACTTGGGAGGCTGAAGTAGGAGGATTGCTTGAGCCCAAAAGGTTGAGGCTGCAGTGAACCATGATCATGCCACTGTACTCCAGCCTGGGCAACAGAGTGAGACCCTGTCTCAAAAAAAAAAAAAACAAAAAAAACAGGTAGGTTTGTTGGGTGTAGGGATATGTTTATTTTATGCACTATAAATCATGTTGTTATAAAACTTTCAGGAAAAATACACAAATAAATTATCAATGATTACAACTATAATGAATGCACAAGATTATACCTAGAAACTCTGTACCCCCAATTTCTCTTTTGGAGGCCACTTTATGAAACAAATCACCCACAAAAGTATTGACTTACGACAATGAGTTACTCTACAGTCCCACTGGCCAGGCTCCAGCAGGCAGCCTCACGATGTCTTGTGTGCTTGGTCAGTTGGTGGCTGGGGCTGAGGTCATCTTACTGGGCTGGACATCCACGGAGTCCTCTTTTATTCCCAGCCAGGTGCTCAGCTGGGATGACTGAGGCTGGCCCCTTTTTTAGCCCTTTCCATGTGGCCTCTTCATGCCACCAGCTTAGACTTCCTCACTGCATGGTGATCTCAGAGATGTCTGCATTTGTTACATGGTGACTGTAAGAGAGAAGCCAAGAAACCAAAACCTTTTAGACTATAACCGTCCCACTTCAACCAAACGCCACAGAAAAGACTGTGGCCCCAACTCTAACCCCATCAGCAAAGGGGAGTGAAGAGCTAGATGGCCCCCCTCAGTCTGCTGTCAGAAGACGCCACCCTGAACAACAGGATGGTGTCAGAGAAGGTGCAGTGGGGAGCAGACAGTCATCCCTGCAGGTCAGCAATAAGCATCAGCAGAGGCTACCTGGGAGCCTGAACACCCACCCACCCCATCCACCACCCAGGGGATAATCAGGCACTGCTCTCTCCCCACTGAGGTTGTCAAGGTTGAGTAAGAACTGCGACATTCATCACCTTCCAATGGTAAGATGCCTCCACCCCACAATGTCATTGGAGGCCACGTGAGGAGCACCTCCTCCCAAGCCAGGGTGGTGCAGCAGAGGCCACTATAATAGAAGATTTAAATAAGCTCCACATCATAACATTACCCCCAAAACGCCCAGGTTTCAAGAAAAAAGAAAAAAAAAATCATTCATCATTCCAAGAACCAGGAAAAGCTCAACTTGAACGAGAAAAGACAATCAACAGTTGCCAACACTGAGGTGACACAGATGTTGGAATAATCTGACAAGGACTCTGCAGGGGCCATCAGAAAAATCTTCTAATGAGCAATTATGAACAGGCAAAAAAAAGATGAAAAAATAGAAAACTCAGTAAAGAAGCAGAAGATGTAAAGAAGAATGAAAGGGAAATCTTAAAACTGAAAAATACAGTAACCAAAGTAAAAACTCATTGAATGGACTCAAAAGCACAGTGGAGAGGGCAGAGGAAACCATCTGTGAACCTGAAGACAGAACAACAGAAATTGCCCAACTGAACAACAGAGAGAAAACAGATTTTTTAAAAATATATTAACATAGTCTCAGGGACCTCTGGGATTATAATAAAAGATCTAACATTAGTGTCATTGGAGTTCTGAAAAGAGAAGAGAAAAAGGGCAGGGCTGAAAAAGCATGTGAAGAAATAATGGTTGAAAATTTCCCAAGTTTGGCAAAAGAAGCTGTCTAGAGAACCTCAAACAGAATAAACCTAAAGAAATCCATGCCTAGAGAGATCATAGGCAAACTTCCAAAAATGAAAAGACAAATCAAGGAGAGAGAAACCACACCTTACTTACATTGGGGAAAAAGCAATTCAAATAACAGCAGATTTCATATGAGAAATCAGATTTTGTCATGAGAAACCCTGATAGAAGGAAGAAAGCACCACAGAATGTCAGGTGCTAAAACGAAAAAACACTGTCAACCCCAAATTCTATATCCAGCAAAAATATCCTGCAGAACTGAAGGCAAGAACAAGACTTCAGATGCGGGAAAACTAAGGGAACATGTCACCAACACACCTACCCTAAAAGACTGTCCAAAAAATGCTCTTGAAACAGCAGGAATTACTCAAACGGAGACTAATGGAATATCAGGAAGGAAAAAAGAACAAAGGAAAAAGAGAAAATGCGGGTAAGTATAACAGATTTTCCTTCTCTTGAATTTCTAGAAACGAGTGTACAGTTAGTTTCTTAAAGCAGGCGTCCCCAAAACCCCAGGCAGTGGGCTGGTACCGGTCTGTGACCTGTTAGGAATCCCAGGCAGAGCAGGAGGTGAGCAGTGAATGAGCATTACTCCCTGAGCTCCGCCTCCTGTCAGATCAGCCACAGCGTTAGTTCTCATGGGAGCGCAAACCCTACGGTGAACTGCACATGCCAGGGTTCTAGTCTGTGGGCTCCTTAGGAGAATCTAATGCCTGATGATCTGAAGTGGAACAGTTTCATCCCAAAACTATACCCCTAGTACCCACCACCCATCCCCCAGCCCCACTCCCTCAACCCTCTCCCAACCCCCCATTGGAAAAATGGACTTCCATGAAGCCGGTTCCTGGTGCCAAAACGGTTGGGGACCGCTGCCTTAAAGGGTCCAAGTAGGCTCATTCTCACCCAGCAGTCTGCCTACTGCAGGGTTCATTTAAGAGGCCGATTATTTATCCAGGGCTCATTTAAGAGGCCAATTATTTATCTGAAGCTTCTCAAATTGTGGTCGCCGCACCACCGGCATCAGCATCTCCTCGCCATGCTTGCTTAAAATGCTATATCCTGGGCTGCTCACCAAACCTACTCAATCAGAATTTATACAGGTGGCCACAGAACTCTGGGTGTAAACGTGGGTTTCTTACATAGACTAAGGTTTGAAAAGTCCTAAGATGTTAGTTGACCTTTAGTTAACAAAGGGTCAAGCTCAGTCATTCGGTGTTAACTTGGAAGAAAAATGAGAACAAACTGTTTTCACAGATTCCTGGCTCTTGGCAATCCAGCTGTCCAGGAGTGGAATACATTTCAAGGTTAAAAGAGTAATCAATGCTCCACCTGGAGTCAAGGTTACACACCTTTGCACAATGGCAGGCTGTCCTAGGAAGTGTTGGCTGGAGTCTAGGCCACCACAGAGGAGTCTGTCATTCACGTGTGCCTGCGTTTCTTCCTCTCTGAAATGGGGGCAGCCTTTCCAAACTCTTGGGCTCAAGGTGAACAGCAAAAGAGGTGTGCCGTGCACAGGCGTGTAAAAGACTATTTTTTACCTAAAGTGAATGTTTACTCTCTCCTTAAAGAGGGCCTTCGTGTTGCTCTTTTTTCTTTGAAATGGAACGTCTGTCTCTGTATTCTTCACACAGAATCCTAGAAAGTCAGGCATGATGGTTAAAATTAAATGTATGCCTTAATTTACCCATCCTTTTCTGCGGAGTCCTGATGAAGGGCAGGCCTAGGACTAAACAGGAGAGGCCCTGATGTCAGCGGAGGCAGGAAGAGGCCGGGATGAGCCCAGGACCCACCGCAGAGCTAACCAGGGCGATGTGCGCTCCACCAGCTAGAGCGCAAATCCTTCGCCCCGTGCCTAGGACTGCTCCTCCAGGAACTCCTCCAGGTCCCCTCCGCCCGCGGTGTCTCCACGTTCCCTCCTGGAGATGCAGCCTTAGGTCCTGCCCCTCCCGCAGAATGGTTCGCGGTGACGCGCGGCTGGGATCTTGCAGGACCCGCGCACGCACTCTAACTGGAAAGGAAAAGTCTGCAAACTGTCATTATTATGAGGAGAGGGCTGAATCTGGGAGTAAACGCCTTAAAGATGCGGCAAGGGGAAGAAGGAGTTCAAACTATTGAAAAACCTGTCCACCAGCCAACTCGCGCTGGCGCCGCCTGGGTAACACCAGTGCCCGGGCGATCGGTTCGCCTGCCTCCCCGGCCGAGAAAGGGCTGTGCCCCAAAGCCCTTGTCCTGTGCCCAGGACAAGCGCGTCCCGGCCAGGCCCTAGCCCGTCCCAGGGACCGGGACAGGGCTCACAGGGCGGCTGCCCCAGCTGGGAGCGCACGTGGTGCGAGGCAGGCGGGTTCCTCCTCACTGAAGTCATGGACTTGGCTCGCTGCGGAGGGGCCGGCGCGCGAACGTGGCTTGAGCCAAAAAAGAAAAAGTGCACACAATGTGTTTCTTGTTAGGGACTGCAAGCCGGGGCCTCGGGTTTTGCTTTTGGTGCCGCATTATAATATTAAGATGCAGTTTGATTCCGGACAAGTCCGTCCTTGTCGCTGGCTGGGGCGGATTCCCACGGACGCTGGTGGGCAGAGGGGGGGTGGCCTGGGTGCTGCGCTGTGGCGCGAGGGTGCACAGCGGATGGAGGGGGGGGTCCCTGCATGACCTAGGCTCCCTGCGGTGGCCGGACCCCAAGACTCGCGCCTCGGGGCGGCGCAGACAAGGCGACGCCAGCCCCGCTCCCGCCAGCTCGCGGGCGGCCCAAGATTGTTTTCCAAGACCTTATCTCTCACTCAAGTTAATTTTCTCTTTTAATTTGGTGATCGGAACAAAAGACACAGGAAAATCCTTTGTGAAAGCTAACGCAGCCACAAATCGGGGCACTTCACAGCATTTGTAACAAAATATTTGCAGTGCCCGTAGTTAAGTCGGCCCCTCCGCCAAACTTCCCAAACTTTGCTTTCTTTGAACCAAGCTGAAAAGTGATCTCCCTAAAAGGGGATCAGAAGATTGCAAGCAATTGGATTTAGCACGGAGTTCTACCTGGTGCTCTAGAGAGCTCTGGGCACACAGGATGGTGCGGGAATCCTGGAAGGAATTACAGCCTGAATGGTGGCAGGGCAGGGGAGGAGCCACTGTGAAGCCGTGGTAGTCGCTGAAACGCTTTGTTAATGCCATTTATTAGCTGTATGCGACAAGAAGTGTAAGAGGTTAGGCAGGTCTTCAAAAATATCCAAAAAGAGAAAAATAAACATTCCCTTGTTTGCTTTTTGTGGCTTTGCTCATTTTCTTCCCCTCGAGTGGCCCTTCATCTAAGGCTGTTTTAAACCCAAAATCGGTTATCTGGTTTCAGGGTAAGGGCTCCCTCTTGCCAAGGTATTAAATAAACAAGTACAGCAAAAACTTGAATCCTTATGTAATCCAAATGCCGTTTCCTCGAAAACCACAACAAATGCTGCTAAACCAGATAACAGGACCGGGAACATTCGGCCCCCCAACCCCCACCCCACAACACACAGCCTCCGCCCCCAGCTTTAGGGCCAGCAGAGGACATTTATGTTCAGGAACTCCTCTCCAGGACAGATAAATAATTGCTACTAACACTCTCAACTGCAGATGAGCACCCTTGAGGGATCCGGATGCCATAAACTGTCCGGGAGTGTTGGCATCTGGTTCTTAAAGCCAGGACCCCAGGAGGCGTCTGCGTCTGCAAGCTGACTTGGAAGTTTCTGGCCTCTTGATGTTCTCAGTCGAAAATGGTGCATTAGAAAGGGGATTGGTCTGGCCCGCGCTTTGTAGTAGTAATGAGGGCGCGAATCGCGCTAGGCTCTGCGCGCGCGAGGCTCCGCCGAGCAGGAGGACTGGGGCTGCACATCCTCCCGGCTCCCCCAGGGCGGAGAGGGGGGCCGTTCTGGAAGAAAAAATTGTTTATGCGCAACCTCCGAGGGTTCCGAGGAGTTAGGCAGTAAGACGGTGTGGAGGTTGGGGGGGCGGGGCGAGTCTTTCAATCTTTCAAAGGTATTTTTAGGAATCCAGGATCAAAGCCATTCGGCGAGAAACCGAAATAATCCAAAGGAGTAAATAAATCTCGCCATGTGCTAAGACAGTGACCTTCTCCCCATCCACCCTTCCCTCGCGCCAGCCCCACCCTGAACGCCTCGGTTGCAAAAACAAAATAAAGCAAAACCTTTTGCTTTGGCAACCTCTAAGCCACATTATGCCTCCTTTTGCAAAAGGAAGATTTCTTTCTTCTCCCTCTCCCGGCTTTTTTCCTTCGTCCTCTCCTCCGCCCCTCACCCGCCCACCCCCCCCCCCCCCCGAGCCCTTTTCTTTTCTTCTCGGTCCTCTTTCCTTCCCCAAATCACTCGAAACTTAAGACGTGCAGCGTCTGCAGGTGCGCGCGGGCCGGCGGCCGGGCCTGGGCGAGCCTGGGACTGCCGGGCCTCGCAGGCATTGATCAGCTGGGCGCGCGCGCTGAGTGACGGCGCGGTTGCCATGGCAGCCGCCTGAGCGGCGCCGCGAGGACAAGGCTGCAGGGCGGCGTGAATGGGCGGCGTCACGCGCCTGGCGCCAGAGAGTCTGCTCCGGGGCTCCGGCTCCGGCCCCGCCGCGGCCTGGCCCGCGCGCCGCCGCCGCCGCCACCGCCGCCGCCAATTCATCACCTGTCAGGGATCACTCGCGGGGTCACGGGCGGAATGGACACAGCTGTGAGAACAAAACCCGGGAAAGAAAGGCGAACGCTCCCCATTGCGCCAGATGTGCAGGGAGGACCTTGAGACGCGCCCCCCGCCCCCGCAGGCTCCTCCCGCCCCCCGGCGCATCACGCGGGGGTGGCAAAGGCGGCCTGGCCAGCGCGGAGCTCCCGGCCCGGAGCTGCTTCTGATTACCGCGAGGGGCCCGGACGCGAGAGCCGCCGCGGGGCCTGCCCTAGAGGCGGAGTGAGTGAGTCCTGGAGCCAGGCTGGGGGACCTTACGGGCCGGTCTGTCGCTGCCACGGGGTGGGGGCGTCCCGGTGGGGAGTCGAGGGGAACCGCACCAACACCCACCAGCGGAAGCCCTGCACACCTTCCCACCGCCCGCGGATCTAGCCCTCCCTCTAGCTGGGGCCGTTTGAACTTTGGAGGCCTCAAATGCAAACCCACCCAAGCCACCAATTGACAGATTTTGACTTGCCTTTAAACCCACTTGGAAAATGCTCCGACACGATTTTCCCCCACGAAAGCAATTTTTAAGGTGATTTCATATTGGGCGTGCTGAAACAGACACACTAGTAACTTAGGCCTCGTTTAAATCATTAACTTATACAGCTTCGTAATCCCCTTTAAATGATCTTTAAATGAATGTAAAACTGGGTAGCGTGCCAATAGAATCGAATTCAACACAGCCAGGCAGACTGGACTCTGACATGGCAGCTAAAGAAAGAAACACCAGAAAACTTTCACCATATTTAGCCATTTTACTACATCAGGGTACAAAAATGATCATGGGAGAAGGCACTGCCTTAATCAACTTTGCAAAGTGTAAAGTGAAACCGCACAATGCTCATTACCGCCCAACCCAGAGCCTGGCTGTGGGGATAATGAGGCTGGCACGGATGTTAACATACGGTGTCCTTGGAAAAAGCTAGGAATGCGTCAGTATCGAAGAGCTGCAATGTCCAAGAATCATAAGTAATAATTTGAGAATCCCAAAGATGTTTGTTTACATTGGCTATTATTGTAAAATAGTCAAAGTATAACATCATGAACCAAAATAGTGTCAAAACAAAATCTGTTCCACTGTGGCACGTATGTGACAGAAACACATGCACACAAAGTACATCAAAAGGCTCGAACTGTGGGAGGACTCGGATAGTAAATCACTTCCAGACTTAATATCAGAAGAGATACGGTGCATCCAACGCTGTCAGGGACAGAGTCGCAGGCAGCATTGCCTGGCCTGGGGAAGGCCCTCCGCAAACTTCTGGCTGGACAGGAAACAGTTTACCTCCTTCCTCCAAACTGAGGGGGCTGAATTTCAGGAAGGTGAGCTCCACCTCAGTGCCACCCACTCTGCCTCCCTGGAGAGGCGTCATGGGGCGCATAGCTGTCACGTGACGGTCAGAGACTGCTGGCCCCACCAGCTGAGAAATTAATCATTAATTGAAGGAAAAAACACTGTTTCCCCATTATCGAGCTTTTCTTTCAGCTTCTAGGCCTGCCCCTTCCGCTTTCTGAAATGCAAAGGAGGTAGAGATTGAGGCAGAAAGTAAATAAGATTTGAATATTGCCTTTCCTGGAGTTTTCTAGTTCATTGTTTTCTGGAGCAAATATTTTCAAAAACAAGAAACTGACACACTGTGGTCAAAACAGAATTCTAGATAAGCTACAATTATGTGAAAATTAAGGTATTTAAGTAAATAGCTGCAAACTTTTTAAAACTTAGACTGAAAGAACGAGTTCTTAAAAGATTTTCAGCCAAAAAAAAAAAAAAAAACCTTGAACCCGTATTCAGTACTAGTGCTGAAAAGATTCCAAACCTCATATGACAGAATATTTTTTTTTCCTTAGTGTGAAGATGTCTATCAATGGCTAGGGCCACCTATCTGTCACAAAGCTTTGGAACTCCTCTAGGTGTTGGAATGTGACACCAGAAATCACAATTAGTGCATAATTAATCACATTACTTTGCCACCTACACGGAAGGGCACAGACCGGCAGCCTTTCAAGGGCAGTGTATGTAAATGTAGTTTCAATATGCAAATTCTCCTAATTATTTCCGATTAATACGATCATTATAATAGCCCTGCCTCCTTCTTGAAAAGGAACCCTGAAAGCGCCCTGCCTGTGAGAGCTCCTTAGCGACCGGTGAGGTTGGGCATGGTTTGCAATAAGTACTCATTTTCTTGAGTTTACAGTAATGCCTCCCGCGCTGCTCCGGGTTGCAAAAGCCCACACTAAGCCTGTCGTCGAATGCGTGCGTGGGTGGTTTGTTTGTGTTAACATAACTTTTCCTTATCTGAAGAGACGAACTCACTCTACAAACGTGACTCTTCAGTGACAACCTAATTTGCGTTTTCACTTTCTTCTGAAATGCTTTCTATCTTTCCTCACGCTCTCCCTCCGATGGGTTGCAGTGAACTGTGGCTTCCCCCCTGCGGTGCTGAACTCGCCCGTGTAGCTGTGATTTTAGAGCTGCCGACAGCTCTAAGGTGTGTAGGGCTTGGTCTGGGAACACCCCCAGGGCAAGGGTCCCGCCGCGCGCTTGGAATTAGAATTAAGAATGCATATTTAGGCGCCCAGGGTCTGCCCCCTTCTCCCTCCTCCTTCCCCTCCCCCTTCCCCTCCCCCTTCCCCTCCCCCATCTTCCCTTCTCTTCCTCCTCCCTCCTCCTCTCCCTCCTCCCGCCTCCCTCCTCCCCGCCCCCCGCCCGCCGCTCCCCGCCCCCCGCCCCCCGCCAGCCCCGCACTTACTGTACTGTACTCTATTTACCACCCCAGCTGGGCTCGCGCCCCGCCCACCCCGCGGGGATTGGCTGCGAACGCGGAAGAACCAAGCCCACGCCCCGCGCCCGCGCCCACCAATGGAAGCGCCCGCTCGTCTTGATAGACGTGCCACCTTCCGCCAATGGGGACGAAGGGAAGCTCCAGCGTGTGGCCCCGGCGAGTGCGGATAAAAGCCGCCCCGCCGGGCTCGGGCTTCATTCTGAGCCGAGCCCGGTGCCAAGCGCAGCTAGCTCAGCAGGCGGCAGCGGCGGCCTGAGCTTCAGGGCAGCCAGCTCCCTCCCGGTCTCGCCTTCCCTCGCGGTCAGCATGAAAGCCTTCAGTCCCGTGAGGTCCGTTAGGAAAAACAGCCTGTCGGACCACAGCCTGGGCATCTCCCGGAGCAAAACCCCTGTGGACGACCCGATGAGCCTGCTATACAACATGAACGACTGCTACTCCAAGCTCAAGGAGCTGGTGCCCAGCATCCCCCAGAACAAGAAGGTGAGCAAGATGGAAATCCTGCAGCACGTCATCGACTACATCTTGGACCTGCAGATCGCCCTGGACTCGCATCCCACTATTGTCAGCCTGCATCACCAGAGACCCGGGCAGAACCAGGCGTCCAGGACGCCGCTGACCACCCTCAACACGGATATCAGCATCCTGTCCTTGCAGGTAAGACCTGCTCCGGGGTCCCCGCCCCGCCGCCGCACACTCCCGCGGTCGTCTGGGCTGTCACTAGGAGATCCGTAGCCCAGACGGTGACTTTCGTATGAGCTATTTAACTTTATTTTCTTCAGAATCTGCTGTAGATTGAGCTGTGCGTGAAATTGCTAGTAAGTTCTGACATGTTAATGCGTCTGTCTTTAAATCTGAATTGTTACCATAAACGTGTTTAATGGAACTTGCTGGTCTGTGGACTACAAAAAAAAAAAAAAAAAAAAAAAAACCCTTTCTACTTAACATTGTCTTAACCTCGTACTCTTTATCCTCTTTCTTTCCAGGCTTCTGAATTCCCTTCTGAGTTAATGTCAAATGACAGCAAAGCACTGTGTGGCTGAATAAGCGGTGAGTGTTTGCTTGTGCCACCCGTGGGTAAACTGCCCCTCGGTGTGTGTGCGCGCGCGCGCATGTGTTTTTGCTTGTGTATCTATAAAATGTCTGATTTGGTAAATGCATGCTTACTTCGCGGTGTTACCCGTACTACATTGTCTCACTAGACATGAAGGAGCTTGTAGCTTTGGGTGCTCGAGATCACAGAACATTTTCCTTTAAAAGGAAATGATGCCAATAACTTACTACGAAGGCGGCCGAGGAACGTGTGTATTGGCTTTGTAGCAAATGTAATGCCCTGGATCTTCCTACGAGTCCTCTGGTACTATGAGGTACTAACCTCCACTGTAATTAATCTTACCGCCACAAATTCCATAGTGATCCTCCTTCCCTAAAACTATAGTCCTCTGGGATTCTCTGGGCTAGTTGAGGATTGCTACCCTGTGCCTTCAACCCTGTGATGTGGGATCCCAGACTTCCCTATCTGTTAACTAAAGGGCTGTTTTCAATCAAATAATTGTTACGAGAAGCAGACTGGCGCCTGTAGCACTGCTGTTGGAGATCCAAATAGGAGATTGGGTTGGGAAGTTTTTCCCTTGAGTCTCTGCTATTTTAATGTTTAATTTGCGCTGTCGAGGCGAGTGTGTGTGTTGCATCTGGACGCCAGGGTTTGCCCAATCTTTGAGTGTTTGGTTAAATGTTCAAACTGTGGCTTCCTCCCGGCGCCAGTCGCCCGCCTCTGCCCTTAGGTTACATTCTCTTAAACATGCCTTTCTCCCCCACTCTTTCGCAGGTGTTCATGATTTCTTTTATTCTTTGCACAACAACAACAACAACAAATTCACGGAATCTTTTAAGTGCTGAACTTATTTTTCAACCATTTCACAAGGAGGACAAGTTGAATGGACCTTTTTAAAAAGAAAAAAAAAATGGAAGGAAAACTAAGAATGATCATCTTCCCAGGGTGTTCTCTTACTTGGACTGTGATATTCGTTATTTATGAAAAAGACTTTTAAATGCCCTTTCTGCAGTTGGAAGGTTTTCTTTATATACTATTCCCACCATGGGGAGCGAAAACGTTAAAATCACAAGGAATTGCCCAATCTAAGCAGACTTTGCCTTTTTTCAAAGGTGGAGCGTGAATACCAGAAGGATCCAGTATTCAGTCACTTAAATGAAGTCTTTTGGTCAGAAATTACCTTTTTGACACAAGCCTACTGAATGCTGTGTATATATTTATATATAAATATATCTATTTGAGTGAAACCTTGTGAACTCTTTAATTAGAGTTTTCTTGTATAGTGGCAGAGATGTCTATTTCTGCATTCAAAAGTGTAATGATGTACTTATTCATGCTAAACTTTTTATAAAAGTTTAGTTGTAAACTTAACCCTTTTATACAAAATAAATCAAGTGTGTTTATTGAATGGTGATTGCCTGCTTTATTTCAGAGGACCAGTGCTTTGATTTTTATTATGCTATGTTATAACTGAACCCAAATAAATACAAGTTCAAATTTATGTAGACTGTATAAGATTATAATAAAACATGTCTGAAGTCAATACCTGAATTCCGAGTGGTTTTTAAGATCTCTGGCATTCACTAGCTCTTTTCTCTCCCTGTCTCCCCCTCTCGGCCCCCCCCCCCACACACACACACACACATTGTTTTCTTTATCCCCTTCTCCTTCATCCCCCCACCAGCAGCACCCCTGAAGCTTTTACTTGTGTACAGAGAATCTTATCAGATGTGTGGTAAGGCAGAGGGCTGAGTTGACAGGGACTGGGGAGGCTTTGAGCACAGAAGTGCCTCGAGTCCTTAAGAGAAAGCTTGGTTCTGTGCCTCAGGGCTGAGTTTAAAGCCAAGAATGAGTTGAGTCTGGGAGTGTGGAAGCACTACCTGTCTGAGTGGGCGTTAAGACGCTTCTCTGGAGTAAATGAAAGTTAATCAGGAGAAGAAAAGAGGCTGTACAGAATTCAGAACATGATTTCAGGTTTAAGGGAAGGCAGAAACACCCGAGGGTTACTGTTTGCACAGGGAACTAAGCTGTCACCTGGCCCCGGGCTCCTGAGGCCTCCTTGGCTTCGCCTGCGTCCACACCTGTAGCCCCCCCGCCACACCCCACCCACCTCCGGGCCTCCGGAGACGGGGCTGGGCCGGGCGCATTTTCCCGGACTTTTCGATCGCCCTCAGCCTTGACTGCCGCCCTGGACTGGAAGGAAGAGGCAGCGGGCAGAAGCCTTTCCCAGCCAAAGACCGCGGGTGGCCACGTGCTCAAGACTGGTCTGCGTTTTCAGTCCCGGGGCGCGAGGTGGGCTGGGAGGCTCTGGAAGGCGGGTCCCAGGTGGACGCGAACCGGGGGAGGAAGGGATCCGGGCGGGGCAGCAGCTCACCTGGGGCGGAACAGGTGTTCGGGCGGCGCCACCGAGGAGTCCGCGCGTCTCCCCGCCCTGACCCCCGATCGCTCCCCGCGGGCGCTGGCGCTGGAGGAGGGCGGGGGCCGTGGAGCCGCGGCCGCCCGGATCGCCCTGCGGACCCGCGCCGGGGACTGGGCTCTGCCGGGGCCAGCGCGGGGCGGTCGTGTGGTTGATCATCATACCCGGAGGAAGCCCTGAGGGCCGTAGGGGCGTCTTCCCCGTCGCAGGCTACCCGCGGACCTGGCCCCCAGGTCCCCGCCACCTGTCGCCAGCCGCGGCCCCGGCCGACCTCTGCGCGGCGGGGAGGGAAGCGCGCTCTGGTCCCAACCCGACCCCCGCCTCGCCTCCGGGAGAGGCGCAGACGCCGGCCGCACGCTCGCCCCCCAGCCACGGGGACCCGCGCGTAGTCCGCTCGGACGGCCCTGGGGAGCGTCCCCGGACGGAAGCAGTGCGGGCGGGACTGTGGGGCGGCCCGGGCCCTTTCGAGCCCCTGCCGGGCACCGCTGGCGACGTTGGCCCCGGGACCCCTGGAGCCGCAGCCGAGGCGCAGCAGCCCCTCTCGGAGGCGACTTCCCGCGGCGCCAGCCGCGCTGCCCGACTCCGGCCGTGGAGCCCGGGCGCCACCTGCTGGCCGACACGAGGACGGCGGCTCTCGCGCGGGGCCTGGTGGGCCTGGGGCCCGGGCACTGGGAACCCGAGGAGCAATCCGTGGGGTGGAGGAGGTCCCGGGAGAAAACGCCAGGGAGTGCGGCCTTTCCAAATGAGTGCTGCTCCAGCATGTGTACAGCCGTTTCCACGTGTGGATCTCATGTAATCTTTGCTACTGCATAGCATAGACAGGATCCCCTTTTGCAAATTAGTAGTTGCTGCCAACCTCTATGCTAGGTGCTGTCCCAGAGATTTTTAAAAAGATCAGACAGGATCCTAGTCTCAAAGAGACTATGCTTGGATTGTGGGGATAAATGAATTGTGAAGTCACATGAAAGCCAGAATGCTTTCCCTTCTCTTTCCTGGATGTTTTGTTAAATTTTGTTTTAATTTTTCTGAACTGCTTAATAACTATTAACCAAGAACGCCAGTGTTAGTTAAAGCAGTGGGAGGTGGGAGTCGGCCTCCTTTTCTTATTCCAAATCCTAATGAGAATCGATCACATTTCTTCCATTTAGTAGGATGTGACTGTAGGCTTCTGTTGTAATAGATACTGTTTCTCAATTTTTGGAAGAGCCTTTCAATTGCTAGGCTTGTTGGAAGGGGTTTTTTTTTTTTTTTTTTTTTGAGAATTTTAAATCATAATTCGTGAGTCAATTGGTAAAATACTTTTGACTGCATTTACTGATATTATTTTTGTCTGGTGGATTACACTGATATTTCTGATACTGAACTAGCCATGCATTTCTGAAATAACTCCTACGTGAACATCATATATTATTACTTTTTATATCCACCGTGGATTCTGTTAGCCAATATTTTATTTTTGAAAATGAAATGGAACTGTGATTTACTTTCTTGTGTTGTCTGTAACTGGTTTTTGAATCAAGATCATACTAACCTCAAGCAATAAATGTACAGGTCAGTTTACATTTAATTTTAGCGTTCAAAGCCATGAGTGCATCCCTGAAGGTCGGCTAACGTGTAGTCTGTCTATTTCAGAGGTGAGCATTGAGTAGCCAACAGCACACAACCAGGCAGTGGGCAGACGAACTCAGTCCAGCGCTTTTTCAGGAACATAAAAAGGACTTTCAAGTAGAGGGTGAAGATGTAGACTCTAATAGAAAATAATATTCTTGTCAATAAGGAGCTGCTTTATAGAGCTTTTAAAATCCACAGCTAATAATTTGTGCGGCTCTCTGCAGGGCAGGTGCAGAGCCATCCCAATCCCCTTCAGCTTGACACCCCATACATCCTTCCAATTTTTGATGCATTTTGCTACCGGAAAAGGGGTTTCAGACTTTGAGTGTCTTTCTGGATGCTGATCCAGAAAAGGTGTTGGATGTTTTTCTATTTCATCATAAAGATACTTTGAAGACCAGGGGCAGTGGCTCACGCCTGTAATCCCAGCACTTTGGGAGGCCAAGGTGGGTGCATCGCTTGAGCCCTGGAGTTCAAGACCAGCCTGGGCAACATGGCAAAACCCCATCTCTACTAAAAATACAAAAGTTAGTTGGGTGTGGTAGTGCACGCCTGTAGTCCCAGCTACTCAGGAGGCTGAGGTGGGAGGATCTCTTGAGCCCAGGAGGTCAAGGCTGCATGATTGTGCCACTGCACTGCAGCCTGAGTGACAGAGCGAGACCCTGTCTCAGAAAACTAATTAATTAATTAATTTAATTAAAGATAATTTGAGTCAGAGGCAGCATAAGTTGAGAAGCTCAACAACATGTGTTTTGTTTATTGCTGACTAAAGTAGGCATTATGAGGAGCACCGCCTGAGACTGTAAGGAAGGAAGGAGATTTTCCAGAGGCCCTGAAGGAAGATGCAACAGAAGGACAGTGGGAAGAGCATGCACACATTTGTGGCAGTCCTGAGTGAGGGCACCAATCCCAGTAAACTAGGGCATTGGCCAAACAGGAATTACAGACAAGTTTTTACAACCCTGTGAAGCAGGGCATTGAAACTGATACTACCACCCAGGATCCTGGAAGGCCTGAAATGTCGGTTATTGATTAGAAAAAAATAATACTCATTAGCTCAGGAAGATCATAAGGAAGCTTGTGTGTGAACCTGAGCTCAAGAGGGAAATGAAAATCTCCTCCGAAAATTTTTACCCATAAACATGCCCTTATGGGCAATGGAGATTCAAATATGTACTACCCACTTGGTTTGAGAAATTTTGATGCTGAGAAATTAACACAAAAATGGGTTTCTGGCTGGTGATACCCCTGGAGTGCTTGGAAGTGGCACATGCAAAGCTTCTTCTCTGGAGAGAAAATTTCTCAATACAGACTACACAGAATTCTCACATTTTCACGGTTGGGTGAAAGTCAGTTTATAATTCAAAAATTTTAAAAACACTGAAAACAATTTACCATGAGAGAATCAGTAGCTAAAATGAAGAGAAAGATTAGAAACAAAAGATCTAAAATGGCTATAAAGTAAGCACAACTAAGATGATTAAAGAAATTTAAAAATTAAGCAAGAACATAAAAAATCACAATATACAGTATTATATATAAAAGAATAGGCAGATTTGAAAACGAACAACATCAAAGTGCTTACATATAGTTATTGAAAGTGAAAACTCAATGAAAATGTTAAAACCCAGATTAAAAACTACTGGAGAGAGAATTAATGAACTGGGAGATGAACCTGAAAAAATTACCCAGAATGAGCACAGAGAGATAAAGATAAGATAAATATGAACTCAAGGTAAGAGACAGAAAGGATAGAGAGAGAAGTTCCAACAAGTATGGCAGACTGTATCAACTGGTTGTGGCAGTAGAAGGGAATCTGTCACAGTAAACGTTCAAGCAACTTGAATGTTAGATATATCTTCTCTTAAAGGCTTTTAGTCAAGCTAATATTCTGCACATATACATGTTTTGTTTGGTTTCAGACAGGGTCTCTCTGTCACCCAGGCTGGAGTGCAGTGGCATTGATCACAGCTCACTGCAGCCTCAGCCTCCCTGGGCTCAGTTGATCCTCTCACCTCAGCCTCCTAAGTAGCTGGGACTACAGGTGTGCACCACCACGCCTGGCTAATTTTTTCTATTTTTTTTTTGTAGAGACAGGATTTCACCATGTTACCCAGGTGGTCTCAAACTCCTGGGCTCAAGCATTCCTCCTGCCTTGGCCTCCCAAAATGCTGGAATTACAGGTTTGAGTCACTGCACCCAGCCCACATATACATGTTTTAAAAATTAAGATGAAAAAATCCAACACAATTAGAAATAGGAAAACAGTAGCAATAGAGTTCACAGATAAAGTAATCAACAGCCTGTAAGCATACAAAAAGATGGCCAATTTCACCCATAATAAGACAAGTGCAAATGAAAAACTATATAACAATTCTCACCCAACAAATGGGCACAAATCCAAAAGTTTGACAATATACTCTGTTGACAAGACTGTGAGGGAAACAATCTTGTATATTGTTGATGATAAAATACTCTGACCCCTATAAAGAGGAATGTGGTGATATCTAGCAAAATTGCATATGCATTTACTCTTTAACCCAGCTTTCTCCCTCCTAGAAATCTATCCCAAAGTTACATTGCAAAAATATGTAATACTGTATGCACCAGGTTAATAGATTTGGCATTGCTTTTAATAGCAAATGACTAGAAACAACCCAAATTTGGGACTGTTTGGAAAAGCTCTAGTATACTAATACATGGTGATGTAACGCAAAGAGGAGATCTTTATATACTGACATGGGCTTTCCAGGACAAAGCGTCAGGTGAAGAATGCCTAATACAGAACAGTGTATATGGTGTGCTAGCTTTTGTATGAGAAGGAAGGTGTAATAGTAACACATAGATTCATATTTGTTTATATTTTCAGAGAAATGAAATGGAAGAAAAAACTAAAATTAATAAAAATGGTTATTGATGGGAGAGGCTAGAATAGAGTGGAGGAAGCAATGTTAGAAAGGGAGTGTAGTATTTCTGAATGTATATTCCGTGTCAATCTTTCACTTAATGGGTTTACTAAACTTTGACGATCATTGTCTAAATCGACTACTCCTTTAGTTATCACATTACAGTGAATACATTCATCATTAGAAATTGCAGCATGGTGGCCAGGCGTGGTGGCTCACACCTGTAATCCTAACACGTTGGGAGACTGAGGTGGGTGGATTGCCTGAGCTCAGGAGTTCAAGAGCAGCCTGGGCAACACGGTAAAACCGTGTCTCTAATAAAATACAAAAAAAAATTAGCCCCCGGGCATGGCAGTGTGAGCCTGTAATCTCAGCTACTAGGAAGGCTGAGACAGGAGAATCACTTGAACCCAGGAGGCAGAGGTTGCAGTGAGCTGAGATCGCACCATTGCACTCCAGCCTGGGCAACAGAGAAAGACTCCGTGACTTTCTAACTGTTTCAATTATGGTTATCTGAAATCCAGCTCATACTGAAAAGTCAGGAAAATGCTTAATTATTTCTCTTTAATTCTCCATTTTTACAATTATATTGTATTAAATGTGGTATTTCTGAATGTATATTGTCATATAGTTTTGACTGAGATATGTAAATACTTTTTACAAATTACATTTAAAAAACAATATGTAAGTAGAAAAAAATGACAACAAATGGACCTAATTACGTCTCAAGTTAGTAACATACGCACACAGAGGAAAAATGACCCCAACTGACCTTCGACAGTTTCACTGTACATTCCCAGTGGATCTATTCTAAGGACAAAAAGAACTGCAAAGAAATCATAAACTTCCTTTAGTAGCCACATCGCTAGTAATAATATTGGTATTGTTATTTTTGAACTATTATATGTATATTGTAGGATAAGCAAAGAAGTAATTATACTAATGTCATTAGGAACCAAGATTTTCAATGTAAGAGAAATGAAACATCAGCATAACGTTCAAGAAGTAAAAGCTCTGAAATCTTACATTTGAACTGAAAATATCAATTTAAATGCATGTTTCTTTTTAAAAATATATTTTTATAGCTTTCCACTGAAAATGCCAGAAGCAATGACAACCAGGTGATAATAAGCACCCGCTTACACCAGTTTGTACGATCAAGTACCACTCACCACTAAAAGGAACCAGAGTTTTTTGGAGAAATGGCTGATTCCCGATCTAGGACAGGAAGTAAGACTAAAAATAAAGAGGAGACAAAAATAAAGCAAAAACGCTTTGGATACCAATGGAGGTTTCTAGGGCACCAGCACATTCTAAAAATGGAGAATTAAAGAGAAATAATTAAGCATTTTCCTGCCTTTCCAGTACGAGCTGGATTTCAGATAACCACGATTGCAAGAGTTAGAGAGTCACCATGTTGAATCCCTAAAGATGAGTGTAGTCACTGTAATGTGGTAACTAAAGTAGTAATTGATTTAGACCATGATCTTCAAAGTTTAGTAAACTCATACATTGTAAGGTTGATGAGAAATTTTGTAATAGAATAATCAGGCTGTTAATAAAGAAATGATCACCTGAACCGACTGATCAATCTCTAGAAAACCAATCAACTGGCCATGAGGTGCCTCCCGATGGGACATGATCGACGCCAGCGACACTTCCTGTGAAGTATTCTTAGGGAAAAGAAGAGTAAAAATTCAATCTGGGGTAACATCAATCCCTGAGACCTAACTTCTTGTCAATGGGAAACAGGAGAGAGCAAGTGAAATGGGATCGCAGGAAGTGTTCAGACAAACCCGGAACAGGGCATCCTTGGACAACTGGCCCAACCTTTCCAACAAGCCGATGACGAAGAAGCAGAGGCCAAGCACCGAAAACACTTAAAATACCACCACCACATGCAACGGATGGGCTTTGTCTGGATCCTGAAACTCTAAAGGGACTTTTTTTTTTTTTTTTTTTTTTTTTTTAGATTGCTGGGGAAATTTGAGTGAGGGGTGGGTATTATATAATAGTGAAGATTTTGTTTCCTTAGGTGTGAAATTGGTATTTTTGAGATGCATACTGAAGTTTGTAAGGATAAATGACATAATATATAATATTTGCTTTAAAATCCTCCAGAAAAAGAAAAAGGGAGTAGGGCTGGATGAGCCAGATATAGTGAAATGCTGCCGCTGTCACCACTGAGTGACAGGCACATAGGTGTCCTCCGTTCACTCCTTTTGCATATGTTTGGGAATGTTTGTGATAAGTAAGTTAGAAAAATAACCCAGTCCTCTATCTACTGGAGCACAGAGATGCCCCCACTGCCCAACTCTCTGAAAAGGCCCTGGCCTCCTGACACACTGCTTGGCACCCTCATTCACTTCCTCAAGATTGACCTTGACTGAGACAGCAATTGAACTCTCCGCCCTTCTGGCTCTGAACTACTTTCACTCCTACTGAGACGCTGCATGGCTATGACAGGGGCGCCTAGCATGGATCTTAGCATTTGGCAGCAAAGAAAAGTGGCCGAAGCCTAGGAACGTCCTGGCTTCCCTTCCTCTTCTGCCTGCTGCCATTATAAGTAGAATGGCGTGTGTACTTCCACGTATATGATTATGCCACTTCTTGGAATGTGGTCTTAGTTTTAAGTTAATTCTCCACCTAGGGACAACGCTGTAAGTTTTATTTTACAAACATAATCTTCTAAATAAGCTCTAAATAAGTTTCATCAGTTCTGAGAGAAAGTTCTTAAGCACACAATTCTTCAATATTTGATGTTTCAAAAATCCTATGGAAGCAAGTTAGGCAGAGAAAAGGACAAGGCCATTCTTAATGTTGTAATTTTACCAGAGTTCGCCAAAGCCTCCCAGGGGAGGAAAAAAAAAAGACTTCTAAAAAATGTCAACTGAAACTTTAATTGCCTGAAGTAAAATATTTTAAAGAGTGAAAATTTCAAGTTTAAATTTAATCCAAACCAGTTAAGTTGATTCAATCTAAAAATATCTTGACTGGGAAGGAAATTTTTGGACAAGTTTGTCAAGTCCTGGCTTTGTACCTGACAATGACTTTTAGAGAATCATCCCCAAACAAGTAGACGCCCTTGAGTGCTCTCCCTGCAAACCGCGTTTGCTGCAGGGCAATGCCAGCTCACACAGGCCAAGGGGTAAAAAGCAGGACTCTTCCTGCTAATTATTTTTGTTGTATCATCTATTGTCTACAGGAACAAAACATCCACCCTAGCGAGCTGCTCCTGCAAAAACGGGGACACCTCTTGCCACTGAAAGTCTCTGACGTGTCGATGGAGTTACACTGATGTATTAATTTATTCGGCAAACATGCATGGGACTACGCCAGGCGTGGCTCTAGGTGCTGCCGACACTGGGATGAAACAGCCGGGATCCCTGCCCCTGTGGAACTTGCATTCCAGCAATGGGAGACAGACCATGAGTGTGTCTCATATGCATTCGAAGACAAATAAAGCAGGGAAAAAGAGGAGACAGAACCTAGGTGACCAGTTATGAAGTATGAAGGTGTTGTCTTCTGTCCTCAACCTCCGGTCGCCGGGACCCTGCAGAGCTCAGCCGACTCCGGGTTAGCATGGCCAGTTGGGGGCGTGAGAGAGCAGCCGCAGCGGGGCGGCGGGAGGATGGGAGCGGCCGCAGCCCGTGTGCTTCCCGGGGACTTCCCGTCCACCTGGGGGTCCCAGCAGCCCCGCCCAGCACTTCTTCACCCTGGCCTCCCTGTGGCTGCGCCTGAATCCAGACCGCGCTTTTCCCCACACTCAGAGGACCAGCCTGATGGCCCCCGTCCCTGAGCCTGCGGCCCCTGCATAGAGGCTCTACGTCCCAGGCACAGGGACCCTCCTCCAGCTTCTGAGCTTCAGTCACTCCCGCCTTTCCCCTCTGCTCCCTCATCCTGGGGGGCATGCTGCCTGCGGCACTGCCTCGGTGACAGCTTGGAGTGCTGTCTGTTCAGCTCCCCAGTTAACACATTCTAGCTAGTTAGCAAGCTTACTCTCTCTCTGAGAGCTCGGGGGGTTTCTGTCTCCTGACGGGGCCCTGACTGGTACCCCAGGCTCCATGAGAGCACCGTGGACAACAGGAGCAGCCGAACACGCAGAATCTGCGGGAAGGGGAATCGGGCAGTGGGTGCGGCCCGTGCAAAGGCCCGGCGGCAGCAGCCATCCAGGGAAGTCCCACCTGAAGGCAGTGAGGGGCGGTGGGAGTGGTGACGGGGAGGGGGTGGAGGGGGCTGGGAGCTGGTGGGGGGCTGATGGGGGGCGGTGGGGGCAGTGGGGGCTGGCGGGGAGTGGGGGAGGGCTGGTGGGAAGTGGTGGGGGCTGATGGGGGGCAGGGGAGGGGGCTGGGGGGTGGTGGGACGGTGGGGGATGGTACGGGGGTGGGGGAGAGCTGTTGGGGGGAGGTGGGGGGATGGGGGCTGGTGGGGGAGAGGGCTGGGGGAGAGCGGTGGGTGGTGGGGGAGCGGTGGGGCATGGTGGGGGACAGTGGGCCGGAGCAAGGCAGCCAGGGGCCCAGTGCGAGGAGAGGAGAACGGACAGGATGGGGGAGGCCCATCACACCCAGCCTCACAGGCCGCGCTAAGAGCTTTGGCCTTTACTTTGTGTAAACTGGGACCTTGGAGAGCTTTGCGCAGGAGAGTGATGGAACCAAACTATTTAGCAGCCACATTTCTTTTAATGTTTCTCGTTTATAGGTTACACATTTGTTGTTATTATTATTGATTTAATAATACTGTGTCAAGATAAAGTTGTCAAAATCACGGCACCCAAACTTCACATTATAAAATTTTAATCACAACCTGTTTTATCACAATCGCTTTGCAGCAACGGAAATTATTCGTAGTAATTATTAAGTTGGTGCAAAATTATTTGTGGTTTTTGCCATCACTTTTAATGGCAAACGCCGCAAATAATTTTGCACCAACCTAAATATTATAACTAAGGAAACGAATAGAATGGTGTGCATCAGAGGTACCTCCGCCAGTGCTTACCCCGTTTGTTATAGAGGGACGGGTTGTCCCTGCTGCTTTTTTATGGAGCGCTATATCAAAAGGGCTGAGTAAAATGAAGACATTCCCCAGAGGACTGACTCACTAAGCAATCATATGGGCAGTTTCTGGGAGGAAAGGAAGAAAAAAGCCATACTTCACAACTCTTAGAAGCTGTTGCAAAGCAGACCACATTCCTAAACTGAAGGTAAGTATTGTTTGCACAAACTCAGCGTATTAGGCTAATTTGTTTCCATACTTGATTTGGATTATTTCTCTTAGGATTTTAGAACTGTCATCATGACCACGTTGCAATGTACCCCAAAGTTGAATGTCTCATTGACCACACATTTCTTTCTTTCTTTTTTTTTTTTTTTTTTTGAGACAGAGTCTTTCTGTGTCACCCAGGCTAGAGTGCAATGGCACTATCTCGGCTCACTGCAACCTCTGACTCCTGGGTTCAAGCAATTCTCCTGTCTCAGCCTCCCGAGTAGCTGGGATTATAGGCACGCGGCACCACACCCGGCTAACATGGTTTCGCCACGTTGGCCAGGCTGGTCTTGAACTCCTGACCTCAGGTGATCTACCCGCCTCCGCCTCCCAAAGTGCTGGGATTCCAGGCGTGACCCCCTGCGCCCGGCCTGACCACACATTTCTGTTGTCATCCTAGGGACTCAAAAATAATTCAATTTTCTCTTTCTCAGAACTTTTTCCCTTTGCAAAATACACATTTTCAGTTTTAAAATATCTTGCAATAGCACTCTCTTATACATTATTCCACCTTTCATTTCATTAATTACCCATGAAATGGTCTGTTTTTGTTAAATAAATGCACACTTTTTTTCTGTGTATAATACAGCGAGGGCACATGTGGGTAGGAGCAAGATATGACTGGAGGAAAACATTTTTAAAAACTAACAGTGGCCAGGCGCGGTGGCTCATGCCTGTGATCTCAGCACTTTGGGAGGCCAAGGTGGGCGGATCACCTGAGGTCAGGAGTTTGAGACCAGCCTGACCAACATGGAGAAACCCCATCTCTACTAAAAATACAAAATCAGCCGGGCATAGTGACGCATGCCTGTAATCCCAGCTACTCAGGAGGCTGAGGCAGGAGAATCGCTTGAACCTGGGAGGCAGAGGGTGCGGTGAGCGAAGATCGCACCATTGCACTCCAGCCTGGGCAACAACAACAAAACTCTGTCTCGAAAAAAAAAAAGAAAGAAAGAAAAACTAATAGTGGTCCCTTTGCTGTGACTGTGGGTGATTTTTTTCCATTTTAATGTTTACTAAAAATTCCTGGCTGGGCACAGTGGTTCACACCTGTAATCCCAGCACTTTGAGAGGCCAAGGCAGGAGAATCACTTGAGCCCAAGAGTTGGAGACCAGCCTGGACAACAAAATGAGACCCTATCTCTATTTAAAAAAAAAAAAAAAAAAAGCCAGGCATGGTGGCATGCCTGTAGTCCTAGCTACTTGGGAGGCTGAGATGGGAGGATCACTTGAGCCTGCAGTGAGCCATGATCGTGCCACTGTACTCCAGTCTGTGTGATAAAGTGAGACCCTGTCTCAAAAAAAAAAAAAAGTTATTTAACCTGCATTATTTTATAATCAACCAATATTTTTTGTACTAAAATTAACCACAAGCACTGATCGACTGAATGAGGAACGAACATTAAGGCAGCCCCTACATAACCTGATTCCTGGTCCTCGGAATCTCCACCCCAGGTCTTTTGTCCTCTTCTCATCATTTTTTTGGTTAGTCAGTCAAAAAGTAAAGCAAATATCAGGGATTTATGTGCCCCGTGCTACATTGAGAGAGAGAATGTAAGTTCTCAGCCTTGAAACCCATGATTACATGGCAGGAAGCAAGAATTGCCTCAATGGAACCACTGGGAGTGGAGGACACAGCGAAACACACAACGCCAGGTGAGTGGCATCAAAGCACTGAGCTGGAGGGGCAGAGCCCAGTGAGCGGCTCTGGCATCTGGCTGATCATTGGACAAGGAAAAGATGGGAACTTCAGGGGCAGAAGCCTGAGGAGGCAACACAATAGTGATAGAAGAGGAGGGAGACCAGCATGGGCTCGCAGGACATACAGGAGCAAAGCCGGCCATGCCGTGCAGGGAAAGTGATCCTTTACAAACTTCCTGAATTTTGATTTAGGAGTAAATTGGATTCTGGAGTAAAACCTGAGCAGTGAAGCTGCAGAGACAAGTGAGAGAGGTAGGAAAACAATCATGTGTGGCGGGCAGAAGTATCCTCCCAAAGATGTCCATGGCTTCATCTGCAGAACCTCCTGATGTGTTCCCCTCACATGACAAAGGGACTTTGCAACCGAGACTAAGGGCATAGATTTGGGTTGGGGAGATTCTCTTGGATTATCAGGCAGGCTGAGTCTAATCACAGGAGTCTTTAAAAACAGAGGACCTTTTTCGTCCATAATTAGAGCAGGCCACAGAGGAAGGGTCAGAGACTGCAACACTGCTGGCTTTGTAGATAGAGGGAGGCGGCCTCTAGAAGCCGGAAAAGGCAAGGAAACAAGTTCTCTCCTAGAGCCTCCAGGAGGAGCACAGCCCTACCCACACCCTGCGAGACCTGTGTCAGGCTCCCGATCTACAGAACTGTAAGACACTAAATTTGTGTCATTCTAAGCTGCTCAGTTTGTGGTGATTTATAATGGCAGTGACAGAAAACTAATGCAGGCTGTGTTCTTCCTGAGAATGAATGCATATGACTGCCCCTGCTCATAGGGAAATGCAACCAAGCCTGCACAGTCAGTGAGGACATTGGAAGTGGTTTCTCACAGCCAGTTCTCATGAAGATCCCTGAGTAATGGGAAAGACCTGGCCTGACATCCATACACAGTGCAGTGTGTCTCTTAAGTCCTGAATGTTTCTGCAGATTGTGACACTTTGGGGCTTACTTTAGAGGAAGGGTGGGCAGTTCCCAATGCCTCAGGCATTGTAGGTTCCGAGGTGGGTGGCCTGAGGACCTGCCACTTTTTAAAGTGAGGATCAGGAATGTGATGGGCTATCTTCCACTGCCACGAGGAAGCACGGAAGCTGGGAGTTCCCTCAACTACAGAAGATGTTCCTCTCCCAAATTAAGCATTCATAATGAGCATCTTGTCCACTTTATGTTGCTATAAGAGAATACCACAGATGGGGTAATTTATAATGAACAGAAATTTATTTGACTTATGGTTCTGGAGGCTGGGAAATTCGACAGCATGGCACCAGCATCTGGTAAGGGTTGTGTCCTCCCATGCAGAAGGTGGATGATATAGTTTGGATCTGTGTCCCCACCCAAATCTCATGTTCAATTGTAATCCTCACTGTTGGAGGAGGGGTCAGGTGGGAGGTGATTGGGTCATGGGGGTGGATTTCCTCCTTGCTGTTCTTGTGATAGTGAGTTCTCACAAGATCTGGTTGTGTAAAAGTGTGTAGCACCTCCCCCTTCGCTCTCTTCCTCCTGCTCCAGCCATATAGGATGTGCCGGCTTCCCCTTCACCTCCTGCCGTAATTATAAGCTTCCTGAGGCCTCCCCAGCCAAGCTTTCTGTGGAACCATGTGCCAATTAAACATCTTTTCTTTATAAATTACCCAGTCTCAGGTAGTTCTTTATAGCAATGTGAGAATGGGCTTATACAGTAGGAGAGCAAGAGAGAGTGAATTCAAGTCAAACTTGCTTGGATAACAAACCCACCCTCCACTAAGCTTCCTCCCAAATAACAACAGAGTCCCCATGACCTAATCAGCTCTTAAAAGTCCCACCTCTCAACACTGCTTCACTGGGGATTAAATTTTCAACACATGAGTGTTGGGGGACACAGATGGGCCACAGCAATGAAGTTCCATGCCTGACTGGGGTTAACAGGTGACAGCAGTTTGGTCTGCCTAACAGGCTGCCGTATCCCAGGGTCTAGCACAGTGCCTGGCACATGGTAAGCAGGCAATACATGTGTTGAGTGTGTGAATAAATGCACTGGACTGGATCAGACCTTCATGAGCACTGAGTTCCTGCCCTAGACAGGCTCCAGGAGGGGCCACAGGGTCCTGCATCAGGGATGCTGCAGAGGAAGAACTTCCTGCACGAGATGGAAGCTCAAGCTCCAATTCACTCCTCAAGGCCCTTTCCATCCAAATTCTAGCCGCACAGCCCACCTGAGATTTTTGCCATGACCTGAGGTGACATTCGAATGAGTCCTGGAGCCCAGCAAACACTGTGCACCCCGGGTGCTGGTGTAAGATGAGCATAAGGAGCTCAGGTGCGGGGAGAGGTGCCACCACAACTGAGCACCGTGCAAGTCAGCGTGTGTGCCACGCAGGAGTAAAGACTGTGCTGCAAGAATGTGGACCATGGGTGATTCATCCTGAGTTTGGTTTTGACCTTGCTTCAGACACATAACGGCTGGCACAGTAGCTAGCTGAGATTCTCACGTGAGTGTTCTAGGCCTTAGAGGTCCAGGTGAATCTGGGCTCAGTCTTTCCAGACTCACCTGTGCTACAAGCCCATGCTTATATTCCAGTCCACAGACCACAATAGAGTTGATTCATGCAGCTTCCCTGAGGAAACATGCCTGGGTGTGTGTGTGTGTGTGTGTGTGTGTGTGTGTGTGTGTGTGTGTGTGTGTTGAAAGCAAAGCACTTTTTTTTTCTTTATAGTTCATCCACCTTTTTTTTTTTTTGAGACAGGGTCTCACTCTGTCGCCCTTGACAGAATGCAGTGGTACAATCACAGCTCACTGCAGCCTCAACTTCCCGGCCTGGCTAAGTTTTAAACTTTTTTGTGGAGACAAGGTCTCACCATGTTGCCCAGGCTGGTCTTGAATTCCTGGGCTCAAGCGATCCTCCCAATTCAGTCTCCCAAAGTGCTGGGATTACAGGCATGAGCCACTGTGCCCAAACTGTACTCTTTTATAACCTAATCTTAGAAGTTAAGTGACCTGCCATCACTGTTGGTCACACAGACCAACCGTGGTATGTAGGGTGTGGGCTGTGAACAGCAGGAGACAGGGAGGCCATCTTGGAGGCTGGCCACCACAGGTATTTTTATGAAAAACGTCGGGCTATGGAATGGAATGGAATCAGGACCAGGCCGGATGTCCTGGATTCCTTCACTGCTGATGGAAATCCGCCTAGACACCCCATAATCACGAGCAAGTGCTATATCCCGTAGGTCTCACAAGTAGGAAATGCCTCTTTAAGAAATGGCTAACTTCCTACTGCAGACACCATTTTAAATGCTCTGCAGAAACATTTGGTGGAAATGGCAGAGATAATTTTGGCCATGCAACTCCTCCAGGCATATCTTGCTTTGTCACTAAAACTCTCGATTTAGGAATTATGCTGGCATTCCCTCCAGCTGCTGAAATGTCTAGATGTCAATGGTTTATATGTGTCTTTTTTAGTTATAGCCAAGATATTTCAAACTTATCTACTAGATCACAATTAACTTGGTTTTTTTAACCCAAGAAACTAGCAATATTAAGTGACCACATATTGTGGATATCATAACTCATTAGAGCCTTTTACTTTTTCCAAGTATTATCCCAGCTGATTGAAACACCTATCCGTGGGAACTTGAGCTGACGTAGATAATAATATAGTATTTCTGCTTCTACAATGGCAGGGAGAATTTTGGCGTATCTAGAAGATATGTATTTTTATTATATATTATATATAATATATATTATATTATTAAATATGATATATATTATTTTGTCATATATAGTCTATCAGATATGTCCAAATTCTCCTTGCCATTATGAAATGTATATACATATGTAAATAGAATGTATATATTTCTATGTAGAAAACCATACTTTTTTTTTTTTTTGAGACGGGGTCTCACTCTGTCACCCAGGCTGGAGTGCAGTGGCGCGATCTCGGCTCACTGCAAGCTCCGCCTCCTGGGTTCACGCCATTCTCGTGCCTCAGCCTCCCTAGTAGCTGGGACTACAGGCACCCACCGCCACACCCGGCTAATTTTTTGTAATTTTAGTAGAGATGGGGTTTCACCGTGTTAGCCAGGATGGTCTCGATCTCCTGATCTCGTGATCCGCCTGCCTCGGCCTCCCAAAGTGCTGGGATTACAGGCATGAGCCACTGCACCTGGCCAGAAAACCGTACTATTAAATGTTTTGTGCCAGGCCTGGTGGCTCATGCCTGCAATCCCAGCACTTCAGGAGGCTGAGGTGGGAGGATTGCTTGAGCAATCCTGAGCGAGTTTGAGGATAGCCTGGAGAACCTGGTAAAATCCTGTCTCTACAAAAAAAAAAAAATACAAAAATTAGCCAGGCATGGTGGTGTGTGCTTGGAGTCCCAGCTACTCAAGAGGCTGAGGTAGGAGGATGACCTGAGCCCAGGGAAGTTGAGGCTGCAGTGAGCCCTGATTGTACCACTGCTCTCCAGTCTGGGTCATAGAATGAGACCCTGTCCCACTCAAAACAAAACAAAACAAGTTCTGCTCTTGAAATGATTATCCTAAGAATAAGCAGAATGAAAAGGTGAAATGAGTTTCGAGGTCTAAATGCCAAGGATACAGTTCAGGAGTTTTGTACCCCTCCCTGCCTTATGCATGAAGCTTTTTTGTGGGGAATTCTTTTAATTACTGGAAGCATACACGCAGCTGATGGCATTCTTCAATCTCACAATTGAAGGTTACACCTTCACGCCTAGTGCTTGGTCAATGTGGACAAAAGAAGCCACGTTCTGGAAATGTTGAAGATGCCACGGGCCATTTCCACACGTTTCAGCCTAGGAAGGTGGTCGTCTTTTGGTAACATCTAGATAGAAAAAGCGAGGCACTTGAATCCTAAATCTTATGTTGATATGCAATCCAAAAATAGCATATATTGAAGATTTTTATATACTTCAACATTTTCCGTGGAAGGCCTTTATATTCTTAGTTATAGGCAAGAGCCCAAGATTTCTGAGATTCCACAGCCAAATCATCAGTGAAATAGAAAGAAAAAAACACTCTTACTGGAAGCCACATGCAAGAGACGGTGACAGTGTCGGGAAAGAACGCCATTTCTATTTTTTACATCTCTTTCACTATAGTAAGGGTGTGAATTTTAACTGACATTTTCCAACTAAGTGAAAATCACTGTGGGTTGGGGGAGGTGAATGGAGGCAATTAGATACCAAAAGAAGCTGAAGGCCTCAGTGTTGAAGGAAAATTCCTACTTGATTTCAAATGTTTTCCACCAAGACAGTTTCCTGCCCTATGCTAACCCCACAGAAGCAACGTTAGACACAAAGCTGGTGACAGCGGTGGTAGCGATCGCGGCTGTTGGCATCTTACCCCTTTCTCTGCTGTTCCCTGTGAGGTGCAAGCGAGCGTTTGCAAAACCTGGCGCTCAGTCTCACTGGAAGCAAAAGAAGGGATCCTTTCAGCTCCATTCCGCAATCTATAACCCCCTCTCCTGCCCTAGATGTGCAGCTCTTGAAAATCAAGCTGAGACACATCCAGCGTGGAGCAGAGGTCTTTTTCCATTTCATTTCCTGCCACGAGGGAATCAGTCCGTAGGAGGCATTTGTCTTCCTTCTCCCTACAGTGATCTGTGGCCGTTTATACATCTGTGGCTGCAAAAATATTTCTGGCCCCACATGCTCTTCTAGAACCTTGCCACCACTCCTGCAACAGGAGCGAGGCGTCTCTGTCTTTTGCCCTTGAAGCCGAGCTGGACTTCGTGATTGCCTCCACTAGGATGTGTGAACCCCGAATATTGGAGACGGGTCTCCGTTAATTTAGAAAGTTTATTTTGCCCAGATTGAGGATGTGCACCCATGACACAGCCTCAGGAGGTCCTGATGACATGTGCCTAAGGTCATCAGAGCATGGTTTGGTTTTATACATTTTAGGGAGACGTGAGACATCAACCCACATTCCTAAGAGGAACATTGGTTCGGTCCAGAAAGGCGAGAAAACTCAAAGCAAATGCGGGATGACTCAAAGCGGGGAGGGGGCTTCCGGGTCATAGGTAGATAAGAGACAAAAGGTCGCATCTTTTGAGTTTCTGATGAGCTTCTCCAAAGGAGGCAGTCAGATATGCATTTATTCCAGTGAGCAGAGAGGTGACTTTAAATAGACAGGGAGGCAGGTTTGCCCTACGCAGTTTCCAGCTTGACTTTTCCCTTTAGCTTAGTGATTCTGAGGCCCCAAGATGTATTTCCCTTTCACAGATGCAAAGAAAGGAAGTGACCCTCTGTGCCTTCCAAGATTAGGTCTTAACAGGTAATATGACCTCTGCCTGGTTCTCTTTCTCTGGACGTTCCAAAAATCGTTTATTTGGCATACAGACACCATTTTGTGAGGAAGCCCAGGCTGCAGAAAGAGACCATGAGTAGGGGTTGCCACCAGTAGCTGCCATCCCCGCTGACAGCCACCGCCACCCATCAGACGCCTGTGTGAGGAAGCCTTTGAGTTGTCTCCAGCCCTGGCCACCACCTGACCACACCTGCCTAAAAGACCTGAGCAAGAACACCTGGCTGAGGCCAGTGACCCCAGAACTGTAGAACTATAAGGAAAAAATACTTACAATAACTGTCTACAATAAAATATGTACTTGTTGTTTTATGCCATTCTATATTTCTTACACAGCAACTGATAACCTGAACATGATCTGAAAAGGTAAAAGATCAAACAGTTTAGAATTATACTCTTCAAACATTTTTGTTTATGTAATCCCCTTATAGGATTTTTAAAAACCGTATATCTGCTCCCACGTTTTTAAGTTTGTTCCCGGACCAAACCGAGGGTCGGGCTGCTAATTCTTGCAGCCCAATAATGAGATGCAGATGAACTGGGAGAGAAGGGAGTTTTAATTTCTGTACCCAGTTACAGGGAGAAGGCCTGGAAATTATCTCCAAGCCAACTCAAAATTACAGAGTTTTCCAGAGTTTTCCAGAGCTTATATACCTTCTAAGCTATATGTATACATGTAAGTGTGCATTTATCTAAAGACATGAGTGATTCACTTCTTTTAATCTGTAACTAAGGTCTGAGTCTTTAAGACCTTCCACTGGCGCCTCAGTAAACTTACTTAATCTAAATGGGTCCAGGTGCTGGGATGATTGCCCTTATCTTGTCTCCTGCTAAATTACGGAGGTTTGGGGAGTTTCTTCAGACCCCCAATAAACTTGTTTCTGGAGGCCTGGGGAGTTTTTTCAGACCACCAATAAAACTTGTTTAATCCTAAATGGTTTCTGTTAAGAATTCCCTCATTATTTTGTCATGATTTAAGGCCCAGGAAAGGTCTAGGCAAAACTCTTGGTGGGCTTTTGTTACACTCCAGCCTTTGTATGAGGGCACTGGCTCTCTCAGCTTTTAATGTTTGACTGAACCACTCAGTCGGTGCCGAGACAGTTGTTATGGAGGCCTGCGTTAGTGACACCTGGCCTGCCACAAGTTGTCATCTAAAATTTTTGTTATTTTCAATGTATGCAAAAGAAAATTTTATGCAAAATCATTACGTTAGTGTCTTAAATGCACTAACCATTTAATGTCAGCACCATTTGATAGCTGTGATCGCCCATATTCAAAATACAAGAACCATTTCTTCCTTAAGAGTCAAAAATTTCATACTGTTTTTTAATCTCTGAACTGGTGTTTCTATTCCATCTCCTCCATAGGATTTTATTCTAATGTAATACATGTTTATATTTGAAAATCATTTATTGATTACCCTATCATACTTTTGTGTAAAAAGAATATATATAAATATACAGAAATTATAGATGTTCTTATTTCCACTGATCACAAATTATTCTTCAATGCCTTACAGTTTTTATAAACATTAAGATAATATTTTATAGGCAATAAGTCCATTAATGAGATGAGTAAGACTGTTATTTACTTTTAAGTCTCGCTTATTATTTTAAGTATCCATAGATGAATATTATTTTTCTGTAGAATGAGCCAGAGTTCAACATGAATTTTATCCCTGCTTTTTTTTTATTTGTATAGATATAAATGTCAAGACAACTTACCCACATAAACAAGGAGACGGAAATGGAGGCAGCTTTGATGGGACGATGTCGCTGGTTCTTCCAACTTCTTCCAAATGATGTACTAGAAATCACATGGGGAACCATTAGCAATCACCATTTCAATTCTATCCAAAGACAACTCAAGTACACCTGCCTTCAATTTTACTGAGTAGTAAAAGAATTTGAAATTGATGGTTTCAAGTTTCACCCATGTCCAACCCTTGGAATGCAAGGACTCTTTTGCTTATCTGTGGTGGTGGATACCACGAAAATTATGCACAGACCTTTTTTTTTTTTTTCTTAACTCATCAGCTATCGTGAGTGTTTGTGTGTTTCATGTGTGGCCCAAGACAATTCTTCTTTCAGTGTGGCCCAGGGAAGCGAAAGGTTGGACACCCATCCTTTCCCCAGGGCTGAGTCACTCATGTTCTCCACTTCTGGGAATCATTGTAAAAAGGCCTTACCAAGATTTATCAAATGAATATTAATTTTTACCTTTTACTCTCTTATTTAAGGCCCCTGTCTAGCTGCTTATGCTCAGAAAGGATTGAGAAAATGGAAACACCGAATCATGTCAATAAGCCTTTTCCCAAAGACTGTTTTTGAAAGAATGCTTTTTAGGCCAGGTGCGTGGCTCACACCTCTAATCCCAGCACTTTGGGAGGCCAGGGCAGGCAGATCACTTGAGGTCAGGAAGGAGTTCGAGACCAGCCTGGCCAACATGGTGAAACCCCGTTGTACTGAAAATACAAAATACAAAAATCGGTCAGGTGTGGTGGCGCTCACCCATAATCTCAGCTACTCTGGAGACTGTGGCCTGAGAATCACTTGAACCCGGGAGGCGGAGGTTGCAGTGAGCCGAGATCACGTCACTGCACTCCAGCCTGGGTGATAAAGTGAGACCCTGTCTCAAAAAAAAGAAAAAAAGAAAAAGAAAGAATGCTTTTTGTCTTATGGGCTTGAAATACATTTTGTCAAAACTGGAGCCACAGAAATAGTTTGTATTATTATGCAAAATGTTCCCATAAAAACAAATTGGTAGAGTCCTCATTGTCAAATCAACCAAGCCAGACTTACCTTTCGCTATTAAAAAAACTAACTTTATTTTTCCATTCAATATTCAAATAAACAAGTCAGTGATGCGTTCCTGACAGCCCTGCTGCTGTCTAATCCTAATCCCCACGGAACGCCGGGTCAGGAAGGAGCCCAGCGCCCATGGGTGCAGGCAGAGCCAGGGCCCCAGCCTTTCTCACTGGTGCTCTGCTCACGGGGGATTCTTCCTCAAACAATAATTTAGGGAAGGAGGCGGGAAGGGCATCACACAAATACCGTCACCCTTCCTGCTGTCCCTCAGTAGTGTATCTACATTCAGAATGTCCTGACACAGGCTAAAGTAGCCCTCCTCTAACAGAAGCGTGACTGAGGCAGGGAGAGACACAAGTCCTGCCACAGCTTTCGGAGCATCTTGAAAGGAAAGGTATACAAGCCAGCCTTGTAGCCTTGTCTGATGGCCCCGGGGTTTGACCTCAGGTGAACACAGAGAGGGATTTGGGCCTGAGAGGTGAGGGGAGGGCGGGATCCCTGCAACAGGGGTGCTCCCAGGACAGCCAGCTCCTGGGAGAGAACGAGGAACAGAAGCTTGAAGACGGATCCCTCGAGCCTTCCTGCCTGTGTGCCTCCAGTTTGAAGAGCCTTGCTTCGGAACGAAGGGAGGCTCCACTTGGAGTATTAATTGTTCATCCCAGCATCTGCTGATGGCGGGAAGACACGAGCAGTGTGCTTTCTGCAAACAGCCTAAAAAGTCTTGGGGGGTTTAAGGAGTAACCATAAAGAAACGCAGCTTGGGCAGCTTTAGATGCATATGTCTTCATTTTCATTTTCATTTTTAAACAAAGTCACACATGAGCATAATTTAAAAATCCAAAGACCACTAAAGGCCCAGAATGAAAAGCAGCAGCAGTCTCTGGCCCATCCCTCTGCACCCATCAGTCTCGCTCCCCAAAGGCAACCAACTTCAGAGCTGCGGCCATTCCCCGGATTTCCCTCCGAGCATCTAAATCAATAGTGTCCACTGCTCTTGCTCAGCAGATCGTACTTAGGCGTCCTGCATTTTCCTCCCACCACAGTGAGGTGAGCTTAGCCCTCCCCATCATCAGACGCATACACATCCCCTCTCTCACCTTCCCAGGGTTGTAATCATAGCTGTTGTCAGACATTAGCATTTATCTCATTAAAACAGGTTGAACCAAGGTAGCAAATCAAGTCCATACCTCTTTTCTTCCGTGTACCTTCCATTTTTCTGAAGCTGATTGTCGTATTTTCTCAATTGTCTTTTTTCCTGTAACCTTTAAAAAATATTTGCCCCAGTTCTCCAATCCATCACCTGTTTATCAATACATTTCCATGCACGCAAACATACCAGTTTCTTGTTTTTCAGAAAGATTTCCATCCTCCTGCTTCAGCCTGGATTCCTGGCTGTTGGTATGGGAAGTCTCTCCTTGCTATAATCTTGATGTGCTTGATTATCTTGTCTTTGGGATCGCATTTCCTGGATAATTTGTCTTCCTCTTTCTTGGTTTACTCTCCAGTTTTGCTACAGTGTACCCTCCAGCAGTTTCCTAGGAAAGGGCCATGTAAAGTAACCTATTAAAGTCATGCACACTTAAAAATGCCATTATTGTACCCTCTCACTTGACTGATACTTTTTCCTGGGTCTGAACCACACTCAATTGCCTCAGAGAACTGAAGTTCACAGTCTTTTAAAATAAACATAGAAATCCACCCTCACAGTCAATTACCTTTATAATTGACAACTTCCATCCATCTTATCTGAGTTCCTTCCCCAGGAAGCCAACTCTCAGGCCTCCCAGATAGTATCAAGGAACTGAAACTCACCAGATCACCACATCCAGACAATGAAAAGCCAGACCCCTCATTCTTTTTCATCTCCTTACCTCTCCCCAATTCCTGTTTAGCTGCCTGTAGTTACATTCTTTCCCCGCTATGTAAGCCCTCAATTTTAGTCAATCAAGGAGATGGATTTGAGAATGAGCTCCCATCTCCTCAGCTGCAGCACCCAGTTAGAGCCTTCTTCCCTGGCAATACTTGTTGTCTCAGTGATTGACTTTCTGTGCTGGGAGCAGCAGGACCCAGACCAAACCCCTGGTGTGTTGTTAACAAGTAGAATATTTTAGGTTGAATGGCACTTTTCCCTCCAAATTTTAAAGGCTTGTTCTAGCATCTTCCAGCCTCCAGTGTTGCTCAGAGAAGACTCTGATGATTCCTTTATTTGTAGTTGAATTATTATTATTATTATTATTATTATTATTTTGAGACAGAGTCTTGCTCAGTCTCCCAGGCTGGAGTGCAATGGTGCAATCTTGGCTCGCTGCAACTTCCGCCTCCCAGGCTCAAGTGATTCTTTTGCCTCAGCCTCCTGAGTAGCTGGGATTACAGGCGCCTGCCACTGCACCCAACTAATTTTTGTATTTTTTAGTAGAGACGGGGTTTCACCATGTTGGCCAAGCTGGTCTCAAACTCCTGACCTCAGGTGATCCACCTATCTCGGCTTCCCAAAGTGCTGGGATTACAGGCATGAGCCACCATACCCTGCCCTGTGAATTATTTTTGTGTGACCCTTTTTTTTTTTCTGGAAGCTTTCAGAATCCTCTCTTTATTCTGGAGATTCTGAAATTTCTTGATCATGTGCATTGGTGTGGCTGTTTTGATTCACTATGTGGGGCATTCAGCAGGCCTTTTCCATATGAAGGCTCACATCCTTCAGTCTGGGGACTTTTCCTGTAATGTTCTGGGATAAATCCTCCTCTCAATTTACTCTCTCTAAATCCTCTCGATTTACTCTTTTCTAGAACTGCAATTTGTTGGGTGTTGGATCTCCTAGATTGCCTAACTTAAAAAAAAAAAAAGTTTCCCTCCTATTCTTCTTTTGTGATTTAATTCCACATTCTGGGAGATTTTCTGAACATCATCCTTTACCCTTTCTATTAAATTTTAAATTTTGCCTACCTTATCTGATTTCCAAAATTTATTTTTATTCTCTAATTGTTCCATTTTTATATATAGTATTCTGTTTGGGGGTGTAGCATCTTCTCTTAGCTCCCTGAAAATATTTATTGGATTTTTTTTTAAAGTTTTCTTCTGCTCTTTGCATTGCCTCTGTTTCCTTCAAATGTCATTTCTTTCTTTATCTTCCCCTGTTTGTTTGTTTTAGGCATTCCCTTTTATATTAGAAGCTTTCCTAGAATTTTTGATGACCCCTGGATACATTCAATCATGTAGCCAAATCAGCTCCATAGAAAACACAGCAGCTGTGTTGATGAGATGGACTTGTCAGCTGGTGGGCCTCACTGAGGCCTGGGGAGAAATACCCTGAATCCCAGGCCCAGTCTTATTCAGAACTATTCCATTTTCCTTGAGTAGAACCCCCTAGTCTTCTGCCTTAGGGATGAAGGCTGGCTGTCAGCTTCCTGAACGCAGGGTAGGGAAGCAGGACTCCCACCTCGTCAGTACTGCAGAATTTTACTTAATCCCTTTGTTTTAAAACTCGTGCCTCACCCTTCAGCCACATAACCAAGTCCTCCAGTTCTCCAAAGAATCACCGTCCTCACTCCTCCCTGCAGTGGAGCCAAGGGCATGGCCACCTGCTGTGCAGGCAGGAGCAGGGGCTCTCTCTGGCCAGGTGAAGACTTTGAGTCACCCTACCTTGTCTTATCCCCACTTTCCCCTCTTCCTCAAGGGGACGCCCCTGGGCTCCAGGTCCTTTGCAGGCCTTAGAGGCCCTGCACATCAACTGTTCTCTGGAGAACCCTTCTGCAAGCCTCTGGGATGTAGCTGCCTCCTCTGCTGAGACACTAGCCACGCCTCGTCTCCTTCCAGGCTGCTGAGCCAGTAGCGTTGAACCCTCTCACCTGCCGTCCCCGCCTTTCCTATGCCCTTTGTCCTTGTAGGTTGACGCCTGTGTCAGCAGAGAGAGGAAAGAGACGCAGGCGATCATTCTCCCGTCCTTACGTGGCAGACAGGGTTATTTGCGTAGATTGACCGAGATGAGTGTCCTGCACTCTGAAGAACCTTGGTGGCTCCTCCTTCGGAATTGATTTAAGCAGTGGTAGCATAGTGTTTTGAAGACAGTCAACGGTGGGTTGGGTTTACTGGAATTGCCCAAGGTGTTTGGATGAAGGCCTTCATTAAGCAAGGCCCTTGGCGGGACGTTCTATGGAACCAGCCCTGAATGGTGCTCAGGGGAATAGGCTTTGGGGTCGGATCTGTTTGCAGGAGACGCACATTTTCTCTTCTTGGGGTTTGTTTCAAATTTTATATTGAAAGTTCTAATAAATTATGTAACAAAGCAACCGATGTGGTTGGATTTTCTAAAGTCACGGGACCACAATCTAGTTTTTGTGTGTAACACCTGCTAACATCTTCATGAGCTAAGTGATAAATCTGCTAATAGATTTTGGCCAGAAATGGTTTCTCAGAAACCCCCCATCCACCAGGCCCCCACCATGGGAGGCCAGCAGCCGGTGGGCCCCATTCAGCTGTGCGTAGTGAAGCATCCTTCACACCCTCCAGGACATGAGCACGTTGGCAGGGATGGACTTTTCCACCTCCTGGATGGAGCAATACACAGATGTCAGAGGAACAAAGCCATGTGCTCTTTATTTAGGATTTTGACATGTGCAGTTTTGGGGATCTTAGGAATGTTGTAATTTTCCAGGGAAAACTCTGACACTTTGTTTCGGGGTCACAGAGAAAACACCACCTTTCATCGCCGATTAGTTTTCCTCAAACGCAGGCTATTTTTGTCCAGTTTCCTTTGAAAGACCAGAACGAATGCTCGGCCTTATGATTTCTCCACTTGTCACTCAGCTTCATGGTACAGATCTCAGAGAGCTCACCTTGGGTTCAAGCTGTCCTTCAGCACACGCCATGCACTCTCTCAAGTTAACCCTTCCGTCCTTCTCCCAGTACTTAGCAGTTGGCTAAATTCACGGATCTTACCTTTTTCAGGGTTCTGTAAGTGACTGACTTCTCCCTTGGATTGTCTCTGATATCTTCTAGATCTTGTTTAATTTTAATTTCATGCCACACTCACGTTTGATGTCATTTCATTCCAAAAGTCCCTTTTTTATGTATTTAAATTTTCCCTGAACATTAGACTTCACATAAACTTGATACTAATTTCTTTGCTTCAAGTCACGGTTACTTCCTTTCTGGCTAATGCGTATTAATGCATTCTCCTAAGTTGTAGCCTTCTAGAACAAGACTAGTTTAGACAATGTTGAGATTAATGCTGCTGCACGTTGAAACAAGTTGTGACATGCTGGAGAACACTTTGAGCCTGGATTTTTAAATTTGCAAATTAAAACTGTTGGACTAGACTCCATGCCTCTGAATATTACTAAGCTCAAGGGTTCTTCTGCTTCCATAAGTTACACAAGAACATTCTTCTTAACATCATTCATTATTCTTCTCAAAAACTTTTGAGATCCAATTATGTTTTGGCCTATTGCAGCTCTTTCAGGAATAAATTCTGTTAACAAGCTCAAGTTTGCCCCTCGGCCCAGCACCTTGATGACAGCAGTGGCTGCGTGAATTAACACTTCCTTGGATTGTGGTAAGTTTTTAAGTCTCAAGTGTTACCCCCGAGACAATTGCCTTTCAGGGGAAGATGCTATGTCCAGAGGCACAGCATTTCAGCAAGAAAGAAAGCAAGGAGGGGGAGTTCTGGGCACAGGAAGGAGTGAGGACAAACACAATGATAAGGACTGTCTGTTACTTCAGGAAACTGAAGGTCTTCAGAATATTCAGGAAAAACTCGTTAAGTGGACAACTTCAGCTGAGAAATGGAGTTTGTGCGGGAGTAAGTTGGGGTGGGATATCGCAGGGCCTTGGTTGTCCACCTAAGCTCATTAGAATCAGATTCTGCAAGGGACGGGGAGTCACTGAACACCGCTGGGCAGGAGATGGCTGTGACGAAGTCTTTGGCATTTGTGTGGAAACTGGAATGAAGAGGGAGAGGCTGGAGGCAGGTGATAGTGAGAGCTAACTTCCAGGAGACACCCTCCAGGGAGGGCTGCTGCAGTGTGGAAGGCTTGGTGACTGCTGGGAGGAGGGAATGGTGGGGAGGGGAAGTGAAGAGCGCTCCATTTCTGAGCCCGAAACGCAGATAATTATGGTGCCAACAACAAGAAGGAAAACGCAGAGGGGAGAGTTGGTTTGGGGACGATTCTGAGTTCTGTGTTAGACATGCTGCACGGGAGGGGACTGCTGACCTGGGGGCGGAGGAGGAGAAGGTCTGAGAGCTCCGGAACTCCAGGCCCTGCCGAGCACACTGGCCTCGACATCCGTGCCTCCGATCGCCTCTGCTTTCTCTGCGCATGGTCCCAAACTGAAAGGTCCCCATTTCAGTCTGTTTCCCAAGCACAATCTCCTCACCTCCACTCACGGACGTCCCTCACCCTCAGCTCCTGGCACCTTCGTCAGGTTTCATGAGCACCACAGGACTCTAGTTATAGACTTAGCCCAGGGAGGCCCAGAGACGTCACAAATGTGAAAGATTCTTTTCTTTTTGCAATATTCTTTCTGATTATAAAAATACACGTTTCTTTTAAGTAGCTCAAGCCCAGAAATTTATACACAAAAAGTCCAAGACCAAACTCCTGCACATGTAAACACGTAAACACGTGTAATCACGCATCCATACATGTGGAGACATGTAAATACATATCTGTACAAACATAGCAATAAAAATGGAGAATGATCCAAATATCCAATAAAGTAAATAGATAAATTATAAATATTTATACAACAGAATACTATTCTGCAGTGGAAATTAGTGAATTATAATGCTATACATCAATAGGAATAAACCTCACAAATAGTGTTTAGTGACAGAAATAAGTCAAGGATAAATACTAACAATATGATATTATTTATATGAGATCAAAACCAGATAAAGTTGTTCAAGAGGTGGGGCACGGTGGCTCACGCCTGTAATCTCAGCACTTTGGGAGGCCAAGGCAGGCGGATCACGAGGTCAGGAGTTCAAGACCAGCCTGACCAAAATGGTGAAACCCCGTCTCTACTAAAAATACAAAATTAGCCAGGCATGGTGGCGTGCGCCTGTAATCCCAGCTACTCAGGAGGCTGAGGCAGGAGAATCACTTGAGCCCGGGAGGCGGAGGTTGCAGTGAGCCGAGATGGTACCACTGCACTCCAGCCTGGGCTACAGAGCAAGACTCCATCTCAAAAAAAAAAAAAAAAGTTGTTCAAGAACGTACACATAACTGGTGAAATTATAAAGGTAAGTGAGGAAATGGTTGTGATACGGTTTGGCTGTGTCTCCACCCAAATCTCATCTTGAATTGTAGCTCCCTCCCATAATTCCCACGTGTTGTGGGAGGGACCCAGTGGGAAGTCATTGAATCCTTGGGGCAGGTCTTTCCCGTGTTGTTCTTATCATAGAGACTAAGTCTCAGGAGATCTGCGAGTCCCTCTGCACACGCTGTCTTGCCCGCCACCATGTAAGACGTAACTTTGCTCCTGATTCACCTTCCACCAAGATTGTGAGACCTCCTCAGCCATATGAAGCTGTGAGTCCATTAAACCTCTTTCCTTTATAAATTACCCAGGCTCAGATATGTCTTCATTAGCAGCATGAGAACAGCCTAATACAGATTGTCACAAAGTCAAGGCAGTGGTGCTGTCTTTGGCACTTCCCAAAGAAAGCACTTTTTTTTTTTGGGGGGGGGGGACGGAGTCTTGCTCTGTTGCCAGGCTGGCTGGAGTACAGTGGTGCAATCTCGGCTCGCTGCAACCTCTGCCTCCTGGGCTCAAGTGATTCTACTTCCTCAGCCTCCTGAGTAGCTGGGACTACAGATGCATGCTGCCACGCCCAGCTAATTTTTGTATTTTTAGTAGAGACAGGGTTTCATCATGTTGGCCAGGCTGGTCTCGAACTCCTGACCCCAGGTGATCCACCCACCTCAGCCTCCCAAAGTGCTGGGATTACAGGCATGAGCCACCGCTCCTGGCCAATAATTTTGGTTTCTTAACCTTGCTCTGGTTACATGGATGCTGGCTTTATTATTGTAACATAATAAGAAAATATAGATTTGGTCCAGCATTTCCAATATGCGCGCTGTGGGTCATCTTTTGGTCCATGTTTCAGCCAATCACCAACCAGACTGTGAGAGGCTTTCCAGCTTGCTTAGCTACAGCATCAAATGCAGAAGCTCTGCCAGCCGGACTCACAACGAACTCAGCCTGCTCCGGCCTTCGGCTCCTCCCAGCATCATCTCACACTCTTGATGTCCATCCACACCCATTTCCCAGGTTTCTTTCTGTATACACGAGAAAACGCAGGCATTCTTTGGGAGTGTGGCACACCTCCTCCTGGCTCCCACTGTGCCTGACCTTTAGGGACCTGCTAGCACCGGGGCCTAGTTCTAGGCCTAGAAGCAAAGGGAGTGGTGGGGGTGGGAATCCAGAAACCTCAGAACCCATTTGGGAAACTTATTTTTAAAGTCCTGTCCTTTAGCCACTCTAAAGTGAAGTCTGTATTAGTCAAAGTTCTTCAGAAAAGTCCCAGCGTCTGCAGCCAGCAAGCTGGGCCCCAGGGGAGCTGATGTGGAGTTCCAGCCGGACTCGAAGGCCTGAGAACCAGGACCGTCAGTGGTGTCCCCTCCAGTCTGAAAGCTGGCAGGCTCGAGACCCAAGAAGAGCCAATATTTTAATCCAAGTCCGAAGGCCAGAAAAACCAATGTCCCAGCTCAGCAGGCAGGAAGGAGTTCCCTCTTACTCAGTCTGTATGTTCTAGTCAGGTCTTCCATCGATTGGATGAGGCCCACCCCTGCAAAGGAAGGCAATCCGCTTCACTCGGTCCTCATTCCAATGTTAACTTCATTCAGAAACCCCTCACAGACACACCCAGGATAACATCTGAATCAATGTCTGGGCACCCCATGGCCCAGTCAAGCTGACGTGTAAAATCAACCACCACACCGAATTCCAGGCCATGCTTTATGTTCATGCTCACTACTGGTAAAGGAGGGGAAGGGGAGTAATGGCAGAAATCATTGAAAAGCTGGCCAGGCCCAGTAGCTCATGCTTATAATCCCAGCATTTTGGGAGGCCGAGGTGGAAGGATTGCTTAAGCCCAGAAGTTTGAGACCAGCCTGAGTAACAAAGTGAGACCTTGGTCTCGACAAAAATTTAAAAATTAGCTGGGTGTGGTGGCATACACCTGTGGTCTCAGCTACTTGGGAGGGGCTGAGGCAGGACCCCGGGAGTACGAGGCTGCAGTGAGCTGTGATTGCACAACCACACTCCAGCCTGGGTGACAGAGCGAGATCCTGCCTTAAAAAAAAAAAAAAAATAAGGAATCTAAAAGTCACTTATAAAAGATGAGACTTTTGATTTTTTAAAAATTTTTGTGATAGTTATGTATGCTGTTCTAGAATTTCACAATACAATCAAGAAAGCCCCAAGGTAAGATGACACTATGAAGACTTCTCTGGAGGAGCTGTAAGGTGATCCTTGTTTTTCTAACCAACCAACTTTCTACTCTCTCCTTGCTATGATCTCCTCTCCTCTTGGTTCAGACTTATGTGAATTTTCTCCCTACCTCAAACCTATTAATTGATTTATTTTGTATTTCTGGAACATAATAGGGGTTATAAAATAATTTAAAGGAAAAAATACTAAGTACTTCTTTCCACCTGTGCTTTAAACTTGACCCCTGGCTACAGAGAAGAACTTAAATAACTTGCCTTTGTTAAAATTATTTTTATTTAAAGAATGTATTTAAAAAAGCTAGGTGTCTTCTTATGACTATCTCTCCTGCTTTCTAAAAGGAATCCATTTAGAAATTAACAAATAGGTCATGCAGTACTGGTGCTTCGTCTCACAAAAGGCAGCTCTGCAGATTGGAAGCCTGTGGCCTCATGGAGGGGCCTCTCCAATGGCATGAGAGCCCAAAAATCTTTTCCTTCCTTCCCATCTCCTATTCTAGATTCCTTTCTATTCAGTTTTCTTTCTTCCTGATATGGTTTGGCTGTGTTCCCATGCAAATCTCATCTTGAATTGTAGTTCCCATAATCCCCACATGTTGTGGGAGGGACCCAGTGGGAAACAATTGAATCATGGAAGTGGTTCCCCTATGCTGTTCTCATGATAGTGAGTGAGTTCTCACGGGATCTGTTAGTTTTATAAGGGGCTTTCCCCTTCACTGGGCACTCATTCTTCTCTTTCCTGCCGCCTTGTGAAGAAGGACATGTTTGCTTCCCCTTCTGTCATGATCATAAGTTTCCTGAGGCCTCCCCAGCCCTGCAGAACTGTGAGTCAATTAAACCTGTTTCCTTTATAAATTACCCAGTCTCTGCTATGTCCTTATAGCAGAGTGAGAATAGACTGATACACTTCCATTTTTAAAGTGTGTGTATTTTCCTTGCAGGTGCCTGAGTACTGAGCTTTGCACTTTGGGGGATTAAAAACAATGGAAACATAAATCCTAAATGAAAGAATTTCAAAATTTCTGGCAAACAACACTTATGTAAAATTAGAAGCTAATACAAGAGGGCAGAGTATAATCAAGTGTGTGATTATGTGTTAGTGACTTTAATTGCAGCAGAATTTTTTTAAATAAGCAGGAAAATAGGATCAAAGTAGCCTGAAAAGGTCTCATGAGGCTGGGCTTGCAGGAAGCCAAGGATTTGGCTTGCTTGGGTGGAAGTCATTCTCGATTTGATGGGAAAGGGGGCTTGTAGAGGCTGCTCCCCTTCTCATTTGATGACATCAACTTTCTTCATCCTCTTTTCCTTTTTATCTCCATTCATCTTTGTGCTTCTCTCTCGGGCTTGCTGGGTATCTCGAGATTTATAGCACTGAGATGTTTGCCCATGACCGTGTTTTATGGATTATGCTTTAGGTATAGCACGTAAAACTCCCCATGAAACCCAAGGTCATGTAGATTTTTTCTGATGTTTTCTTCTAGGCGTTTTACAGTTTTGCATTTTACATGTAGATCTATGATTCTTTGAGTTAATTTTTGTGTAAGGTTTAAGATCTATAGGATCTCTTGGGGATGGGGGAGAACATATAGACATCCAATTGTTCTAGCACCATTTATCCATATAAAGGATAGCTGAAAATACTATCCTTTATCCATCCATTTAATTGCTTTGTGCCTTTGTCAAAATGTATTTGGGGGTTGACATTTTGGGTCTTTGTTCTGTTCTATTGATCTGCGTGTCTACTTTTAAGGCAGTCCCACACCATCCGGGTTACTGTCATTTTATGTTCAGTTGAGCTCAGATAGGATGACTGCCTTCTCACCCCAGCCACTCTCCTGTATTTGCCTATCTCCCTGTTTATGGGTTTATGAGGAAAATTTTTCTTCTTCTCCTTCATGTAAAATAAAGTTCATAAAATTTTCAATAATACTAAATAAAATAATATTTTAAATATTTTTAAACAGTTGTGTTGAGGTATGATGTACATGCCCCAAAACTGACTTGTTTTAATTGTATTACACTTAAAGTAGTTTTGGGTGTGGAAAGTGTTGCTTTCCTCTGACATCTATGCCCATGTATTCTGCCTCCCTCCCATTGCGATGGATTCCATTGTCTGTGTTCCTGGGCAATGCCAGCCCTCCACTTGGTCTTTTTGTTTAGTTGAATTATGCCTGCCTTTGTTTCAGAAAACACTAGCACACTTTCCTCATCTGTGAATGGATATTGTGAGGGTTAATTTTATGTGTCAACTTGACTGGGCAAGGTATGCCCAGACAGTTGGTAAAACAGTATTTCTGGGTGTGTCTGTGAGAGTGTTTCCAGAAGAGGTCAGAGTTTTCATGAGCGGACTGAGTGAGGAAGATGCACGTTTGCCAGCGTGGGTGGGTATCACCTGATCCGCCGAGGCCCAAATAGGACAAAAAGGTGGAGGAAGGGTGAATTCTCTCCCTTCTTGAGCTGGGACTGTCATCATCTGCTGCCCTTCGACCTCAGAACTCCTGGTTCTCAAGGCTTCAGACTCCAGGACTCACACACCAGCTTCCCCGCCCGCCGCATTTCCCTCACCTTCCATTTCTCAGGGCTTCAGACTTGGGCTGAGTGACATCACCAGCTTTCCTGGCTCTCCAGCTTGCAGACAGTAGATTGTGGGACCTCTCAGCTTCCATAATTACAAAAGCCAATTCTCATAATAAATCTCCTCTTAGGTATCTATCTGTCTGTCTGTCTGTCTATCTACATTTTATTGTTTCTCTGTCACTGGAGAACCTCAATACAGCTACTAACAAGGTAGATTTTATGTAAAAAAATATAAAGCAGAACAGCTAAAATAGAATAAATCTTAATCTAACAATGTTTTCAATTATAGAAAATATTAAATTAATTATGATATTTAGAACAGTTTTTGGTTTTGTTTGGGACAGAGTCTTACTCTGTCACACAGGCTGGAGTGCAGTGATGTGATCACAGCTCACTGCAACTTCAAACTCCTGGTCTCAAGTGATCCTCCCACCTCAGCCTCCCAAGTAGCTGGGACTTCAGCTGTATGACACCATGTCCAGCTAATTTTATTTTTACTTTTTTGTAGAGGAAGGGTCTCACTATATTGCCCAGGCTGGTCCCAAACTCCTGTGCTCAAGCCATACTCCCACCTTGACCTCCCAAAGTTCTGGAGTTACAGGCCTGAGCCACCCTCCCAACCTAGAGCAGTGTTTTTAATGACCAACTCCAAGGCTGAAAAAGAGTTAGTTGCCTTTCGCATATAATTTCTGGAATCATAATATTCTAATGCAGTTTGTAACTAAATTTATACTATTCAAAAAATCTAAACAAAACAGAACCGATGAGTTTGAATTATATTTGAAATATCAAGAACTTTGTAACTTCCAATCGATAAAATCTTTAAAAGAAAATTAATCTTCTAAAAAAAAGAGGTTAAAAATAAACTAATTGGAAAATGTTAGAGAAGTACTTCCATAAACATGGGATACAAATTTCTGACATGCTATTTGTGATCATGTTAATTTGCTAACCCTAGGAACTGCTTATTAATGGAAATATTTTTGCTGAGACATCTGCAATGCAGCTTTGATGTCTTGTTAAACTATCAAAAATACAAGATGCAAATGCTGTATTCCCAAAGCAACTTAAAACTCTTCACAATACACACACATGGCATTTTAAATATTTTGTGATAAGAATGAATTACCTGTGCTCTCAATTCAAAAATGTGTACTTTGAAATAACTTTAAGAGATCATCAATTCTTTTTTAATCATAGAATAGTTTCCCTATGAGAAATGCAAACTTTTTTTGGAAAATAGGTCAAGACACTGAGCATTTTTGACATCCTGGGACTCTTTAGAGAAAAGGATATTTTCTGAAAAATGGGTATAGTGCCATTCCAGATATGCAGTTAAACTTGATAACTCACATCTAATTTCATAAGAAATGAGGGCCGGGTGTGGTGGCTCACACCTGTAATCCCAGCTACTTGGGAGGCTGAGGCAAGATAATCACTTGAACCCAGGAGATGGAGGTTGCAGTGAGCCGATATGGCGCCACTACACTCCAGCCTGGGCAACAGGGTGAACTTGTCTTAAAAAAAAAAAAAGAAAAAAAAGAAATGAGTTTAAGTGTCTAAAAAACAAGGAATATTAGCACCCAAGAAGTCTAATGACAAGAAGCTGTATTCTGCTAGCCAGAAGATGACCCAGAGGAAGAGATCAAATGCAGCCAAAAGTGGGATGAATGCAACCCTCCTGTGTATCATTTGTAATGATAGAAGCACTTCATGATTTCCTCATCGGCAAGCATGAGGGAGCTGGATGAAATGACTGCAGCATTTTCTTCTTACTCCACATGCCTGTGACTGTCTCTTTAACACCCCCTGGAGCCTGGAAACTGAGTTCATCTACATTGCTGGAGAGGCAGAAGGCACAGCAGGAGATATATTAATTGGCTTTGGCATCTGGTGTGAGTTCAAATCCCTGTTCTAACATGTACCAGCTGCGAAGCATTGGGGAAGGTTTTGAAGCCTTGTCTCCCTACAGATTCGGGAGCTGATATTTGCGAAGTGACTAACACGCAATAAGCACAGGGGAGGTAGAACCAGTTTTCAAAGGGATAATTCTTGTTCCTTCATCATTTGTATTTTTAAAAGATAAACTGAGACTGAAAAGTCAATGGCCATTTCATAAATAACAGAGTCAGGCCCATAACGCAAGCCGTGTGACTCAGCTGTTCTTTCAACTTACAATTTATTAACCAAAGAACTCACCAATTCAGAGATGGGTTTGATCAAATCAGCTACCTGACAATGGGAAATTTAAACGCACAGACACACACACACACACACACACACACACACACACACAGCACCAGTTTAAATCTATTTCAAATTAGTTATGCTTACACCAAAAGGCAGAGTTCAGTTTGCGAGATCCCATCAGTGAGGATGGTGTAGCCCGACAGGAATTTTGAGAGAGACAAGGGTTCAAAGATCCAATGAGTTCCTGGACCAGGATCACCTGCAGATCCGGACTCCGTTCCTGTCTACCAGTGAGGCTGCTGTGACTCGAAGGAAGAGCCAAGAGGAAGGAGCCGGGGAAAGCTGGGGCTGCCTTGGCTGAGCACGTGTTTTATGCTCTCCACCAACCTTGTCTACGAGGGAAGATGGAGACAAATGCTGCCCAGGCCTGCGCAGCCGAGAGTGGTGGACACTGGGGGAAGCCGGTACCGCGGTGTGCGTGGAAAATGCATCAGATCTGGACTTAGACAACTGGAGTTGGTGTTTTTGTTCTGTCACTAGCTGGGTGGCTTTGGGGGAGAGAGAGGTCTCCAACTCTTGAATCTTCAGTTTTCTCAAAAATAGATAAAAATAGTCAATGGTTTAAAGGACAGTTATAAAAATCAAATATGCTATTGTGTAAAAGTTATACATTTTCTGCATCTTAGCCTCCTTATTTGTAAACTAGGGAAAGTAACAGTATTCACTGTGTAGGGTTATTAGGATTTAATGAGTTAATCCATGTGAAATGCTGATAGCAGTGTCTGGCTTGCAGCGAGCACTCCAATCGGTAGGCAGCTGGTTACATAACACAGAAATGTCACCAGCCATTTCAACCCACTGTCCACTGTTACTGTTGCATTTATTGGCTTTTGGCTTTGGTGACTGACTTGTCGTTATGAAAGGGAAAAGGGCTCCTGTTTTGCCTATTTTCTTTTTTCCTTATGAGACCACAATCATTTAAAAAAAAAACTCTACAGCAGTAATAATTTTTAAAATGTATATATTACTTATATATTAACATTAAGCATTAATACTGTTCAATAATAGAATATGAAGAAAAATACATATAGTGGTATTTGGGATTATAATCTTACACAGAATAGTGACAAGAGACATATGAAAGGGCAAGTGTATCAAAGCTAGATGACAATAAGACTGCAAATAAGATGAATTTATTCAACACTATGTACAAAGTTTAAGGCCGTGGTCTAATCCATGCATCATAATTGGATGAGTGATATCCATCGATCATTAGCCCGATACTGAACATTACTCCAAAATAATTAGTAGGAACAAAGATGTCTGATGTTAATAAAACAAGACTCTTTTTCTCCATAAGTATAATTCACATGGCTATAGATTTTTAAGTTTTACTTTTCCAAAACAGAAAGCCTTGAAGAGACTCCAAACCCTATTTTAAAACAAGAAAACTGATGATGATGATGATACTGATGATGATGATACAGCAAATAAAGCTAAAATTAAAATGTATCTTGGAAAAATATGAGAATCAGCTCATCCCTAACTGGTAAGGAGCATTGACGGTAAGTATCACGTCAAGAGTGGGCGGCACCTGGAGCCACACTGGCTGGGCCCAGACCCTGGCTCTGCCACTCAGTAGCTGTGTGACTTTGGGCAATTCCTTAGCATCTCTGTGTCTCACTTTCTCATTTGTGAATTGAGAATAATAGTAACTATTTTATGCAGTTGTCATGAAGATCAAATTAGGTCTTAGAACATTGTCAGATACACAGTGTGTTCAAACACGGCAAGCCATTTTATTATAACAAATACATACAATACTTTAGTAAGTATCCAAAATGAGTACAGGATAAAGAATAACTGATAAAATAAATATTCAACACAAAATGTTGAATTTGGGGGTTCAGTTGAATATAAATCATCCCGAGCCCATTAATACTGATAGAGATACAACTCCACATAACCACGCCATATATTAAAATCTCTTTCATTAAACCTAAGCAAGACACCATCAACTACAGGAGTTTTAGGAACCATTAAGAAAAAAAAATGTTGTCATAGATTTTATTGACTGCAAGACATATTCTAATTTCTAACAAGTCAGAATACAAAAAGAAAATATGCATCTTAGAACCGAAGAAATTCTGATATGAGCAAACTGGAAAGTGGTCAGCAGAGTTAGACTGCAGAAGAGTGTGTTTAAGAACAAATATGCAGACACAAAGTCTAGTTTTCCCACTGGCTGCTGAGGTGGAAGATGTGTTTCTGGGACATGAGCGCTCACTTCTGGAGGGTTTAGCATCTCATTAATTACCAATCCCTGCTTACACCACAGAGGGTGTGGACTGGCATGGGAGCCCCCCAGGAACACATCCTGCCACATCTGCAAGAACAGGGAGAAGCCCCCAAGAGTTCCTGTTACCACTGTTCTGGGAGAGAGAGGAGAACCTAAAAAACAGATAGCAATTGAGTGTTTATATTATAAATATTTATAAGCAAATCTTGAAAATTGAGCAGATTCTGGGTGGGTTTGATGATCTGAGAGTCCCTTGAATAAAAAGAATTCTAGAAAAGCTGTGAAACTTCACCTTTCCCCTATTCTTAACCTTACTTGCCTTTGGGAGGCTGAGGCAGGAGGATGACTTAAGGCCAGGAGTTTGAGAATGTAGTGAGCTATGACCACACCGGTTACACTCAAGCCTGGGCGAGACCACAACAAAAACCTTACCTGCCAACTGCTCCATGCTGGAAATTTATTTCGTTTCTTGGATTGTGGAAAGAACTGGCTTACTGAAAACCACACTTCTCTAAAACCCTTCTTCCAGTTAGGTGTTAAGATTTTAACAGCCTTTCCTATCTGAATAAAAACTGCACACAAAGTAAACTTAAGAGATGTCAACAACTCATCTGTTTGTTACAAGATGAGTCTCCATGCTTCATCGCCTGTGGGGAATCCTCATCAGCGTCTAGTGGCAAAGACTCCTGTGTGCTCACCGAAACGCTCCCCTTCCTCCAGGGCACACAGTCACATGGATTTCCCATGCACCCTGGCAGCTCAGCAGGAGTCCATGACTTAAGAAGGCCAATGGACTGTGGGTGAAGTCTGTGGACGGGGAAGCCACATGCGTCACTTCCAGGCCTGGGCGTGTGCATCCTCCACTCTCTTCCCCTGTGGGTGCAGAAGGCGGGGCAGAGGGCCCTGAAACCTTGGAGGTCGGTGGAGCCCAAAATGAAGGAGCGTGGGCCTCTGGGTCTTCATGTAAATTTAGGTAACACTGAACTGTCAGGTGAACAAGAAATAAACGTCAAATGTATTCAGTCGATTAGATTTGGTGATGGTTGTTACAGCGGTTACCCTCCCTCAACATAATAAATTTTCAAACAACTCATAATGGCTCACTCATGTATAAAATATTCCATATGAAATCCCGGGATAACATGCTTATTCTAGCTCAAGCTTAATCAGAGTAGTCCATCTGAGGGAGGAGATAGTAGAGGGCAGCAAGGGGTTGTCACTGAAGATAACTAGCCTTGCTAAAAGAATGGTTGAAGAAGTGAGCTACAGATAGGGTAAATCCACATCTCAGACATTCTGTGATGGTCCTGATATTATCCTAAAGTAAAATGTAGAGTTGAACCATTTTAATTAGATTCTAGAATTCTATTAATTTATAAGATGGGCATTTCCACAAAGGACTAAACAAAGTACAAGAGGATTAAATAATCATCCACATGGGAGGCACCGCCTTGCACTTTAAAATGATGGAGCTTATCAAGACTGGCTGTGGATATCTGTCCCTGGGAGGGTTTTTTCCCCCATTTTTTTCCTTTTTGAGACATGTTCTCGCTATGTTGCCCAGGCTGGTCTTGAACTCCTGGGCTCAAGTGATCCTCCCGCCTCAGCCTCCCCAAGTAGCTGGGATTACAAGTGCATGCCACCATGCCTGGCTTAGGTCCCTAAGAGTTTGCAACAAAGCATGCTATTGTGGTTGAAAGATTTCCAAAAGCACAGCAGAAAAGCTTACAGGGGCCAGGCAGGTGACAGGGTGGGCAGAAAGTGAGAGGGAAGGTGGGACCTGTAAGGAGCTGTGGCACAACAGCACAATGTTAAGGGATTTACATTCAGTATTTTATGAGACGGAGTCTCACTCTGTCGCCCAGGTTGGAGTGCAGCGGTGCGATCTCGGCTCACTGCAACCTCCGTCTCCCACGTTCAAGTGCTTCTCTTGCCTCAGCCTCCTGAGTAGCTGGGGCCATAGACACCTGCCACCACGCCCGCCTAATTTTTGTATTTTAGTAGAGACGGGGTTTCACCATGTTGGCTAGGTTGGTCTTGAACTCCTGACCTCAGATGATCTGCCCATCTCAGACTCCCAAAGTGCTGGGATTACAGGTGTGAGCCACTGCACCCAGTAATTTGAAGGCACTGTGTAGGATTTGTGGGCAGACACTCTCAGAGTTGCCCCCCTAGTTTATTCATTCACTTAACAAGTTTTAATTATTTATTTATTTGAGACAGGGCCTCACCCTGTAACCCAGGCTGGAGTGCAGTAGTGTGATCACCACTCACTGCATCCTCAACCTCTCAGGCTCAGGGAATCCTCCTACCTCAGCCTCCCGAATAGCTGGGACTACAGGTGCACACCACCATTCCTGGCTAATTTTTTTATTTTTATTTTTGTAGAGATGGAATCCCATTATGTTACCCAGGCTGGTCTTGAACTTCTGGGCTCAAGCCATCCTCCCACCTTGGCCTCCTGAAGTGCTGGGATTATAGGCGTGAGCCACGGCACCTGGCCAACAAGTATTTACTGAATGTCCACTGGCTTTCTGAGATCTAGGATTTGGTCTAAAAGATATCTCGAGGCTCTTTCCCAATCTATTGCTCTAAGAAATGTTTTACAGTAAACTAGGATGGTAACCTAAAAAAGAAAAATATATGACAACCTAAAAAAAACTTAACAACACAAAATGACTGAAAAGAACTCAGGTAAAAGGAGAAAAACATACAGAACTTAAAATATAAATTAACTTCTTTCAAAATAAAAATAGTTTAATTTCCATCAAGTATAGCGATATGCAGTCTATAAATTCTCACAAACACAGCTTTAAAAAGTGCAAGTTGCAGGAACTATGATAAATTTGAAAATAACAATCTTTTTATTAGACATCTGACCAAGAGGATGCTGTAAGATGCGCAATGTCAGGTTATATGGAGCTTATTCACATGCTTCTTGCTATACTAAATATACACTAAATGGCTTTTATTTAAAATTTCATAAAAGGAACATTTCATTAAAACCAATTTAAATTCTACAACTACTAAGAACAAATAAAACTAGTAGAGGTGAACAAATCTCTCTTCTCCAGTCGACTGGACAGCAGGATTACTGAGTAGTAGGTAGGCCGAGTCTTCTTCACCCCCTTATTATTTGGTGAGGAAGTCAACTGTGAGAAGTGACTCGAACTGTCAGAAGAAATGAGAAAAGTGCTTGGGTCTATGGGCAGGGTACTAAGATCTACAGCGCCTGTTGCCTTGAAAGAAAACGAGGTAAATGTGTACAAAATGTTAAAATTAGAAAATGATCATGGATAATCAAGGTGGTATTATTTCAAAAGCTTCTTAATTTGAATAATATGGAGCATGTAATTCTACATTGCTTCTAAAAGGAAAGTTTCATTTACTCACGTTCTAAGAATTCAGTTTGATATGTTATTCCATGTTCTGTCAAATCTCAGAAAAACGAAGAAAGGGTTCCTAGCACATACCACTAGTGTAAATAACACTACAAAAAGCATTTAACCTAAGAAAATGGACTTACGTGCAATCTTGGTAAAAAGATGACTGCAGCTGAAGCTCCGCAGGCAGACTCAGAATATTTCGTGTGCTTTGAAGCAGGAACGCTTGTCTTTATATTACGTAATTCATGCTATTGCTCATTTAAGTTGGTCTTTCACTCCAGATAGGTTTTTATTGATTTTTAAAGGGTCATCCTTCGAATAGTTGGGTAATAATTGCTCCTACTTCTTGACTGACCCTTTTATTCTTATACATTCTTTCTTTTTCAAAATGCCACACTGTACTGGGAATTCAGATCTGCCCATCCTACAGCTACCCGGGCCCCACTCAAAAAGGGCTTCTGAGTTCCAGAAAGTCCTCGTCATGAAACATTCCACCTACAGCACGTGTGTGCGACACACACCAGACTCTGATGCCAGTGTAAGCCAAGGCTGTGATTGGCTAATCATTTTACTTAAAAGGTTTTGACCAGGTCGGTGACAATATTTAATTTCTAGCAACCATTTTAGAGGTTTCTTACTTAACTCCGTTTGTTAAAGTGGTGAGAATATAAATTCTCTAATTGGTGAGAACTTTTTTGAACAGCTGGCTTAAAATTACAGCCATGCATCAGTTGACGACAGGGGTACATTCTGAGAAATGCGCTGTTGGACGATTTTGTCGTGGGAGCATCACAGAGCACACTTAAACAGACCTAGATGGTGGCACCCACTACACACCTAGGCTGTGTGCCATAACCTACTGCTCCTAGCTACACATCTGTACAGCACGGTACTGAATACTGCAGGCAACTGTCACCATGCTATCTGCATGTCTAAACATAGAAAAAGGACGGTAAAAATATAGTATTAGAATCTTATGGGCCCACTGTCACAGATGTGGTCCTTTGTTGGCCAAAACGTCCTAACGTGGCATATGACTGCAGCTGACTTCGAAAACTAATTTTTTACATACCTTAGTTTAATCTGGATCCTCTGAAGAGCTATCTATCTCAAGGCCAGCATTTTCTTCCTAGGCATGAAAGGGTTTAAAATTATGTAAGATTGTAAATTCTCTATTTAATCAGTCTCAACCAGGGATTCTCAACCTTTGTGATAAGCCATTAAAAAAACTATCCAGTGCTGGCTGTTGTCTATACGTTTCTATTTTTCAATTCAGTTGCATAATTATGGCCTATGCTTAGAATTCTGAGGTAGGGAAGGATAGGGAGTACCACAGCCTGGAAACTCAAAACGCGATAGTCTCAGAGAGCCCACCTGAGTCTGCTCATGCTGCCCCCGCAAAAGAACAGTATCCCCACTGGTTTCTTCCCTTCCGCCCAGTGTCGGCGTGCGCCTGGAAGAGAAGGTGGGAATAAAGGAGGCTCGATGCTCAGTCTGGAGTGCTGGCCAAAGAAGTTAACTTATGGCACCTTCCCTTTTACCCACGTATTCCCTCAAGTCACTCGCCCATGAAGGGGCACGGTGCCTTCTAGTGCTTTTCCTGGTAGATAGGTTGATTTTACTCAGGAGTTAGCCAGGAATTCAGAGATTCCTGGATTTTTAAACTATGGGATACTTCTAAATAGGCTGAGAATTCCGGGTGTAACTAAAAATCACCTTTTAAATTTAGTCTTTTACCCATAAGATTTACTTCCATTCAAAAAAATATCTTCTAATGGTTAGTATTTGTAAGAAAAAAATCATGATTACAAATGTATTTTACTGCAGCAGTCTAACATGCAAATGTTCTAAAAAGGTCTCGAGAGTAGCATTTTCGCAAGTAAGTTTCATTTAAAATTACTTGGCTAGGCAATCAAAATCATTCTGACCACTATATAAACCCATATAAGTAAAATATAACACATAAACACATTTTGCTTTTAATATTGAAAATGTTGGTTATTATGAATGCTTAAATTTCCCAGTGTTGGAGAGCTGATCCCTAAATACCCAGCACTGCGGAAGTTATTTCAACTGAAAGAGAAAAACAGCTTCTTTTATTTCCAGTCTTCTCCTGCAGAAAGCCTGTACTCACAGGCAGCACTCCGTAAGGCCACGGTGAATGAATCTGGCTTAACATTTGATACATTATCAGAACTATCTGTGGCTTACAGTGAAGGCAAAATGGTATATAAAACACAAGACTCGGCTGGGCATGGTGGCTCATGCCTATAATCCCAGGCCTTTGGGAGGCCGAGGAGGGAGGATTGCTTGTATCCAGGAGTTCGAGACCAACCTGGGCAACATAGCAAGGCTGCATCTCCTCAAAAAATAAAAAATTAGCCAGGTGTGGTGGCACGTGCCTATAGTCCCAGCTACTCGGGAGGCTGAGCCCAGGAGGTCGAGGCTGCAGTGAGCCATGATGGCGCCACTACACTCAGCCTGGATGACAGAGTGAGAGACTGCCTCAAACAAACAAACAAACAAACAAACAAACAAAACCACAAAAAACCCCACAGGACTCTAAATGGATAGAATCTAAGGGCAAGATTAGAGCACCAATTTCTTTTTCTATCATTTTGCACCCAGTTTAAAGCAGAGTTTTGCATGTGTGAGAATCAGACTGAGCTATAAACAGATACACACACACATAGACGCACAGGTTCAAGGGAGATGGTCTATGACTCAATAACTCATCTGGTTTGTCAATTTCGGTATCAGTATGAAAAAGCAAACTTTTCCAGGAAGTTCATGGAATAAACTGATATCCTCCAGGTTCTGGATAACCTACCTTTTCTATCTACAGGAACGCACTGCACAGCGCTGCTGGGCGCTAGCATGCTGTGGGCACAAACGCTTCATAAAGCACCACTGAGGCACTGGGACTTACGAGCCACATTCTCTTAAAAAGACTAGTTGGGAGCAGTTCAGAACACTTCTGCCAACTGCATGACTGTACATGAACCTGAAAGTCTTTAACAAACTTCAGACATGTGACAAAACAAACACACAAACTACTTTTATTTTTAATCAAAATGTGAATCATCATAGTGAATAAAAATTCATGAGTCAGAATAGCATGCAATTTTTTATTGTTTTCTAAATCTATTTGTACACTTAATATGCTAGTATTAATTTCACAAACAGTATAAAGAATGTACTCCAATGATATTACGCGGCAACTACTCACCTGAAAAAGAAAACATTGTCTCTGAAATAATTCCTAATTATACAATTTTGCAAATAAGCACTATAAATGTTAAAATGTTAAGACTTCAGTGTATAATGTCAATAACATCCTGCCTTTTTAAAATTGCTTAAAACATTTGTTAAAGATCATGCAAAATAAACACTGTATTAAAATGCTAGATTACACTCAAACATCAAGGCAATGAAACACAAAAGAGCAACTATTTAGCACAATGACTGGCCCAGTAAATAACTTAATCAGCATATTAATAAAAACCCACTGAGTGATAAACATCGAAAATGTAACACTGAATCTAGATAATAGCGCATCTGCGATCTCACCATCTACCGTCCTAACTGTGACTTGGGGTAAACCACCAGAATTCATTCTACATAAATGAGCTATGTTAAAACGATAACAATATTTCATTGCATGATGACAGGGTACATTTCTAGTCCACACAGTACTTCAATGTGACCATTCTCTTAACTCGGCTAATAATTAATGGAAAGTACACTTTTACAGTCACAGCACTTATATAGATATATATATATATTTTACCCTTGCTTTGTTACATGTTTCCAAATTTTTTTTTAAAAAGTATTTCCTTTCTTATGATCCTTCCCCAGAACTAACATGCTGACTTAGGAACAGATGAAGTAGATAAAGTCTATCCTAGTATAGAGAGCAATGATTTAGTTTTACCTAATTAAATATTTCCTTGTCATTTATCAATTGTCACTGACCTTTTTGATGTAATTATTTCCTCATTCACTCATCTATAAATATTTATTAGTACCTATTATTACCCATGTCTCCCTGATTTTCCAGAAAAAGAATTCATGTTTTTTTTTCTTCTCATTGCTAAGCTCACTTAGAAAAGTTGGGCACCATTTAAAAGAGTTGGAGAACAGACCAGGGTGGCTTCTTGGGCACAGCTGGATGGTGCTGGAAGCCAGGCCTGGGATTTGGAGAGAAGAGTTTCCGACATATAAACCCACGGAGGTCACCAGCCCTCCCCGCATCTACTCTCCTAACAGCTCAGGACAGCCCCGTCACACTACTGCCAGCCCTGGTGACTCACTTTGTTGGCAATTTTTAAAGCCCTCTTCATTATGTACTTCCTACTCTTCAGAACCTCTGTGATAAGCAATACCCCTGCCATACAGAACGCTGGATCTCGGTTTACTCAGCCTCTCCCTGTAGCGTCACAGGCTGTGCACTCACCTAGGTGAGCCCCTAAGAGCAGGGTTTGCTTCTGCTTCACCTAACGCCACGTCTTCCCTCAAATGTGTGGTCACCAAATGTTTGCAAAAAGGGTCTCTAGCTTTTTTTCTTTTTGGCACATTAAGCCCTTTAAAATACTTCTGACCTATCTTTATACTCAGATCTCACCTCGTCTCAAAAAGTTTTATGGGGTAATGCGCCAATGAAAGGTACAGTAGTATTAGTGAGTTCTGAAGCTTCTAATTACAAAGACCACAGAGGCTGGCTGGTGAGCCATGCTTCTCATGCTCCCTTCTGTCACACTGCAGATGTCTCTTTTACCTCGGCCTCATCATCGGTTAGTTATCTGTCAGCAAAATGTAGAAAGGTGATGGGCGTGGATGGAGTCAAAATCCAGGACAATTCTGTCATAAAGGTACAGTAACACTCTTCTCCTTTGCTTGTTTTTCTCAAAGAATGCTTTCTCTTTCTTCTCCAAAGCCTGTGCTCTCAGAAGAGGCTGCTGCATGGAGCTCCGGAGGATCTTTGGAGAGCCTTGTGTAACTTGAACGTTGGCTTCGCTTATGTGTCATGCTTTTTAGATTCTCATTCTGAATAGTGGTTGGGTTGGGACTGGAACTAGGCCTCAAAATGACTTGAGAAGTCTCCCTAATTCCCTCCATCTCATCGAAATTTTGATTGGCTCTGTTGGCTGGAGCACTATTGTTGTTCAGAGTCACGGTGCTGGGAGTTCGGTTCAGGTTGTAGGCTTTCTGGCATGCAGGCCAGTTTTCTTCAGGGCTGCTGGCTATCAAGCTGCATTCGGAAGGGCTTTTCTTGTCTTCTGAACAAATGGACATCCGAGCTATAATTGGATCTTGCAGGCCACTCAGGCTATGTGGGATTCCCCGCTTTCCGCTGTGACTGTCATCTTCCAGCTCTATGAGATTTGCCTTTTCAAGCTGGGAGTCATCCGCCACTTCATTGTGCAGAGAGTGATTGGGAGAACTTTCACTGGATCTCACTCCTGAATCCGATGAATCCTTTTTGTCAAGGAGCGCATCCGATAAATACTCTTTGGCTTTAATGAAGGTTCTGATCGGCTCAGCACTGTGTTCTGGAGACTTCGGCACTCTCTCTACTTTCCCTTCGGCTTTTCTGTCTTTGTCATCTTTGAGCAGTGGAGTGTTATCTGATTCTTCTGTGCCAGATTCATCCTCGTCACTTGGGAGTTTTTGATAGCGCAGCCCACTTCCCTTAAGCTTCAAATCTGTCTGGAAGAGGCTTGACCTTTCGGAAGATTTCTTGCCTGGGAGAAGCTTACTGCCTGACTGATCTGATTTTTCATCTTCTTCAGTGATAGGATCCAGGGGGGAAGCATCGTTGGTGGAAACCCCTGATGATGAATAATCGATAACATCTCCCCTCTTCATTAGAAAGGACTTCCTCCCATCATCGGGCTTTGGTTCACTATCCTTCCCCTTTTCTTGCTCTAGGTTTGAATGAATAGAGCCCCCTGATGAACTCTGACCCATGTAATATGTGCTATGTGGAGAAGATCTGCCACTAATGGTTGTAGACCCGGGGCCCCCTTCTAACTGGGACATCTGAGCAATGTATTCTCTATAGGCATCTCTATACTCGGCCTGCACCTTATCAGTAAGCTTTGAAATTTCAATACTGGAATCCTGGGAATTGAGACTCGAAAGACTTGGGGTTCTGCGAGTTTGTGACTGTGAAGACAGAAAAAAAATAATTTAAAAATTCAAATAAGAAGAAAAAAGGCATAAACATCAGCTTAGGAAATATATATGTACACTAACCATTTAAAAAGTCATCAAAACATCAAATTCTTTTAAAAGAATTCTACATAACACAGATTAACAAAAGCTGTGACCTTATAATGCTGTTACTAGAAAGCTTTCTATAAATTTTAATAAAATCAGTTTATTGTTAATATTTAAAAGTATGATTAAACACTGTATTAACAAATAATCTTAGCACTTGTTTCTGGTTTTTATTTCATTTTTAAGAGACAGGATCTTGCTGTGTTGCCCAGGCTAGATTCAAACTACTGGACTCAAGCAATCCTCCCGCCTCAGCCTCCTGAGCAGCTGGGACTATGGGCATGTCCCACATGCTCGGCCACAGCACTTGTTTTTATAACTTCAAACGTTTAGCTTTTATTTAAGGCCAAAGTCAACTTCATTGATAAAATATAAAATGCAATGAGGCCAATAGTTGGGCCTTAGTAAACAGAAAAATAAAGTAGTTTTACAAGTTTATTTCCAATATTAAGTTTTAGAATTAGAATTTGCTTCAGATCCCAGAATAGCTAAGAAACAAGGAGCAAAAAGTACAGATGAGGAAAAAGAAGGAGAAGAATCAAGAAAGTTTAAGAAGGGTCAAGAGCAAAGGCTAAAACAAAAAAGAAGGAGCAAAGTGAATTTGTTGGGGACCTTCTCAAGGAAATAGGACATTTTCTTCCTTCCCCAAGGCGCTGCTCCTCCTCACCGCTGCCCTGCCCTGCCCACTCAGTGTTACTCGCTGCCGCCCGCTGTGCCTCCTCCCCCGTTGTTCTCCACACCCTGCTCTGCTTTTCCTCCTGCGCTCTCCTCACTCCCGCTACTCCTCCTGCATCTCTCACTTTGCTCTGTCCCTGCCCCTACCCCTACCCCTCACCTGGCCTCCTTCTTCTAAGAATCTCCAAAGGAAGAACGCGCCTACATCTAATGCCAGACCAGAAGAAACCAATATCCGTGAAGGGTGTGCAGGCGTCCTGGAAAACCAAAGGATGGTGCTCAAAGGGACACTATGTGGCCAGTGTTCCAATGAAGATGTACTTCAACCAACAGTTACTGAATGCAACAGGAAGATCGCCTGAGAAAGGCTGAATTTGCTGACCACCCTAGCTCAAGTGGCCTAATCCCTATTGACTCTGCATGCTGTGACCCTGATGGATATCTCAGCTCTCATCAATGTCTACATGAGCTACTTTTTTGTTTGTTTCACTGACTGCCCCTCTCCACATGGATGCAGCTCCTTGAGTACAGGGAGCCCTCCATCTTGTCTCCTGTTCACTTAGGTATTCAGTAAGCATTTTCTGAATGACTGTCTAAATGCCCATATAATCTCAGTGAACTGAACGGTGTGCTTATTCTTCAATAATATGAAAAATGCCATTCAATAAATACCTGCCAACTTAGATTACTGTGACGAGGGGCACCTTCATCCAGGCCAAGCGTGTTCAGCTCTTCGAAGCTGAAGTTGAGTGTGTAGGGCGTCTGGCTGGAGAGCTCGGTGTGAGGCAGCTCGTTGTGGGAAGCGCGGCGAGCAGGCTCACCGTGCGGGGCTGGGCCACTGCTGCTCTCACTGAGGAAACGTGGGTCTTCAGGGACCACGTGGCTTTCTGCGTTTCTCATTTCTAGTACCTTAACAGAAGAAAAACATAAATATTTACACTAACAAATCATATTTTAGAAGCTTTAGAAATATTTAGAAATACCAAACATTATAAAGCTATTGCAACAGCAATGAGAAAGCATACTTCTGGTAAGTGAATTTCTAGTGAATTTGTTTTATACATCAGCTTATCTTTCATGTTCATTAATACTAAAGGAAGCAATGGTAGAAACCACCATACATATACTACACTGCAATTTGTCCATTAAATTATTACTTCTGTTTAAAACTTAACTTGAGGACAAAGAAAAATGCAGCTGGCTTGTGTCAAAACCAGAGCTGGCCAGGAGTAGGGCGGTAGGTCCAGATTTTATTCAGAACTATGGCAACAGGGGTAAGCAGTCTCACTACAGAAGGGAGTCCAACTCGGAATAAGCACGAATGAGTGGGGATCTACCACCAAGGGGCAGGGTGGGGGTCGTGGATGGAACATTACTAAGGGGAGGCAGCAGGAGTGGGGGACTCTTGGTACGCCGATGGCCAGGGTGAGCCGACATCACCTGGGGGTGGGGGGGTTAGTGAGGCGTTTGATCAAATACTGAGGGTGATCACACATGTAAACTGACTTAACAGGATTCTTGCTAAACCTGGGCAATGCAAGCCCTATAAGGATGAATGCTGAAGGTCAAGGCCTCGAAGGCTTTGAGGAGCCTGATGAGAGTTAAGGCAGGTGAAAGCATGAAGAACCGGCAGGCGGCCTCTTCCCCAAATCTCTGAGTGAAATGCCCAAAAAGGCAAAGGCTGCCAAGTGCTGCTGTGTGTATTTTCCACAACACAGGATTGCACATAAGTGTAAGAAGCAGTTTTTAAATTTAAAAAAATATGAAAAAAATACCAGTTTAGGCCAGTACTTATTGATACTGGTTTTCTACAATGTTATAAATAATTTTGAATGTTATCATAAAATAATGTTGTAAACATCACAATGTTACAAATATCTTACTGTGCTTCTGAAAAGGTGCCAGTCTCCAAAATTCATATTCATCTCTTTCTTCAGCTCATCAATGTTACACTGAGCTAACACACGGCCATTTATGTTTGCCTGAGTAAAAATTAAAACAATTATGGGTATAAAGACAGAATGTGAAATATTCTGAATTACTAGTGATTGCCAAGTATGCTTATATTTAGTTTTAAATAAGTCTCTAGAGACCAGAAAGGCTGACCAAAAAAAAGGTTATCATCCCATATAATAATACAATAAACAAGCTGAATTTGAACAACATCAGCCACTTCATATTTTCCCAAATGTCTTAGGCATTTTCTGGGACCAACCGAAGAACTAACCCTCCTATTTCCAAAACTACCTATGCTGTCATGAGCAACAACAAAACTGTTAGTTTTTGTTTTCTAATCTTAGAAAATATGAACATGAACACAAGCTGCTGGGAGGGGACAAAGACATCTGTTCTCATAAGCGTGTTGGTCACTAACAACGTTCTAAATGAAGTAGGCCTGGCAAACTTGTTTATCCGTTATATTAGATACAGATATGAAGAATGCCCACCCACTAATTTTCCAGTCTATTAAATTCACAAGGCCCGGCGCGGTGGCTCACGCATGTAATCCCAGAACTTTGGGAGGCTGAGGTGGGTGGATCACCTAAAGTCAGGAGTTCGAGACCAGCCTGGCCAACATGGTGAAATTCCATCTCTATTAAAACTACAAAAATTAGCTGGGAGTGGTGGCACATGCCTGTAGTCCCAGCTACTTGGGAGGCTGAGGCAGGAGGATCGCTTGCACCCAGGAGGCGGGAGGTTGCAGTGAGCCATGGCCACGCCACTGCACTCCAGCCTGGGTGACATAGCAGGACTCCATCTCAAAGAAAAAAAAAATCATAAAAAAGGAAGTTATTACTTTTGGTTCCCTGTAATTCTAGTTTCCCCTAAATGAAACAACAGCATTTTCTTTATTAATAATAGGTAGCTTACTGCTTTTATAAAATGTAAAACCTGACTTTATTAACTGGGGCAAATTTATGAAATAGCTATGTTTATAATCAATAGAATGTTCAGTTTCCAAGTTAATCCTGAAGAAAACAGTATACACAGCAAGTCTGTGACAGAGGTCCTGCTGCAACAATGCCGCGGAGCCCTAAGCACGGAGGAGGCCAGCGGCTCTGAGGGGCTTCAGAAAGCCGGGGTCTAGGAGCAAAGAGCTGAGTGGGGAGAAAACCACTACCCCGATGGGAACAAAATCATCACAAAGGACTCGTGTGGGAGACCCCGCTCTTTCCTGACACCAACCAGCTGCCTGAAGGAGAAAGTGGGGCTTATCCATGGAAAAGCCGGTGTTTGACTCATGCAAACAGGGACTAGCACGAGCCAGCTCTGTAAGGAAACTGACATTATCTGAAACCTTTCTAAAATTGGCTGAGATGAGTAAAATGGTGTCTACATATGCTCATAATTCTTTAAAAAACTTCTCTCAGATGTCATTCTTTCAAGTATATAAATATTAGAGGCTGGTTATTAACGTTCTACTTTATTACACAGTACTCTGATATAAAAAGTATACCTTAGTGAAATACCTACTATAAAGACTTCGTTAAAACCTTCCCCCAAATCTCAGGCATCTCTAGCCAACTTCCTGATAGCTGCTAGAATTGCAATAGGATCTTAGAAGAAAAAAAAACTATGCAAATGCATTAACCTTGCAAACCCAAACCTATGTGGTTTCATCAAATGTGACATGATCCTAAGTCCTACATGACATGAAAATGAGAATTTGGAGAAAATGAGGCAAGTGTGGCTTACTTTGATAATCACTAAATCACACTAACAAATATTACAATTAGAAAAAAATGTAACACAAAGGTTTTCGGTTCCACACTGGAAAGATGAGTTCTGTTTATCCCAATGGGAATCCCTCAGAGCTTTCTCTTTCTCATCAAGGCATTCTTTACTTGTATTACGTCATTTAAAAAAGAACATGGTAAGACAGCTACTTTATTTTATTTTATCCATTTATAAAATAAGAGAAAACAGGGCAATTTTAGAATACAAACTAGTAAGAATTATGTTTTCCATTTAGAGCTTTCCCATTTTAACAGGGAATGCATGTTTGGGAAGCTATACATAAAGTTTACACGACCCACACAGTCCTGTCTTCCGCCCCCAGCGCTGTCTCTGGTCCGTGTGTAAGTGGCTGCCTCACCTTTTTGATCGTGGTACAATACTGAGGCAGCATACTCTGGTCCAGCCCTTCTATTTGTTTCAGCTTCTCACATACTGCATCCACATTCAGTGAATTCAGTAATACCACTGGGCCTGGGGCTGGGCCTGACCCCTAGAGAAGTCAAGGAAAAATACAGGTATGAATAAGCATTTAATGCCATCTATAATGAGGTCATGTGACAGAGAAAAACTCATTAAGTTATACCATGAAGTAAAGTAAAAAAAAACAAATATGTTTAGCATGGTAAGGAAATACCATTAGGGAACAGATTTAGTTACTGTTATAACCTAATGAGTAGCTTTTATTACAGCTGATACAGCCTGGTCAAAACCATTTTTTCTAAGAAAACAGAACATTTCATGAACAAAGCCTAGGTCAACTTCTCAAATGTTTACTGCCTAATCTCAAGAGAGAAGGGTGCCGTGCTTAATAAGAGGAAGAAGAGAGGTTAAAAAAAACACACACGCAAAAAGATGGAAAACTACTGATGCCAATATTATATGAATACAAAAAATAAACCTACAAAATAATTTTAAAGTACCTATACTAGACAATTAAGCAACTTTGAGTGTTTCTACAGACTACCTCAATGGTTACAAGAGCTGAAGTTTTCAGATCTTCATCATATTGTATCCAAGGGATCTAAAACTTCCTTTAGCATCTGTTAAATCATGATGTAAATACAAAACAACAGTATTAATTCTTAACACATGTGAAAGTAAATACCATCTATTAAAATTTGTTCTCATTTAAAAGGAAAGTCAAAATAATTAAAAAGTCTAGTATTTATTTAGAAGAAAAACATTTTCGGAATGTGGATACTAACAAACCAGTTGTCCGTGGTCAATGATAAATGCATCTTCCCAGCACAGATGTGCTCATTGTGGTTTAGAGGGTGCATCAGCCTGGTCAAAATCAGGACTTTAAAGTCACAGAACAAATAACTAGTTAGTAGTAAACCTGAACCAGAACTGTAACTTATCAGGTCTTATAACTTCCTATTTTCCTTTTTCCAACTTCTTTCACTTAACATAATGTTTTCAAGGTCCACCATGTCATAACATGCCAGTCCTTCATTTCTTCTTATTGCTGAGTCATATTTATCTTTTCTATCTTTCAAATGCTTTTATTCCTCAACCAGTCTCCTTGCTCTGGATACAGTTACAATTGTTTACATTTTTTGTTGTTCAAAAAAATCACAAAAAAATAGTTTAATCAACAAAATAACTAATGATCTTACTGGATTATGCCTCATAGATAAAATAAATTTCCATGAGTCCATAGTAATATAACTAAATAATTGAAAAAAGTGAATTAATTAGGAAGCAGAGACAGCTTTTCTTTACAGAATTCCAATTAATAAATGTAGAACAGGAAAGCAGAAAATGACCATTAGGCAAACATAGTAACAGTGAGTGCACACATGATCCACAGACGGAAGTGAAAATTAATGGGCAAAAGTATAAGCAGAAACGGGATATTTGCAGAGTTTCAAAGTATCTCCTCCAAGATATTCACTAGTTATAGAAGGAACAATAAAACTTTACAGGCTGAAACCTGGCAGATGCCACCTTAACCAAGTGACCAAGGTTAGCATTAGTGGTGGGAAGGCTTATGGACATCAAGAACCTTCAACTCTGATGCACTGGGAAGGGCATAGCATCACTCCTGCAGTTTTCTAGCAATATACAGTCCCCTTGTAATCACGAGGAAACATCAGACAAACCCAAATTGAGGGACGTTCTACAAAATAACTAACCAGTATTCCTTAAAAGTGTTAATTAAGGTCATGAAAGATAAGGAAAGACCAAGAAACTGTCACAGATTAAAACAGACTAAGGAGAAATAAAATGCAACTGAATTGAATCCTGGACCAGAAAAATGACATTTGTGGAAAAGCTGGTGAAATTCATATAAAGTCTGTAGTTTAGTTAATAGTATTATGCCAATTTTAATTTTTGCTTTTGATTATTATACTACAGTTATGAAAGATGTTTACATTGACAGAATAGCATTTTTTGCATCTTTTCTTTAGGGTTAAAATTATTTTAAAGTAAAAAATTTATTTCAAAAATCCCGAAATCTCTCTACTTCCGATTGTGCTAAAAACGACAAGTATAATAGACACGGATCAAATTAATCCTGTCAGCTTTGGAGGGAAAAATGTAAAATACTGAGGAGAATTTTATGTCTATGGAGAAGCTGAGAATTCAGCAACAGAGACATGTCAATAAAGACACCGCCCTTTTCCTTTAAAGCAAAAAGCTCTACCCAATGTTACTTTCACAATCTTTTTACAACTTCTACAATTTATCAGTTACTTTCAAGCATATTTTATCCTTCATTGGGGATTATGTAGAATATATATGTTACCTCTGAATTACTTTTAAAAGCTTTTTAAGAAAAGACAGACACATAGGGACATTAAGATCTTTGTAATTCCATCAAAACTATAGTCTGACCCTTATTATAAGTTGGGCTTTATACAAGAGCTAAATTATCAATTAATGAAAATATGTTATAATATGCTTCTTTGAATAAAGAAGAAATGGTAATTACCTGCTAGACCTTTTCTAAAATAATCATACATAAGAAAATTATTTTGAAACCACATGAATCTTATAACCAAAATAATAATTTGGGGGTGGAAATCTCATAAAAGGGAGGAGAAAGAGTGCAAAAATGATAAGGAAAGGGCAAAAAGCATATTCAATAATTCAGTAGGTAAATTCTTACTAGAAAATAAGCATATTACTTTGAGAATACACAGACTAGTTCAAATAATACTTTAATGTTTATCATGCATTCTTATTGAAATTATCTAAGTCAAGAAGAGACCATTTTAGCGTATTGATTTTAACATCAGAATTTGTTAAAATTTTTTTATGAATCAGAAAGCTGAATGCAGAAGATATTAGTGTGTTTAAACTGTTAAAAATAAACTACAAAATTTACACAGATCAGAATTTCTCCAGGTAAAAGTAAAGCTATCAAAATACTGAAATTACCCTGAGGTAACTATATCACTGTGTATTGTAAGTAGATTAGAACTACACTCTGACACATTATCATCTTTGGTAAATTTATTAAATAAGCACAAAACTGATTAGCCAGAAATGAGTGCCATGCAATGGCTGGAAGCAACTAATAAACCGAACGCACCTTAGTGAGCACAGATTTATAGACAGCCCAGCATGAAGTTGCCAATGATTGCTTCTAGTAGTCTAATAAGAAAAGTAAGATTTCATTGAGAGTTTCTGTACCTGTCTCTGTTTGTTAAACCCAGAGTCACACAGCTTTAAGGAAGGAATAAAACACAGTGAAGGACAAGAGCATAAAGTAACACATCCGATGCACAACTATAAATGTCTAACATACACAGGCAGAGCTTCATCATTCCTATTTCCTCCTCACTCTGAACGGACCACGGACAACAGCACACAGCAAGGAGCACACATGCATGCACACACACCCCCAACCACAGTAGCTGCATTCCATTCACATGTGCTTGGTCATCTTACAATTATACTCCTAAAAAAAATTATATTTTTTGTATTGAAAGAATAAATCATGAGCCATACATTTAATAAGAAAATGAGGTACATCAGATTGGCTATGAAAAGTCAATATTCGTAATATATGCAAGTTTAACATTAATTTAAAAACATTGAATAAGAAGGCTTAGTTACTTAGACTATCACATGATCATAAAATATCTAGCCACACTGTAGGTCATGTTCAGAAATACACTTTCAAATTTGAGTTTTGCTTCTTTGGGTATGTGGCACATAATAGATGCACTAAATACCATTTCATAAGAATGGCCCCAAGAGGCTTCTAGCTCGAGAAACAGACAAACCTTGCAAACTGTGATGAACATAACCATTTCAGTGAGGTGGATTTTTAAAAACTCTAATCCAAAGCAAATAATCACTGCTGGCAGTTATTCTTCTGTACTTAGATTGATAATAAATATTCTTAAAATGCTTAAAATGATCTAGAGATGACTGGCAATTTGTACCAAAGTTAATTTACAACACTGTTTTAGTATATTAAATGGCAGGGTTTTTGCTAGCCTGACGTTTGATGTCTTTCTTTTAACATATTCAATATCTGGGGCACTTCGTGGAAATCCTGTTTTCTAGTTTACACTATCGACCTTATTATAAATAGGTTTTTAAAAAGCTGTCTGTAGAGATTTGCAAAAATACCAAAATAGGAGTGCTAAGGAAATTACAGTTTACTACAAGACATCCAAAACACAAAAGAAAGCTATTATTCACCTGATTGGAAAATATAACTTACTCTTCAAGCTACTTAAGAAATACTAGGTCAAAGCTGACAAATTAGGCATAACACTACATTTTAAGAGCAATCTTTTAAAAAACACAAGTACTGGCAGGGTGTGGTGGCTCACACCTGTAATCCCAACACTTTGGGAGGCCACAGTGGTGGATGACTTGAGGTCAGGAGTTCAAGACCAGCCTGGCCAACATGGCTAAACACTGTTTCTACTGAAAGTACAAAAATTAGCTGGGCTAATTTTTCACTGTGCGGTGGTGCACGCCTGGGTCCCAGCTACTCGGAAGGCTGAGGCAGGAGAATCACTTGAATCCAGGAGGTGGAGGTTGCAGTAAGCCAAGATTGTGCCATTGTACTCCAGCCTGGGTGACAGAGCGAGACTCTGTCTCAAAAAAACCAAAATGAAACAAAACAAAATAAAAACACAAGTACTAAACTACTGCAATGAACATAATTTTGTTGTTTTTAAACTTTTAACTGTACTCTAGGATTTCATAACATTACTGTAATATTATTTCTGTGAAAATATCCCAATCAATTTAGTTGAAAATTGTTTAGGAAAAAAGTTTTCTTGAGTTGAAGTCTGGCACAAAGACTTTCAAGCGGGAAGTGAAGACAATTTTTCACTATACTTTAATAAGAGGCAAAAATGAGTAAATACTTTTCCAAATTCAAACAGAATAGTACAAATCCACTTCTAAGACACTTTAAAAAGTGTGAATGGTGTTAAAGCTGGTTGAGGCTACTGTGCAAAGTCGCTGAGAGCTGACAGGGAGGACCTGTCCTGAGCCTGAAGCCTAAACACAACCTAAAACGCCTTCGACTCCCTACCTATGGCACCTTTAACTTTCTTGTCCACGTCTTCTCCTGAACAATGAGAGACAGCTTAAGTTCTAAACCAGTGGTGAAAATAAAAATTGTCCACAGGTGAGCCCCACTTTTTTTTTTGAGACAAGGTCTGCTCTGTCACCACGCTGGGGTGCAGTGCTGTGATCTTGGCACTCAACTGATCCTCTCACCTCAGCCTCTCAAGTAGGGGGACTTCAGGTGTGCGCTACCATGCCCTGCCTGGCTAATTTTTTTTTTTTTTTTTAAAGAAATGGTCTTGCTATGTTGCCTAGGCTGGTCTTGAACTTGTGGGCTCAAGTCATCCTCCTGCCTCAGCCTTCCTAAGTGCAGGCTTACTGCATGGGCCATCCCATGGGGACTTGTTTTCACTTTTTACTTGGTCACTCCACTGACTGGACCCTGTTTAATGAAAACCAAGACTTTCAGTTTTAATATCTTCATTCAATAGTTTTCATCAACATCTAAAGGTAAAGGTAACAGCACACTGGAGCTGTGTTAACACTGCCTTTGCAGTTCTGAAATTCTTTATGATTAAACTTTGTGCTAATTATTGTCATGCTTTTTCAACAAGTTATAAAAGTGATCTAAATAAAGCTGTCCAAAGGTAACGAGTAAACCCTGTAGCTGAGGAGGTCAAGAAAGAATGACTTCATAAAACCGATAATTCCCTCGGTGGCCTTCAGGTCCACACTCTGTGAAGCAAGATTTTCATCAGTTTTCTTCACTGCTGTGTCCCACTAGAATAGCGCCTCTTACACTCAATAAATATTCGTTGAACTAATCGCTGATCACACAAGCATCGGTGGTACTCAATGTAAAATAATTCAGGGAAAAATGAAAGGATGAAGAAATGCTTTATTGCTCCTTTGAAAATGTGCTTTTCAATGAAACACAGTTACCACCAGGAGCAGCATACCTTAAATTAAGCCAAACTACAGAGCTTCGAGAGCAACTCTTTGAGATGACAGAACAACATGCCACTGAGGAGACCTGGCCAGACACAGGGCCTCAATACTAGGTCCTTTGCTTCACTGGGGTCACAGAATCATGTGAATGCTGCCATTTCCTAGTGGGAACTGGACTCAAAGAAGGTAAAGGCACCAGTGAAAACATCCCTGGAAAGCTTTCAAAATTTTAAAGTATCTAAAGTATTCAAATAACCTAGAAATTCCTCTAAATTCTAAGAAAACAAACCGATTAACAACTTTAGGGCTAAGAAGCATCAACAGATAAAAAGGCTGCATGAATCTAAACTGATTGGAGTATTTGTACACCACTCCCATGACTGAGACAAAGATGATTTAACCAAAAACAGTTTGAGTTCTGCGTCTTTAAGGCTCCACGGATTCTGGCCTTTGGGCAGTAGTAGCAGTAGTAATAATAATAATGAAGTACTTAAAGTATGCTAAGGCTGACTAATCCTTGAATCAGACCTGAGGCAGGTCTGCTTTTCCCAGTGAGAAAGCTGAGAATCAGAGGGGTAAAGTAATCTGTCCAAGGCAAAGAGCTCATCACCAGGGTCTGTTTAACTCAAAAGACCAAATACCTGACTAAGTCGTGTTCAGGACGAACGGGGCAGAGCCACCAGCATGGTGGTGAGCGCCATGGTCTCCTGCATTCTAGTTCCAAATCTGGCACCCCTTTCCTGTGTCCCTCAGGTAAGTCTCACACATTCTATCTGTGCCATGTGGAGACTAGCACTCCTGGGGGACCCTCAAGAGGAAAGGCATGTGTAATGTGGGTTCCAGGATTCTGCTTTTATTGGTTTTACAAACTGGAGTTTTGATTAAGAGTTCATTTCTAAAAGCTTCTATGCTTTGGAACTTTGAAAAACACTGTTCCTTTCTAGCCCTAATATTCTGGGAAGCATGTCTTGCATATAGTACTAATTTTTTAACCTGGTTTCACAAGATTTGGCATATATTTTTTCTCTATTATACAATTATTTTTAAAAAGCTAGCATGGAGGCTTATAGATATATCCAACTGTTTCACAGAAGTGAGGATTTGTTTTATTAATATATTAATATATTTTATATTAACATCTTTTATATTACTATATCATTAATATATTATATATTTTATAATATAAATATGTTATATATTAATATAATTATTTTATAATATATATTATTTATATTATATATTATTAATTTATATAAAACCTCACTTCTGTGAAACACTTGGATATATCTATAATTTATCTGACAAGTCCCTCCCTGGACATCACAAGCTATAAGCACTACAGTGTTCCTTAATGTGAGAAAACTCAATGATTTTTATAAGGATCTAATTTATAAAGGTGATTCAGATGTTCCTCATGGCAAAAAAAAAAAAAAAAAAAAAAAAAATATATATATATAATATATATATATATATATATATATATATATATATATATATATATGGGATCATCTCTATTTTGAAAAGACCATAGCTGGTTAACCCCTTATGGCCTGGCTTTTTTAACACATTACCTTGTGACATGACAATTTGTCCAAAAACGTTTGTGTAGTTCTTGACTCTTCTGCAGGCTTTGTATAGAGACGGCTGACTGAGCAGAGATGGGACCAATGGGAAATCCCGTTGTCCAGAAACACAGAGTTTTCTGCTACAGAGCTCGATGGGCTACACATACTTTTCTGCTAGGTACTCTCTGTTGGTCCAGCTACAAAGTTCTGGCAATGTTCCCATGTTCTGATTCTTTACCTTCCACCACAGCTTTCAATTTGGCATTGAACTAAGTGACTACTTAGTTTTTCTAGGCTTCGACAAAACAAATTTTACATTCTATTGTCGTTGTTAATTTCTTAAAAGCAAAGGAAGCTTAGTAAGCATCTATTATTTGTTATGCTAATCATAAAATGATCTTTTCATAGTAAAATAAAAGCAAATGATATGGTTATTCTACTAGACAAAGTCACTAATATATGCAGAGCACCTTTGTTGAGCTTCTAAACACATCTCAAGAATCACACGATTTCCCCTTCTCCAAAAACTCATTTCAAAATTTGCCTAATGCTCCTTTACTGGTCCCTAAAAGAAACTACAGACACCTTTTAATGACATGTATTTGTCTACATTCTTGAGCATGGGAATAGCTACTATGTCAGCATGTCTGTGTCATTAAGGCCATTAACTTCTTCACAGTATCTGATTTTCTTCAAAACTTTGCTCAGGAATTTTAGCTCAGAGAATTGAATTGCATGCAATAATGTGTATGTTAAAGGCTCTCTGACTAAACTAAAGGTCATTCTTGCATATAGTGATGATGACCCATGGATTAAAGATCCTGTAAGCACTGAAGAGAATTATTGTGGTTTACTGTGGATAACTGAAGTCACTGAAACACTTCAGCTGAAATGTTAAAATGACTTTAAAATAATCATCAACCTCTCAACGAAAGCACCACAACGGTTCTCTTTTTCTCTCCTATTAACATTAACTCAAAGGAAATTAAAGTTAAAAAGCTACTGCTGGCCAGGCACGGTGGCTCACACCTGTAATCCCAGCACTTTGGGAGGCCAAGACGGGCAGATCACAAGGTCAGGAGTTCGAGACCAGCCTGGCCAACATGGTGAAACCCCATCGCTACTACAAAAACACAAAAATTAGCCAGGCATGGTGGTGGGAGCCTGTAATCCCAGCTACTCAGGAGGCTGAGGCAGGAGAATCGCTTGAAACCAGAAGGCTGAGGTTGCAGTGAGCTGAGATGGCATCACTGCACTCCAGCCTGAGCAAAAGAGCGAAACTCCGTCAAAAGAAAAACAACCTATTGCCTGCTAAAATGCAAGTTTTAAGTTAAAAATTACAGATAAACTTAGTAATATTTCACCATGTTAATTCTAACTGCTATGCCACATTTCAACACAGCTATAGGCTAAACTGACCATATTACATGGGTGTAACATAGTCTGTAAATAAAACAACCAAAGTTAAAATACAAACTGGGTTCTTTTTTTTTTTTTTGAGACGGAGTCTTGCTCTGTCGCCCAGGCTCTAAATGAAGATTTTAAAGCTCCTCACAAACTTATTTCTTATTAAGTACGAAGTCTTATACAGTAATTTTTTTTTTTTTTTTGAGACCGAGTCTCGCTCTTGTTGCCGAGGCTGGAGTGCAGCGGTGCGATCTCGGCTCACTGCAACCTCCACCTCCCAGGCTCAAGCGATTCTCCTGCCTCGGCCTCCCAAGTAGCTGGGATTACAGGTGCCTACCACCATGCCTGGCTAATTCTCGTATTTTCTTTAGTAGAGATAGGGTTTCACCATGTTGGCCAGGCTGGTCTTGAACTCCTGACTTCAAGTGATCCGCCCACCTCGGCCTCCCAAAGTGCTGGGATTACAGGTGTGAACCACCGCGCCTGGCCACTTACATAGTAATTTATGAGGTGATTCCCTCTACAAGGTTTTTCTGTTTATTTTTTGTTTTTTTCTTTTTGTTTTTTTTTTTTAAAGAAACCTACCTTAAGGTGTTGGCAAAAAATAAATAAATAAATAAATAATTTCTTTTACATGCTGAACGATCTTCTGTTTATCTGGAAAATTTATTTTAACAAATATATAGACAAAGAAAAGTATTATAACACTGCACTAAAACTCAGACTAAGACTTAACTAAATGTAGACACCTAGATTGAGTTATTAAAGATGCATTTTTAGTCTACACCATCTAGCTTATGTGTCTTTTTGTAGTCTCAAGGGTGATACTGGATACTTTTCTAAAATATTCCACATGTGTAATAGCAACCACAGGCTTAACAAAAACAGTCAAAGGCAAAGCTAGAGCTCACACTGAGGAGCAAATACTACCAACGGAACACCCCTGACAGCTGATAGAAAAAGCCCTTCCTTATTGAAGAATAAAAAAAAACCCCATCCCATGTATTGAAAAAGGGGAAAAGCAGGAGGAAATAATGGGTGAAGTTAAACATCCGCTTTTTAATTAATTCAGGAACCATAATTATTAGCATTCAGCTACTCTACACTAGCTGCTCATCACACCACAAACGCAGAGTTAGTGAGCTGCTATCATCACAATTAAGACAGTCATTACTGAGGCAGAAGCAATGAGATGCCAGCGATCCACACCACAGGACTACTCCATTACCCTCGAGGAGTCTGTGGGTGAAGAAAGCCCCTCAGCAGCATCCTCCTTGATAACTTCCTAACAACACAAAACAGGAGAGTGTGGGTGAAAAGGGGAAGGGGGGAGCCAAACTGTGAAGACAAATGAACATGATGGTAAAATAATATACAACACTGAAACTCAACAGTTTATGTTTTTGCCTCCTGATTTATAAAAACATATTAATAGAGAGTTTCTTTTTTTAAACTATTACTTTTATCATCAGGAACCTCTAATATTTTGGGCACAAATGTCTTTCTTAGATTCAATAGTTCATTGGAAGAATTTCCCTTATCTTGTTTAATTCCTGCCATTTGATTGAAATGTTCTTCCTTCAATACATCCTCTATTTTTTATATCATGGTGCTAATATTTACATACTATAAAGGTACTGTATACACATGTTCTTTAAGAAGATATTAGAAATTACCAAATGTAAAGGCTTAGTTTTAAAAGTTTTGGTAGCAAACACTATATTACAAGCCAGAAATTTCTGGCTATAAACAAGTCAACATTTCTTCGCTGAGACTGCTAGTCATTTTCCTTCCATAGATATTTACCAGAAATGAAAATAAATACATTTTATGTTAGTAATAGGTTGTTTCTTAAAACTATGTATAAAATCAGTTGCACTCTTTTACTATGTAAAGGAAATAACCAAACCTCAAATGCTATCTATGTTTATTATTAAATTAATATTTGCGTTACCCTTTTATATACTTACTAGGCCATTGTTCTGATCTCTGGGCAAACTCGTTTTTACTGATGGACGTGAGATGAGATGTTGGGAGCCGCCAGGGTAATACCTTGGCGTGTAAAGGTATGGGGCAAAGAATGGCTATGGAAAAACATGTAACAAAAAAGGGGTAAACAATTACAGAAATGAAAGTGTAATGAGATTTTTCAAATGAAACCAATAAGATACAACTCCAAAACTTTAATGCAAATGACAAAACAAAAGAAAAAAAAGCCTCACTCATATTCCATAAGATGCTAAACTCAAACTTAAGAAATATTACTTACATTTTTATATTGGTCATTTCATATAAGCTTTTTTCAGAAAAATGAGCAACTAAAGTTTTGCACTTTACAGTTTGACACGAGTTTCTCTCTATATTTAATATGTTTACAAGCTTACCATCTGTCAGGTTCTAAGCAGTTTAACCAATATTAACTCATAATCTTTTTAAAAGAAGCAGACTGGAATCTTAATACTATTCCTTACCAATAAAAAAAGATTAGCCTAAATAAGACCAAAAAGTCTGGAATATATGAAAACACCCTGGCACAAATTCCAAGAATAATGTTATTACAAGTTCCTGGAGTTCACCTCTAGTTTACACCCTAGAGTTTATAACCTAAATAAGCAAGCATATTTTTTTTAAAAAACGTGGGGAATCCACTGTTTATGTGAGATTTATAACAATGGCATACATTTGTAACCAGCTTCATATAAACAGAAGATATCAAATTATACAGGCTAAACATAAAGACTGCAGTTCATAAGGTTTTGTTACACTGAGGTGAAACCTTCCCCACCCTTTTTACTCCTGCCAGCTTAGAGGAATTATTCTGCTTTTAACACTAAAAAATCTCAAATAACTACAGCAAAAAGTAGCTAGATTTAAAAACAAGAGAAAACTGTAAATGTTTTTAAAAATGATAAAATACTATTAAAAAGCATGATTACATTATTGTTATTCATGAAATTAGTGAACATAGTATTTCAGGCTAGATGGTAAGGTAATCTTTCATTTTTTAAAATAAGCTTCTCAGTTTCAAATTTTCAGTTGGTATCAACGGAGCTATTTTATGCAAACTTACACAGCAGATTTTAAGACTGGTAAATAAAAACCTGCATTTCACACTGCCTACCACACAGTTAAATTTTAAAAGATGGAATACATGATAAAATGCTATTATTCCACCTTTGTCTCCTTGTCCAAATAGAAAAACGGAGTAACATTTCTCGGGACTCTTTAAACAGTACCTAATTACTTATATGGCCACCATTTTTCAAAAACTGAAAGTTTAAATTCTAGAATCCTTTCTTTGTCACATTTATCCTAAATTCTCTTTCTTCCCAGCTCATATGAGATGTATTTACACAGGCAGTTTAGGCACTAGGCTTCTATGACTAACTAGGTCCTATGTTTTCTCGAATTAGACTAAAGAGGGAGATAGCAAAAATAAGAAATTGCAATGCACCTTAAGAGAACAGTTCCAGAAAGTGTAACCCCAGGTTCATGCTCCATTTTCCTACAGGAAATATTAGTGTTTGAGGTCATTAAAGTGAGAATATAGCTTGGGCCTACTAAACTTGACAGGGCCTGAATACCACTGATAATTAGTTGCATTTCATCTTTTCATCTGGGAAATTATCCTATTTATATTAACTAAAAAATTGTAGATGACTGAAGATAACTTGACATAAGACTCTAAAAATGGGCTACAGTGCTATTATTTGGAAAAACATCTGAGTTCCACAGCAGTACTTTCCCATTATTATCTCACATTTAAAAGACAAAGGTATATTAAGTATAGGTTTACTAAACTACTATAGGAATTTAAGTTTATCATTGTTTTAAATGCCAATATAAACTATTATACAAGATATAACAAATAGAACATTTGTTTATAAACAAACAAAAAACAGATTCCTTTGAAGCTAGGACAGTCACTGCTGACCCTGTGGAGTCCATTTACTTATCAAGAAACTAAATAAAAGAAAAAAAAATCTAATATTCAGACTCTCTTGAGACCTAGAACACATTAAAATTCTAAATTATTTTGATTTCCAAAAAGTCCTATATTTTACATTCAAACTTTACATTTTTCCTATGCTAAAGCCAAAGTACAGCTTTAAAACCAAAACAGAATCCACAAGCAGAAAACTGAGGTTTCCCTGTAACAAATTCTTAAAAATAAAGCTGCCTCCAACTTCCTTACCCTGTTGTAGAAGGGATGCTGAGGGCCCGTCATGCCGCTGTAATAGCTGCTGTGAGGCTGTGGTGACACCACTCCACCTGCGAAGGGCCCATTGAAGGACGTGGAAGAGCACACGGATGGGGGCTGGCTGTACCCTGATGGCGCCCTAGGAGGACCCTCATGTAGAGGGAGCGGGGGGTACGCCAGTCCTCCAATACTGATCTGCTCTCTGGCAGCACGAACATCTGAAAGATTCAATCAGACCCCAGAAGGCAAGAGAAAACAGGACATTAGGAATCAGTCCAATTATCACATTCTTCTTTAGTTACTAGGCAGAAACATGACTTTATCACTCTTGCCACGGATTCCAACTAGATTAAAAAAGAAGACAGAAAATCTTGAAAACTCACAGGCCTTTTAGTGAGAAATGCCCAGCTACTTTGCAAAAAAGCATTTTCACCATTCGAAGTCACCAATATCTGGATTCTTCTCTTCAGTTATTGGAACAATTGACTCTTCTCTAACTCTTAAAGGATTTAAGATATTCTAACAATTACTTTTATTCATAACGTTATCAAGTATTAATAACTCATATTTGTTGGGTATTAACACATATAATGTTAGCAAAGACTGTGGGTTTGCAAATTATGAGACTCATCCACCTCTGAACAACAACAAATTCCACAGCCATGTAATACCCTTTGACATCAGCCTTGTAACAGGTACCTAGAAAATAGAATACAGAAGTAGTTTAAGGCGATCTCCTCACAGTTCCTGGAAAACTCAAAGGCAGGTCAGCAGAGCCATGTCATACAAAAGACTGTTTCAATGAAGGTTTTATGTGTGTGCACGTGCACAGAGTGGTACCTCCAGAACTTCATTTATTCCAAAGCCTTAATGTCACTACCCTGAAGCTCTAGTCCCCAGATTTAAGTTAATATCTGAAAAGTAATATAAAGATTTTCTTACTTCTCTGGATAGAGATCCCTGTTAAGAACCAAAGACTGGTGACAAGCAAATTACAATGAATGGATATCATGAAGTCATGACTGTATGTTAAAAGAAATCCAATTCCAAAGTTCCAAAGGAAGGACTTGGGTGGGGGCGGGAGGGGTGGGGACAGGGATCATAATAAAGTGAGATCCACAAATACTAACAGGATTTTCTTTTTTTTTTTTTTTGTTTTTGTTTTTCTTAACATTCTCAAAAGGATGCCAAGACTCCTAATCTTTAATTTCATGAATTTTTCTGTGTAGTGCTTAGTTCAATACCTCTTGGTTTTTCATAGAGCAGGAGAAATGTACACAAATAAGTTAGAAACATGAAAAATTCTTAGAACTTTAGATGAAAAATTAAATTTACTACTAATACCCACCTGCAATAATTTCCCGTAGTTTGGGATCTAGGTTTACAGTGCATGGCAAAAAGACTTTTACATCTCGAGCCACAAGAACTGGGGTCCTTGAAGACAAAAACACTTCAAAATTTCTTATATCTCCATCAATTTCAAGAAGTGGCTCAACATCCTTAGTTGTTGGAATATTCTTTGATATTCTTCAAATAAGAAATCAATGAAAAAGGTTATTAATGTCACTATTAGAAAGGTAAATTCTGCATGTCACCTGAAGTTACTTATACAACAATTACACATCTTGGTCTGATGGATTTGGTCTAATTACACATCGGCTCACTGCAACCTCTGCCTCCAGGTTCAAGCGATTCTCCTGCCTCAGCCTACCTAGTGGCTGAGGTTACAGGTGTGCACTACCATGCCCAGCTAATTTTTGTATTATTAGTAGAGACGGGGTTTCACCATGTTGGCCAGGCTGGTCTCGAACTCCTGATCTAAGTTGATCCACCCACCTCAGTCTCCCAAAGTGCTGGGATTACAGGTGTGAGCCATCATGCCCAGCCAAAAAATCTATTTTTAATTTTTAGGGTTTTTTTTGAGACAGAATCTTGTTCTGCCACCCAGGCTGGAGTGCAGTGGTGCAGTCTTGGCTCATTGCAACCTCTGCCTCCCAACTCAAGCTTTCCTCCCACCTCAGCCTCCAGGGTAGCTAAGACTACAGGCTCATGCCACCATGCCTGGCTAATTTTTGTATTTTTCTATACAGACGAGATTTCGCCATGTTGCCCAGGAGGCTCTTGAACACCTGGGCTCAAGCATTCCATTCACCTTGGCCTCCCTATTGGGATTACAGGCATGAGCCACCTCATCCAGTCTAAAAATTTTTTTTTTTAATAAAAGAGAAAGAAACTCAAAAAAGTAGTATGGTTACAAAAAAAGGTAACAATGAGTACGGCCAGAATTCTACTGCCTTTGGCCATGGCAGGACTTGGGTGGGAAAACAGAAGGAAAGACGCACATGCACAGGTGTGTCATATGCTCGGGGTCACCTAAGCTGGCTAAGGGTCACCCCTCAATGAAGATTCATTGAGTTATTGCTTTACAGATGAGGACAGTGGCCTCAGACAAATTAAACAGATGGCCCAAAGTCACACAACTACGAAAGCAAATCTGACTGGTTCTGAAACCCATGTTTTAAATAGAATACCACAGTTTCTCCTTTGCAAAGAAAACAAGAAATCAAGAACTTATAAATAAATTACACAGATTAAAAAAAAGCTAAGTTTTTCCTTTTTTAAAAAGGGTTTTGTTTCCTATTGTAAAAGTAATATATGCTTACTATATATGTATATACGTAAGATAGAAAAACAGACAGGAAAAAACATACTTTAACCAATCAGACACAATACCTCCTAATATAATATGTCACTTAGTCTTTTATTATGCAGAATGTTTTGTATAACTGAGTTCAAGCAATATGTAAACAATTCTGTATCATGCAGAGACTCTTGAATGTAAAAATAAGTAATATTCAATTAAAAACACTTATTAAACACTACTGTATGAAACTGTAGTTTTTGTAGGTCAAAAATGGTCAAATGTTGACAATTCCTGATCTAAGGCAGTAAGCAAGAACGCATCACCGAGGGATAAAGGAAAGAAAAAGAAAGAGAAGTTAAAAGACAAGAGGTAGATGAGAAAACTAGAAACAAATCAAATGTCCACTAACAGATGGAAGGATAAATAAATAGTGGTATATCCACACAACGGAATACTACTCAGCCAAAAAAAAAATGAACTACTGATACAAAGAACATGGATGAATCTCTCAATAAATTAATCCAACCAATAAAGAGTGTATAGCAATATGTTTTCATTTGTATAAAACTAGAAAATGCAAACCAATCTAAAGTATCAATGCAGAGCAAGGTTTGCTGTGAAGTTAGGAATGTGAGGCAGGAGGGAGACAAGGGAGGGTATCAAAGGAAGACGTGGAAAATTTTAGAACTGATGGAAACATTTACTCTCTTGATTGTGGTAATGACTTTGTGGGTATATACATTTATCAAACTCGTGAGATTGGTCAATTTAAATATGGCAGTTTATTGTATGTCAATTACACCTCCAAAAGTTGTTTAAAAATCACTGGATATATCCTTCCAATTAAACAAGAATATTAACTGTTAGATTATACTAAGTGAGCACAGTTGCAGAGGAGCAGTAAGATTTTCACGCCCTTCAAAAAGTGAAATGGGAACCTTATTCTAATGTTAGTAACAGTTATATCATTTCTTTGGGACTAGCACTTTACTGCTCAGACCCAATACTTGGCTAGTAGCCAAATATTGAAAGTCATCTAAGGGAAAAACCCAGAGAACACAATTAGCAAACAAGAAGAGAATAGGGTGCTGGGGAGAAAATAAGGGTAGCAATTTTCTCTTAATTAACTTCAGAAAGTCCGTTTTACAGACACAGACACATGCACAAGACAGAAAAGCCCTCTGAGATGGGGTTACTTTTAATACATTAAAATCGTGTTCAAACTGATTATTAAATATATTTAAAATGAAATGGAAAACCTGGAGAATGGTTGCAAGTGGTGATAAAATCAGAGCTTAAACAGTTAAATAGGTAGTTCATCTATTGCAGGAGTTGAACACAAAATACTAAAAAGAGAAGCTAGAAAGATTTAGATAAAAACACACAGCTGACAAGTCACATGAAACAAATTAACTGCATTTTAATGCCAGCTCTGCTTCTGCCTGAATGCAACAGTGTTCTCAGTATGATGAACAATGCTGCTGTTCACAAGCCAACAGGCTACTGCTGGCTTCCAGATTGAAGTCTCTATTCTAACCTTCTGAGCTCAATACATTAAACTCTTCTGCTGAAAGAGATATTTATGTAAATGATAATCTTTTGGCAGTGGGCCATCAAAATCATATGTGCCTTTATTTTTCAGATATTTTTCCAAAGGTTAGCATTTAAAGAATTTAAGTAACTTCACTTTTCAGTTAAGAGTGAATTTGAATTTCCAGCATTATGAATCATGTGAATTAAAGTTGCCAGCAGTTAAATGGCCCAAAGAAAGCATTATAAAACCTCAGGCATCAATGAGCTCCTAGTAAGTCTAAATGCAATTTCCTTCTATGCTACCAATCTAGCAATACTTGTTAATGCCAACATCAATGTAAGTTAAAAGCATTTTGATTATAAATGACAGTGGTTTATACAAAGTCCATATTAATTCCTTGGCAGAAATTGCATAAACTATTCATATCACTTCCATTCAAAATGAGGTTTTAAATTACATAAAAGATTTCTATTTTAAATCAAAATATAAACAGATTCTTAGAGCAGAATTTATGAAGAAAGTATTATTTATCACATTTTATCTAAAAGTAGCTGCCTAATAATGTCATTATTTAGTAGGATGTTAAAAAATAAGACACAATTTGTTTAAAAATTTAAACAGAGAAAACTCTTAAATGCCTTAGAATTTTATTGCCTTGAAACAAATTTAACTTCTAATAGACTCTCAAATACTTTCTACCAGTGAATGTCCATTTATTAAATACCATCCATGAACAGAACACTTTGGAGATTCTGGGAGACAGACAGAACACACAGACAGAAAACAGCCACTTGGCATTGCAGCCAAAAAGTCAGAAACAAAGAAAAAATGGAGTCCATTTATACACCCACTGCCATCTGTGAAAAGGCAAAAGCCCTGGATACCTCAGGAGCTGGCTACACCCTTCCATCTTCACCCTGTTAATTCCTACCCATCCTTTGTGCTCGGTGCAATTTCCCCCTCCTCAGAGAGCATCCTGGAGACCAACTTATGTTCCTTCATTACAAGCCCCCAGAGCATATATACTTTCTTGCATAATATGTATCATAATTCTGCACTAGTGGAATTACTTTCTTAATGTTTATCTCCCAATCTAGACTGGAAATTCCATTAAAACTGGGAACAAGTTTAGTTTTTTCCACCACTGTATCTCCAGTGGCCTGCACAGAATACTGTCGCAACACTGTTGTCCAATAAATATTTGTAGAAGGAATAAACTACACATGCACACAAAGGTGTTCTTCCTCAAGAACTCTACCCCTTTAAAATAGAATAATTTTCACCTTAATTGTCCTTTCTGATACTGACAAAACCTTGTGCTTGGGAAAGCATAGGTTGATCCATCTGGAGTCAATTTTGTACATGGTGTGGGGTAGGGGTCCAACTTCATTCTTTTGCATGTGGAAATCTAGTTATCCCAGCCCCACTTGTTGAAGAGTCTGTCCTTTCCCCCATCAAATGGACTTGGCATCCTTGCCAAAACCCAACTGGACATAGATGTATGGGTTTTTCTTGATTCTCAATTATATTCTATTGCTCTATATGTCCATCCTCATGCCTGTGACACATTGTTTTGATTACTGTAGCTTTGTAGTATGTCTGAAATTGAGAGGTGTCAGTCCTCCAACTTTGTTCTTCTTTTTCAAGGTTGCTTGGTTATTTGAGGTGTCTTGCAATTGCATATGAACTGAAGGATCAGTTTCCTGTTTCTGCAAAACAAGGCTACTGGAATTTTGATAGGTATAATATTGAATCTGTAGATCACTTCAGGTAGTATTGACATCCTAATATTTAGTCTTCCTACCCATGAGCACAGGATGTCTTCCCACTTATTTAGATCTTCTTTAAATTCTTTTAGCAATTTTTTTAAGTTGTCAGTGTACAAGTCTTTAACTTTCTTGGTTAAAGTTATTCTGAAATATTTTATTCTTTTAGATGCTACTGTAAAATGAACTGCCTTCTTAATTTCCTTTCAGACTGTTCACTGAAGGTGTACAGAAACACAACTGATTTTTGTGTGTTGATCTGTATCCTGCAAACTTTGCTGATTAATTAGCTCTAATAGCTTTCTGTGGGCTCTTTGGGATTTTTCTATATATAGAAGAATCATCCAATCTGGATTCTTTTATTTATTTTGCCTGTCCAATTGCAATGGCTACAGCTTCTAGTGCAATGTTGAATAGCAGTGGTGAAAGTGGGTATCTTAGTTAACTCAGGCTGCTATAACAGAATACCATAGGCTGGGTGGCTTAAATAGCAGACATTTATTTCTTGAAGTTCTGGAGGCTGGAAGTCAGAGATCAAAGTGCCAGATGGTCAGGTTCTGGTAAGGGCCTTCTTTTTGGTTTGCAAATGATCTTCTTCCTAGGTCCTGACATCAAGGACACTACAGAGAGAGAGAGAGAAGCTCTCTGGTTTCTTCTTAGGAGGGCACTAATCCCATACGAGGATTCCACCCTCATGACCTCATCTAAACCTAATTACCAAAGGCACCAACTCTAAATAATATCATACTGGGGGTTTGGGCTTCAACACGAAAATTTTGGCAGGACACAAACATTCGTACATAGCAGCAGGCATCCTTGTCTTGTTCTTTTAACTTAGGAGGGATAATTTCAGTCTTTCACCACGGAGTACGATGTTAGCTGCAGATAAGTCAGTAAAGTTAACCACTAAAATGATGATCTCAATGTCAGGCCTACATCCAAAAGCTTTTAAACAAAACAGCTTAATATAAAGTGATCAATTAAGAAAATGAAGACTATGCTACCCACACTATTTCCTAGTCTATTCTATTTAGTCCAATCTTTGCAAATTCATTTTAGGAAAAAAAAAAGAGTTAAGATATTTACTAGTGTTTATACAAACAAGATGCAACCATTAGTTCAAAAAATAGGGTTTGTTTTTTCCCAACAAAAGTGCATACTTTAATAGGACTATTTGAATAAAAATCCCATACAAATGGAATGTGTACTTAACATTAAGAAAGCAGGGAAGCAGCATGTCCTACAACATAGAACACAATTGGCTCAATCAAGATGAATTACCCTTTCAACTAAATATCTATTTTTTATATTTATTACTAATGTCACAGTCAGTTCAGTAAATGCCAACAGTCTTACAGCTTTAACCTTTAGTCATGAGAAGCACACTTGATTGTTTCCAAAGGGATATGTGAGGCCGTCTTCATTTCAGAGGAGCAGAAGTGACTGTACTGTTGTTTGCTCTTTAATGTTTCAACTACCCATTCCGTTGTCTCATGAAGGCCAGTACCTCTGGTTGCTGAAGTTTTGAATATTTGCCATTTTCAGTCCTTCGAGGCAGATAACCCAAGTGAATGTGCATCTCTGAGGGAGTCATGGCCTGTTCCATGTCCTGCTTATTTGCAAATGCCATTAAAATGGCTTTTCTCAGCTCTCCATCAACATGGCAACTAACACTGACTTGGAAATGCCAATTCGGTCTCGGTCACAACTGTCTGCTCCACAGCATCTGTGTTTGAATAATAACATCTTCAGTATGGCTCTGTCCTCCTAAATCCTGGACTTGGAATTCTGTATGTTTTCTTTGTTGGTTTTGTTTTTAAGATGGAGTTTCACTCTTGTTGCCCAGGCTGGAGTGCAGTGGTGCAATCTCGGCTCACTGCAACCCCTGCCTCCTGGGATCAAGCAATTCTCCTGCCTCAGCCTCCTGAGTAGCTGGGAGTGCAGGCACCAGCCACCACGCCTGGCTAATTTTTGTATTTTTAGTAGAGACGAGGTTTCACCATGCTGGCCAGGCTGGTCTCGAACTCCTGACCTCAGGTGATCTGCCTGCATCGGCCTGCTAAAGTACTGGGATTACAGGCGTGAGCCACTGCGCCCAGCCCTGTATGGCTTTTATAAGTTGCCGTCTCAACATTAAATCTGATGATAGGAATGTTAGTAATGACTTTTCCAACCTGTAATCTGCATAAAATTGTGGTTTTTCCTGTCTATGTAATCCCCAAATTAAAATCCTCACTTCCCAGGTTCCAAACACACTGGAAAAAATACTTGAGAAAAATCTACCATGATTAAGCCCTGTTCACCCTCACCAATCCTCAGGAACAGATCCTGGTCTCAGCAGCAACTCCAACTCGAGGCACCTCTGCTCACCTTGGCCTTTGGATCTGCCTCTGAGCCTGGACTTCCACACTGGATCTGTCAATTTGCTGGTATTTTCAAGGAAAATACTTCTGGTTTCATTGCTTTTTTTCTATTGTTATTCTGTTCTCTGTTTTATGTCTCTCCACTCTAACCTTTATTATTTCCTTCCTTCTGCTAGCTTGGAGTTTAATTTGCTCTTCTTTTTCTAGCTCCTCGAGGTGTTAGGTTAGGGTGTTAATTTAATATCTTTCTCTTTTTTTAATGTACGCATTTACAGCCATAAATTTCCCTCTGAGTACTGCCTTTGCTGCATCCCATAAGTTTTAATCATTCCTAATATTCTTGTAAAAGTATTTTCATAACTATTCCATGAGTCACCTTTCCTACCATGTTGGAAAGAACATTAGCTTAGGGGGTCAGAAAGTAGACACTTTGTCTGCCACAGCCAAAGTAATAAAAGTACTAAGAGCTGAAGCTGTCCACATGCAGAAGACTGCATTAAGTACACAACAACTCTCAACAGAGAAAAGAACTTGCCAGAAGAGAAAAGAGGCATCTATGCTCGTGTGGTGGTCACAGAATATTCTCAAGACAACAATGCGAACAGTGCCAGGTGTTCTCACTGACACTCACTTTTCAAGGTCTACAAAAGTAAGTTTGCATTTTAGGCATCTTATTGAGTAACTACACTAGGAAACAACGAAGTGCTTATATATTCTGCAGGCCAAATAGATCATCATGGCATGCCTTCTTCAAGTGTGTTTGTCTATTTCTGGTTTAAAAGAAGACATTTGCAAGTATCTAATGTGTTTGACTTATGTGTTTAAGGACGGTGTGATTAGGGTTAAATAGTGCAAACCATAAAAGCACTTGTATAAGCTGCCCTGGAAACCATTGGCAGAGCTAAACAAAGTTATTATTTCACTTACTAGAAGAGTTTACTCGACATTAAACAAAAACTATTTCCCACCGAGGGTGTATATCTCCAAGATGACCTATTTGGCCAGAACATCAGGGCCCAAGATTATGTTTTTATATGAAGGAAGGAAACTTGTACGCATGTAATTTAAAGGATTAAAAAAACCCTTAAACTCAGTAGAATGTCATCATATACAAAAACTCTCTTTGGCTTTAAGGCTGCAATTCTGGCAACTAGATGGATGAAAAAACAATCAACAACCAGGGAGGGTAAAAGATAAAAACTCAAAAGGGGTATCTGCCTAGGTTCAAGTACAATACTGGTAAGGCACTGTCTTCATTCATGTCTACGACGTCGAATGTTCTGAGGAAGGTACATTTAGGGGCTCTGTATCCCTCTTCTTATATAAACTCTAACAGGGAAACTATATTTAAAAGTTATGAAGAATTGAGAGGGAATTTTAAGAAGAACGAAGTGGCTGAATACCTACTGTCTGCCATTCTCTGAGGCAGGTGCTTTACCTAGTTTATCTAACTTCTCTCTCTGCATCCCATAAGGTATTTATTATTTCCATTTTTAACATGAGGAAACTGAGGCTCAGAGAGGTAAGCAATGGATGCAACACCACCACAGACATAGCAGCAGAGCGGGTACCTGCTCCTGACTGCTTCAAAAGCTGCTGACTGCTCACTGCACCAGTTCAAACAGGAGCCACAGACATGGCTCAAAATCCCTCAGGTAATGACTTACACGTTTTTAACTCCTTAAAACTATAATAGAAAAGAATGCTGTTACATATTACATTTTAACAAATTGAAGAAGATCAACAAATAAGCTGTGCTCATAAGTCATCCTGGGTTTTTCTTTTAGTTTCAGTTTTTTGCAGACTGAAATAAAGCTTCTCCTCCATCTTCATGCACATATTTAATTTCCTTCATCATTTTTTCAGAATCCAGATCAGCACTTTTTTGTTTACAAAATTATGCAAACCAGTACACTACACAACAGCCTAGAAGCCTGAGCAAAGACTGTAAAAATGATTTAAAAATTGCATGACATGACTTTCACCTAGTCAGAGAAGCAGAGAACACTTCAAATAATTATAAGAAATGTGAACAACTCCAAGATACTATTGGTGATTCACCTATAAAACAATATTCCCAATCAATCTTTCAAGTTTCTAGATCAGATTAAATGAAAACATCCTGTCATCACAAAGAAAGTTTAAACACCGGTAACATTTCTGTCTACTCATGATTTAGGACTTTCTTAATGTTACAGTCCCAAAACTAATTAGAGAAATAAATAAATGTTTAAACCAATTTAGGATTGTAACAGTTGTCCACAATTCTCCAATTTTAATATTCTTCAGAATAGCTCATTTTTCTCACTAACTGAATTTGTTAGGAAATGTTATAATTTGAATCAATAAACTTGTATTAATTCTGCTTCATTTATTGGACTTTTGCATAAGATCTGGAGACAGGCTTCCACTGGGAGTACAAGTCTAAAAAATAGTGTATTACTGCATGATATTTACCCAGTTACAACCATGCAAGTAATCAGATATTAGTAATTCAGGTGACAAAGCAATACTTTCAGCTAGGGTAATGAGAGAAGACTTTAGTAAAGTGGTAAGAGAGGCAAAATAATTCATAACTGACTCCATGTGAAAATAGTGTCTATCATTAAAAAGCAAAGCCTGCTTTTTGGCATCAAGAGTTTATACTTGATATTTTAAAATGTTCCGACAAAAGTACATGAGATCAAATTTTCATAGCTGTTTTAGGCATCACTAGCAATATCATAAGTTGCTACCAAGTGATGAATTGTCCATGCAATTGTCGTCTTTAAGAAATCTAAAAGTGTATTACATTAATCATATATAGAACGCAAATGTTTGATAATAAAACTGAATGACAGGCATAGAGAAAGGAGGCTCTGAACTCAAAGTAGATCTATGAATATGTTTCAGATTAAGGCAAAATCTTTATTATGCAAGTTCTCTTAAAAGATTTAATGTTTAAAAAGTATAGAACTGAAGTTCTACAATGTTTAGGATTTAATATTTTTATATCTAAATGCAAATTTGTAAGCAGATCGATTTCTTTATGCTCCTCTTTTTTCATAGCCACTATTTTCCCAAAAGTTAATTTAAACTAATTTGAGGAGACAAAAGTAGTACAACACTTAAAAACTATGTCATATGAATAGATACCCATTCATTTGCCTAGGATCGTGATTCTCAGTGCTGAAAAATGTCCTGAAGCCATTTTTTTTTTTAACAACAACAAAAAAGGAAATTCAACCTTTCATTAAATTCTGACTTGTTTTTCTATGGAAGGGGAAAGCAAAATGTATTACATCTTATTTTTGGCCAAACATGCTAATAATGTTTGTAGTGAAATGCTCCCATCTTGTGGACTTTTTGAATATTGCTAACAGGAGCCACTTCTGCAGCATGGTTTTACACCAGCAGCTAGACATTTTCTTAGCATTTGAATTAGCTAGCATTTTTGTTACAAATCACTTTTGTTTATTCTTGTATTTTAAAAAGTCTTTAAATATTTTGATTTGAAATTCTGAAATCACAAACCTTTACTGGAAAAATCAACTTCTGGAAAAAGTTGGCTACTTGATCTGTCAAGGCATATGTAATTTTTTTGGTAAATTGAATTCTTTAATAATCAGACTTGTTTGAAAAATATAACTATACATAATGCTCTTACTATATTATAAAATAAACTGTAAACCTGCACAAGTAATAATTTTTTTTACATATTAAACATGTATTTCTTACATATTAAAACATATATTTCAAGAAATTGTCTTTGGTATTAGTTTCCAACAATTCCAAACACTGTAGAACTTTGGAATGTTCTATATACTTTTTCAATGTTAAATCTTTTAAGATAACTCGTACAATAAGGGTTTTGGATAATGAAGATCTGGGTTAATATACCTGAGTTTTTCATGTTGACGTTAGAAACACATGACTTTGGAACACTTAATATTTTTTCTTCATTCTACGTTTGCATTAAACACTGAAAATGGCATTATGAGAGTAAAGTCTGAGAAAATACATTCAAAATCAAAAGTAAAAGAAAACCTATTGGCTGGGCACGGTGGCTCATGCCTGTAATCCCAGCACTTTGGGAGGCTGAGGCGGGTAGATCACGAGGTCAGGAGATCGAGACCATCCTGGCTAACACAGTGAAACCCCGTCTCTATTAAAAATACAAAAAAAATTAGCCGGGCATGGTGGTGGGCGCCTGTAGTCCCAGTTACTCAGGAGGCTGAGGCAGGAGAATGGCGTGAACCCAGGAGGCGGAGCTTGCAGTGAGCCGAGATCGCGCCACTGCACTCCAGGCTGGGCGACAGAGCGAGACCCCATCTCAAAGAAAAACAAAAAAGAAGAAAAGAAAAGAAAACCTATTGAAAAAGTTACCTAAAAAAAATTATAGCCATATAGTAGACATAGAAATGGTATAAAGGCTTAAACAAACAGATGTACCAGATGTTTAAGTGCTAAATATCAGAAGTGATTTTTTAAAGCTTTCCACACAAAACCTAGCACAGTTACTAGACACAATTAGAACTAAATAAAGCATTTATTTGAGATTTTATATGTTGCTAAGTTGTTCGCGTTTTTCAACAGAAAAGATAAATTCAACACTGCAGAAAAATTTCTATCTGCTATAACATTCCCATTGATACCCTAATAAGTTATTCTAAATACTCATAGATATATCAATGAAAAGTTAAAATCTATCTGGAAATTAAAATATTTAGTTCTATATTTCTGGTATCTCAGACCCACTGCCTAGCTGGCAGCTACAGAGGACAGGCTCCTGGCCCCAAGAAACAGACTTGGGGAAGCGCAGTTACAGCTGTGAGGTCTTAGGTAACTCCTGCTCTCTGCCTCTTAGGGTTAGAAGTACAGGTTGAGTATTCCTTATCTGAAATGCTTGGGACTAGAAGTGTTTCAGATTTGGGAGTTTCGGCAGTACCAGCTGAGCATCCCTAATCCAAAAATCCAAAATCCCAAATGCTCCAGTGAGCATTTCCTTTGAACATCACGTCGGCACTCAGTTTCAGATTTGGGGGCATTTCAGATTTCAGATTTTCAGATTAGGGATATGCAACCTGCATTAAATGTGATAAGCTAGGTAAAGTGCTTAATCCAATGCATGGGACAGAATGAGGGCTCACATAATATATTAGCTACTACTTTTATTAGACTGTGCCCTGCATATAATAAATTCTATAAATATTTGTTTAATAAATGAACACAATTAAAATGTTTAGCACAACAGAACTGGAGTCATCTAAGTACATGGCCTTTTAAAAACAATTCTGACAACAAGTCTCTAAGAAGAAACTGAGTCTCTAAGAAGACTCTGAAGTGAGAGGAACCTGTCTAGAAGTAGTCAATCCAAAGCAACTCCACCAGAATGTAAATTAGTACAACCTCTATGGAAAACAGTATGGAGATTTCCTCAAAGAGCTAAATGCAGATCCACCATTTGATCCAGCAAGCCCATCACTAGGTATCTACCCAAAGGGAAAAGAGTCATTATATGAAAAAGACACTTGCACATATATGTTTATAGCAGCACAATTCACAATTGCAAAGATGTGGAACCAACCTAAGTACCCACTGACTAATGAGTGGATAAAGAAAATGTGGTTTATATACACCATGGAATACTACTCAGCCATTAAAAGGAACAAAATAACATATTTTGCAGCAACTTGGATGGAGCTTGAGGCCATTATTCTAAGTGAAGTAAAACAAGAGTGGAAAACCAACAACCATATGTTCTTACTTATAAGTGGGAGCCAAGTTATGAGTAAGCAAAGGCATACAGAATAAAATAATAGACTTTAGAGACTCAGAAGGGACAGGATGGGAGGAAGGCTAGGGAAAAAAAACTACATATTGGGTACAATCCACACTACTTGGATAATGGGTGCACTAAATCTCAGAATACACCACTAAATAATTCATCCATGCAACAAAAAACCACTTGTACTCCAAAAGCTATTGAAATAAAAATTTTAAAAAACACAGAGCAACTCCACCAGACCATGGCATTCATAAATGGATTATGAATGTAAGAAACCTTAGAAATGCAGCTGAACTCAGAGTTACAGGGAATGCCTTCAAAAACATTGCTGTGATTTTAGCATCACCTGACATAAGGCAGAAGCCGCCAAGTGTTAGGTGAAATATACAGTCATCATTCAGTCAATGTGTACTGAGAAGCTACTATGTGTCCGGCCCAGGGATATACTGGTATATAACAAAAGAAACATTTTACCCATATTTAAGCCTAAAGAATGAAGTATCTGGATGGACGGTATTCTCTTCAAGATAAAGTGAGGCTTCTCATCTACCACCTCCCCAATTCATGCCTTCCTCAATCCAAAAGTTATCATCAGATTTCTTTATTCTTTCAGAAATACCCACTACTGCCTAAATACTGATCACTTGTCTAGAAGCAAAAAAATTCAGCAATGTTTAAGAAAGTTACAGTTCATGAAGTGTATAGTCTCATTCAGGAGACAAATATTAAAGAAATAGCAATGCAAATATGTATAAGAAGGTAACTATGGCCAGTGTTATGAAAGAACACACTAGTACATAAAGGACTCATCTAATAAAGCCTCGAAGGATGGGGGGGCTTGGTAACAAAAGGCTTCCTAAGGCAGTAATATTTAAGATGAGACCAGAAGAAGGAGGTGGGATGGGCCAAAGAGAAGAGCACATGAAAAGTAAACAGTAAGAGGGAGAAGGAGCCGGAGCCAGGCTGAGGACACTGCGAACTCCAGCAGAAACCTGGTGCCTGAATACAGGTTTTGACCAATTATATCCTTTTGTCTTTAGAGCCCAATTTGATATGCACAGACCATCATTTGCACTTTATACTATCTATAAGTCAAAATCATTATTATTCTAAAAGCAACTCATTAGTTGCTCTCCTGCCCATGATATCTTTCCTACACCTAGCAGTCTTCAATGCCACAAAAATCACCTTTCATTCACTCTCAACCAGGGGTTTGTATATCAGAGAGCCAGACCATGGCAAGAAACAGGAAGGAAGGCAGTTTTTTAAATGATACAAAAAGTTGGCTATAAATCCATCATTAAAAAATAAAGAATAAAACGATCCTAAGAAACAAGAAAGTATTGCGACAGGGGAGACACAAAGGGAAATTAGTCTTATAAATTCTTGCAGATGTTTAGAATAACTAATTTTCTTTCAATACCCTGCAACAGGACTGTAGGTGAGGTTATTTACTTCCTAGCTCACATAGAAAATGCCACAATGTGCTATTTCTATAACCCAACTTTTATTATCTTTAAAAGACAAGGTTTCACTAGTCACCCAGGCTGGAGTGTGGTAGCTATTCACAGGCACAGTCATGGCACGCTGCAGCCTCCAACTCCCAGGCTCAAGTGATCCTCCTACCTCAGCCTCCCGAGTAGCTGGGATTACAGGCGTACTCCACCATGCCCGACTCTATTAATCATTTCATCTTTACTGTGGGATAGCCAATTACTTTCTGAACTTTTCATTTACCTTAATTTTTCCACCCAGGTTCATTCCTATTCCCTTCCCACCGTGAGAGTCTCAAAACAAGCTCCCTTGAATCAACAGGCTTCCCTAACTCAGGCCAAGCTGCACTGATACAGCAAATAGGCCCTGAAGCATCAGGGTAATGGCCACACATTTTTCAAGACCCTGCAACGAATCCCCATCTTACTCAGGGTAAAAGCCAAAGTCCTTACCATGGTCCTCCAAAAGGGGTCCATGAACCCCACTGGTGACCCGACCTGACCTCCTACTCACTTGCTTCACTGCACCCCATCTCACCACATCAGCTCCCTTGTTGCTGTTCCTTCAACATTGATTCCAGGTGCTCTCTGGCCCGGAACTGTTCCCTCTGCCTGGAAATGCTTTCTCAGATACCTGCCTGGAAAACTGTCTTGCCTCCTTCAACCCTTCCTCAACTCTTCCCTTCTCCATGAGGACAATCCTGATCCCCTTACTTAATGCAGAACCTGCACTACTCTTCATCTCCTTAACTCTCTTCTACCTTTTATTCTTTCCACCACACTTGCTGCCTTTAACATGCTAATTATGTATTATATATGTTGTTTATTACCCATCACTCTCTGACAGACTGCAAGCTCCTCGGGGCAGGGATCTTTGCTGGTTTTGTTCATGGATACACCCAAGCTCTCAGAACTGTGCCTGGTCCATAATAGGTGTCCAATAACTGTTTTCTGAATAAATGAATGAATTTTAAGCTTTCTCCCCTTAATTTCTCTCACATCTTTGGATGTTGCTGGAAATCTAGTAACAACAACAAAATAAATAAGTAGCAAAATACACAAATAGGTAAACTAAAAAAAAGCCAAACACGTCAGTTTAATGCATTTCATTGTTTTCTCCACACAACAAAAGTAGGCATGATTTAAAGATACATCAAAATAAGCTAAAAAATTATGCCCTTCACCTTTATCTTTAGAAATCTCAATTGTCCAATTTTCACAAAGACATGGATAAAAATAATGCAAAGCCAGAAATGCACATTGAATGGTCAACATTACATCTGATTATGGCTATATTTATACAAGGTTTGCAGGCTCACTCTTCACACTGAACTTGGCAAATATACAAATGTCATTTATTTCTGTCCAGATAAAACATGATTTCTATTATAGATGACACAATCTTTATTTCAGTAAAAACCTGCTTAGTTTCCTCTCCTATATGGGGAATTATCTTGTAATTTTACAAATAACTAGATCAGGCTTTATCTTTAAAAAGATAAAGATATGGATAAAATATTGAACCTCTGCGGTCAAAGCAAGTGTGTTTTGAGAATAAAGATGGAAACAATAATTATATAAAAGATAGTAATTTAATAAATTTTGAATGATGACAACACCAATACCTACAAATAAGTCATATATCAAAAACAAAGAATTTCATGAAGATTCTAAGCTATATATAAAAAACACCAAAATAGCATGCATTAAACAGTTTTTGGAATAAATATTGCTAGTATCTCAAAAACTAAAGAGAAAAATTATCAGTACAAAGGATGGACTTTGTACTACAAAGGAGGTGAAGCAACAACTTCCTCTAAACTAACTAATGTTAAATTTTTCATGCTATCCACATTCATAACTTAAGTCCACATGCAAAAGAAACAAGCTTGTGCAATAATCCAGGCCAAATGATGGCGGGGAAGAGAGGGAAGGAGAGCTGATCATCACCCAGAAAATGATGGAGAGAGCAAGCAGGTTAGTGAGAGCTACAAGAGGTATGAGATGACTACATGTGATAAAATGAAGCTTATGAAAGCTTTGGGTGAATATCAGGAGAGGTTATCATAAAATATGATGTTTTATTATGAGAATGTCCTAAATAATGTATAGAAATAACATTACTTGAATAATTTAAAAATAACAGGTCTATTAAAGTCATAAATTAGATGTCCATATTGTCTGTACAGCAAATTGCTACTTCAATGAAATGGAAAATGGCTACTATTCTGAAGCACCCTTAGAACTTATTCAACTGTTCTTTAAACATCAAAATAAAGTACCAAAATAAAGAATGTTGTTATCCTTATCACAAACTTATTCTGACCATATCATGGCCTGGGTAAAAGATTGACTGAGCAGTGTCAAAACAGAAATTTAAAGCACTATCTTCATGAAAACTACTTAAATTCATTTTTTTAAAAACCACTATCATTCTGCTTTAAATGCCAGAAATAAAGTTTTAGATTAAAATATTTCAATGGTTGTCTAAAATGCTGCAATAAAAACTAGACAAAAAATTTTTAGTTTTTATTTTACTCCCTTTCTTACTAAATGTATGTTAAAAAAAAAAAAAACTCTCAAATGATCCAGACAAAAGCTTTCAACTCAACACATAATTGCAAGAAAATTACAATAATTGTACCAATTAAAACCATCTTGAATGAACAGTGTGTCATCTTAATGTTCCCGTGGTTTACAGAGGGGTCTATTTAATTCGCTGAAATTGCTTTCCAGTGTTAGTATCAAATGTCATTTGTTAAAAGTTGAACAATTTAGAAAATAATTTAACAATTTCACCAAACACCAAGAACCAACATTTTCTTTTTCACCTGAATAAAGCCAGCAGATGTGTCATCAAATTGCTATAAAAATAAACGAGGCTTTTTATGCATTAAAAAAATAAATTTTACTACTAGCGTTAAAAATACTATTTTCTGATTGTTTTTACCAAATCATATTTCTTTAGTACAACAAATGAATATCAATTACATACTGCTGCTTTTTGTCGGCTGTAAATAAAACTTTCTCTTATTCAAATGACAAGCAATAGCATCAAAGAACTCAACTACAGTTAACTAGAAACATAATCATCTAGATTATTCTCACATACTTTAATATCTGGCTTTCCAATATGTTAATCAAAGTGTCTTCCTATAGTTTTTCATTCCAAATCCTTATTATATATAATTATTTTAAGTCAATTCATACGAATTATCAATGATTGCTTACTATATTTTTTCTCTTCCTTAGACTAGCTACGAAATATTCTTTGTAAGTAGTTGCAGGCATTTAAGACTTAAATATACCTATTTCACCAGGAAGAGAAGAAAAGCATCTCAAAATCACCCCAAATCCAGCCCAGTCATAGATGGCAAGCCTGCCAAATGCCGAAGTTTAAAGTAATGAGTTGGTTTAATGGCAAAGCAAAGTTCACATCCCTCATTCTATCCCCACCTAACACCTCTGCACTTTCCAAAGTGCAAGAATACATAAGGCACCTAGCAAAGTACCTGACGTGAAGGAAGGAGGTCAGTAACACTAAGTGACTCGACCTCCTTAAGCAAGGACCCATGTGAGATAACTAGTTCTCCTGTGCCCAAGTTTACAAATTTCTTGAAATCTAGAAATACATTCCTGGAGTAATATACTACTCCTAAACCAATTCAGACAGGGTCTAAGAATCTAAAGCAGCCACAAATTCCTTCCACTACTGTTTCTTAAGACATCACTCCACAGTTCCTAAACGAAGGCTTATTCTTTTTTATGACACATTTTTATTTACACACAAATGATAACAACAACAATCTTGAGGATAGATGAGAGTGTCAAGGGATTACCTGTTTACATTAAATAGGGCTTTATGTATAAATATAACATGCGAAAAATAAACCTCATTATATTGGTATGAATTATTACGAGGCACTTAAATATTTTTAAAACTTAAGTTTTAACCGCTTAGCAAACGTTCATAATTATACAGCACTTGTATTATAATACAAACGTTTATTCACGAAATAAAACCTTGTATGTACAATAAAATATTGTACTACAGAACCAAGAGAAAAACGAATCATGCATCTCACAATAAGATGATTTGTAAAACCTCAAAGACCAGATGCAATTCAGTACCACTTCTCAATAGGCAGACAGTAATTATACATCACTGCATCTACTGGAACACCTACTTGATACAGCACACAGGTTTAAACCACTAAACTACTTTCATATAAATTAAACAGCAAAACCTAGAAGAGCTCAAATCTGTGGACTAATACAACAACATCTATAATTCTAAAACCAGTTATTTACTTAGAAAACATTAAATGTGTACATAAAAAATAGGAACTAGAAAAATAGGAAAACCATATACTGACAATACTCTAAGGAAATAAAAGTTATCTGAAATCTTAGAAGTGTATATAAACTATACACTAAGGCTGGGCACAGTGTTTCACGCCTGTAATCCCAGCACTTTGGGAGGCCAAGACAGGAGAAATGCTTGAGCCCAGGAGTTTAAGACCAGCCTGGGCAACACTGCAAGTCCCCGCCTCTACAAAAAAATAAAAAGAAAGAGCCAGGAGTCCTGGTGCACGCCTACAGTCCTAGCTACTTGGGAGGCTGAGATGGGAGGATGACTTGAGTCCAGGAGTTTGAGGCTACAGTGAGCTATGATTGTGCCACTGTGCTCCAACCCGGGTGACAGAGAGAGATCCTGTTTCTAAAAAATTTTTTAAAATTTTAAATAAACTTTATATACCTGAAAAAGGAAAAGTTTGTCCAAATAAAGTCATAGATTTTACATGACAGGATATATACCTGTGCTAATACAACTCCAAAATTATAATGGAATTAATAAGAATGATTAAATCCAGGAGTATACATTTTATACATATTATTTTGTATTGTCTGCTTTATACGCGTTTTTTTTTTTTTTTTAACTCAACCTAAAATAAAGTAAAATACAAAGAGGTCACAAAAGGTACCTTTCGTAGATGGTTTTTAATGTCATTTGATCTGGAATACCTTCAGTCTCTTCCAAATATAATATGAGCCATGAAGTCCGGTATGGCCACTGCTCAGTAAGGTTGATCCAGCTAGCAAGCCTGTCCCAGTTGAAACTAATCTGATTGGCTCTCAGTAATCGTCCTTTTAAAAAATACAAAAGCATTTAAAAATTAATAGATGTGTGATAGTATGTTAAGTAAAACATTTAGTATATTCACAAATATTTTAAATTTCTAAAATTTACCATTTAATTTATACTACAAATTCAAATCTAGTACTGCCATGGCTTCTAAAATCCAAAGAGCTGCATTAAGTAAAGCTTTTAGGGCTTAAACACAATTTTAATTCTAAAGCAATTTTTTGGTTGTTTGATTTGCCACTGGTGAGATATACTTCTTCGACCACGTATATGCAGGCAAACATCTTTCAGAACTGTGTCACACAGTTCAACGCCACCCACGATCATTGAGCAGAACATCCATTCACCCACAATGGACCCCAATCCTCTAAAGTGCCATCTGCTGAGATCCTATTGATGGACTATAAACAGATCCAAATATGCCAGTCCATTCTCGTTGTAGTATAGATGAATGGGCAATCCCACAGGCTTTCATTTTCACATACTAAGGGTGGTCTATGTAAGTAACCTACCAACTGAGTTGTAATGTTTCTAATATTTATTATTTACGTATTTTAAAACAACCCTGTCTATTGCTGGGATTTTCTGAGGACTCTGATTTGCTGTTCTACCACTAGGCTTGTGTACATGTAGACAGTCGCAATCCTCAAACTTTCAGAACGGATGCCTTGTTTCATTGTATCATGTTTCACCATGATTTGGTAGAAATTCTGAGCTGCTGATACTGTTGTTAAATTTTCAAACATTGTCAATTTTACTTCATCATTATCTATTTTGTTTGTATGTAGACTAAGATACCTATTTGTTTTAGTTCCAATATGAGTTATTCCTTTCCCTACTACTAACAGATATATACATATAGATATATAGATAGATATAGATATACATATAGATATATAAGCCCCAATCCAATTCTTCCTATATCACCAGGCCCTCACTTCCTCAGCAAATCTGCTCATACACAGAAATTATATTTTCATGGCTGGATTCCTCTTCCCTGGAAGGTGAGATGTGAGCATTGATGGAGACATGGCTATGCTGGAGATATACACACAGTGCTGTGTGAAAAGAGAAAATGAGCACCAAATTTAGAAGCGGCAGTTAAGGGAAGATTTCCTTAAGAATATAACTACTAAAAAGAAAAAGACAAAAAAAAAAGAATGTAACTAACCACTAGAACTAAGCGATGAAGGATGAACCCAAGTTAGTCTGGTGGGAAGGCACGGGCTGGCAGAGACAAGGGAAGCAGAGTGAGGACATTCAGACAAAAGGAACAGCAAATGCACCATGCATGCATGCAAAGTCATGAAGGAACCGGTAGACAGAGAGAACTGGAAAACTATTTTAAAAGTATGAGTGAATAGGCCAGGTGTGGTGGCTCACACCTGTAATCCCAGCACTTTGGGAGGCAGAGGTGGGAGGACCATTTGAGGTCAGGAGTTCAAGACCAGCCTGGCCAACATGGTGAAACCCCGCCTCTACTGAAAATATAAAAATTAGCCGAGCGTGGTGGCAGGCACCTGCAGTCCCAGCTACTCGAGAGGCTGAGGCAGGAGAATCACTTGAACCTGGAAGATGGAGGTTACAGTGAGCCAAGATCACACCACCGCACTCCAGCCTGGAGGACAGAGCGAGACTATCTCGAAAAAAAACAAAAAAAAGCATGAGTTAATAAAAGTAAATATTCTATCCTAAGAATATATCTAGCCTATAATGAGTGAATAAAAATAAATATTCTATCCTAAGAATATATCTAGCCTATAATTAGCTAAAAAGAAAGCAATATCAAAAGAAAATTCTGAACAACGAATATGTCTAAGATAATTTTTTAATCTTATCTTCCAAAATAATCCAATAAAACAAATTTGAAATAAAGTACATTTGATACAGCACAATTTTTAATTAGGAAACCACTCAACTAAATACTTATCAATATTTATCTACTAAAACCTCAAATTCTTTTCTGATATTAATCTCTCTATTGAATGACTTTCCTAATAGCAACTATTTGCATGGTGTTGGGCGGGTAACATACACTTTTGCATACATGGGAAATGGGGATTCAAGAGGCTAAGAAGTAACATGCCCGTGACTCAAACCCAAGTCTTTTGCCTTCAAATTCTATCCTTTCCAATAAAATATATTTCCCTACACACTTCCAACTAATGTTACTCAATGAAATGGAAAACATCACAAAAAAAGAAATCAAAATTTCATTAAACACACAGATTTAAACCTGTAAGTTATTTTTCAACATAGCACTTTTAGGCAATGAAACTAATGGTGTTAGGGGCTTTTATAAAATGAAAATTTTACTTAGAAATTTTTCATAGGCAGAGTTATATTTGATGAGACATAAAAGACAAATATCTCTGATTTAACAATTGGAAAGTCTACTGTATAGTCAGAATAATATTAGAGAAATTCGTACATTTGAAATGTGGCTTTAGGAAGATATTTTCTTTCTATTCTGAAATGTGTAAACATCATTATTTTAAAAATGTGTATCTCAGTATCAACTATTAAATGATGTTAATTTGGTCCTCTTTAGAGTGTCTGAAAATGTCTAAATATAATCCAAAATCCTTCCTATGGATTTGGGGCCTGTAAGCCTCAAAGTGAACTACCCAGGGGCTAGATTTTTTCTTTTTTTTTTTTTTAAGATGGAGTCTCACTCTGTCACTCAGGCTGGAGCGCAGTGGCACAATCTCAGCTCACTGCAAACTCTGCCTCCTGGGTTCAAGCAATTCTCCTGCCCCAGCCTCCTGAGTAGCTGGGATTACAGGTGTGAGCCACCACGCCTGCTAATTTTTGTATTGTTCGTAAAGACGGGGTTTCATCATGTTGGCCAGGCTGGTCTTGAACTCCTGAGCTCAGGTGATCCACCTGCCTCAGCCTCCCAAAGTGCTGAGATTAGAGGGGTGAGCCGGTGCGCCCAGCCAGTGGCTAGTTCTTTGACATACTTCCCACTATTCTCTTTTGATCCCCAAAGTGCAACCACACTGGCCTCCAGCTGTTGCTGGAATTCCACCCCAGAGCCTTCACACTTGCTCTTCCTCCTGTTAAGATGCTTTTCTCAAGACAGATATAAAACTCAGTTCCCACTTCATTCAGGTCTCTTAGTCATTTAACAACAGTGTCCTAGACATTGTTCTGGGTACTGAGAAAACAACAATAAGAAAGACAGATAGAATGCCGGGCATAGTGGCTCATGCCTGTAATCCCAGCACTTTGGGAGGCCGAGGCGGGCGGATCAGGAGTTCAAGACCAGCCTGACCAAAATGGAGAAACCCCATCTCTACTAAAAATACAAAAATTAGCCGGGCGTGGTGGCACATGCCTGTAATCCCAGCTACTCGGGAGGCTGGGGCAGGAGAATCACTTAAACCCCGAAGGCGGAGGTTGCAGTGAGCCGAGATCATGCCACTGCACTCCAGCCTGGGAGACAGGGTGAGACTCTGTCTCAAAAAAAAAAAAAAAAAGAAGGAAAGAAAGATAGATAGAAAACCTTTGCCAGGTGGATTTTAAATTCTACTGAGGGGAAACAAACAAAAACCAAAGAAACAAACAAACAAAAAAGTAAATGATGTAGTGAATTAGAGGTGATTTTTTCTGTTGAGTAAAACAAAGCAGGGAACAGGTAACGCAAAGCATACCAAAGAAGATGTCATTTTATACGAGATGGTGAGGGAAGATCTTGTAGAAAAGCTGACATTTAAGCAAAGACTTAAAAGGAAGTGAGAAACCCCATGATGCATATATCCAAAGAACAATCTGTACAGGCAGAAGAAATAGCAATTGCAGGAGGAGCCTTTTGATGGGAGCATATCTGACATTTTCAAGGAACAGCAAAGAAGTCAGTAAGGGATGGAGGAGGAGAATGGTGGGAGATGAGGTCAGAAGGAGGAAGGGGATGCAGAAAATCAGATCATAAAGGGCTTTGTAGGAAACTATAAGGACTTAGATTTTTGTTTTCAGTGAAATGAGGACACATTACAGAGTTCTGAGCAGAGAATAACATGACTGGCTTCTATTTTAAAAGAATCACTGTGGTTGCCGTATGGAGAATAGGCTGTAGAGAGAAAAAGACAGGAGTAGAGACCAGTTAGACTATTTCCATAATTAATAAAGGTAGAACATGATAATGTATCTGATGAGGGTGGTATGCCAGAAAATGGCGAACAGTGCTCATCTTCTGGAAATAGACTGAAAACAGTGCTACAGAATTTACTAGTAGATTGGTGGTAGTATATGAAAGAAAGATCAAGATTTTCTTACTTAAGGAACTGGAAAAGAGTTGGATTAATAGATAGGAAAGACATGGATGGATGAAGTTTGAGTCAGAGAATCAAACATTCAATTGTGGACATATTATGTGTCAGATATATATTGACACCATTAGATGTCAAACAAGCAACTGAAGAGCTATAGGGCTGAAGATACATATTTGAGAGTCACTGGCATATAGATGGCATTTAAGCCTTTCAGAGTAAATGCGGTCGCCAAGGTAGCAGGTCTAGATAGAAAAGGAGAACTCCAAGAAACGCAACCAAGGGCATTCCAATGCTAAATGGCAAAGGGAGATGAAGGCTAACCACCAGCGCAAAAGGAGGAAATCCAGTCGGTGTGGCATTCTGGAAGCCAAAGGAGGAAAATTTTTCAAAGAGGAAGAGTGATCAACACACTGTCAAACACCACTAATGGGGTCAAATAAGATGAGCACTGGCCTGGCCACTGAATTTTATAACATGGAAGCCATTGGTGACCTTGAAAATGCAATTTTACTGAACTGAGAGCAAGAGATTATTGGAATAAGTTAGAGAAAACAGAGGGAGATTAATATGAGACACAGGGACAGACAAGTCTTTTGAGGAGCTTTGCTGAGAAATGGGGTAGTAGCTAGAGGCAGAGGTACAGTCAAGAGCAGCTTTTCTTGGGAAGGGAGCAACAATCTGTGTGTTGATGGGAGTAATTTTCGAGTGAGAGGGAAGGCCATCTCCTGTTTACAGTCTTGTTTTCATGACACACATCATTCTGTGACGTTATATCTTTTGGTTTTCTCTACTAGGGCAGAGACTTTATCTTGTTCACTGCTTATCTCCACAATGCCCAGAAATGTTACCTGACATAAGGCAGACACTCGCTACACATTTGATAAATGAATACATATATGTTGATAACATACTAAAACATTCCCATTGTTGAACATAAATACAGTGAGGCTTGAGAACTCACTTAAAGGAACTTAAGTACCAAAAATATTGTAAGTATATTAGATACAACCTCACTTGGAATACAGTTCACAGCATGAACCCCAACAATATTAAACACAATTCTAGTATAACTATCATAATAGAGTTAACACTAGTAAATATTACAAAGTACCAACCAATACCCTGCAAAGAGACATATATTTTACAAACTAAATTACAAGTATTTATGTGGTTGCCCTGAAGCTATGAGCAAGGAGGAATTCACAAGGCAGAATTCCATGCAGGGACTTCAGGCACAGGGCAATAATCCTCAATTTTATTGTCAATATTTTTTATTCAAAATATATGAAAATTAAAAAAAAAGCATATAACATCTGAATCTCAACATTTTAAATTATAAGCTTATACTCAGTAATACAAATCAGAATAAAATTATCTTTATAGTGAAAGAAAAACTTGAAGCAAAAGATTTTTTAAATAATAAAGTTTTAAAATAATGGTATACAGCCGACAGTTGATAATATCAGTTGACTTTTCATTGTCAAAACTAAAACTGACTTCACTAAGTGCACTTAATACAAATAAAGCCAGTATTCAGCAATGTAAACATATACACACAATACATACCTTTGTTTCTGAAATTAAATGGTTTTGTGAATGCTAAAGCTTATTAACTATCATAGACAATAAGAGACAAAAGTCACCTGTCACAGAAACAATATTAAGTAATCTTCTCATGGTCTGGGGACTGATGTCACTGAACCAGTCCTCGGTAACCAGCAGTTTTGTAAGATCAAAGGACATCTGGCGAGTGATGGTCCTCTGCATCTGCCTTCTTCGGTAAGTGTCCTGAAACAGCACGTCGTCAGTGAGAAGGAACCCACGCGTCCAGTCTAAGAACTTAAGGCTTTTTGAGATGTTAATAAATGTTTATAACAAAAAAAAAATCCAAAGTTTTAGTCAAAGAGGAATATCATACAGTAATAAATTATTATCTGTGAGGTAGAATCTTCGTAAAGCAATTGTAAAGTCATATTCACAGCAACTGCATGAAATGCTATGGTTTAGCTTCAGATGCATTTTAAGTTACAGTGGTACAGTTAGAGGAAGCTCAATGCTTTTAAGATTATAAGTAGGCAGAATTGTGTAAAGAGAATGATATTCAAACTCCATGGGGTCTGGCTATTTATAGAAACCCTTAAGTAATAAAGCAAATAAGCCCTTGTCTGGTTTTAAGGATTCAGCATTTTGATTTTTAGGTTATTATTATTGTTAGACAGGGTCTCTCTCTGCCACCCAGGCTGGAGTACAGTAAGGCAATCATAGCTCGCTGCAACCTGGATGTTCTGGGCTTGGGCAATCCTCCCACCTCAGCCTTCTGAGTAGCTGGGACTACAGGCATGCACCACCACATCCAGCTAATGTGTTTATTTCTATTTTATGTAGAGGGTGTCACTATGTTGCCCGGGCTGGTCTTGAACTCCTGGTCTCAAGTGATCCTTCCACTTAATCCTCCCAAAGTGCTAGGATTACAAGCATGAGCACTGCACCTGGCCTGATGTTTAGGTTATTTTAAAGTATGTGAAAACTAAGGGACAGCCTCTCTAACTATCCTCACATCGCCACATGAACAAAAGGCACTCTTCAGGGTGGGTGGGCTAAAGGAATTCCATCTCATAAAAGGGGGAACAGGTACAACCAAGGTGTGCTCTTGTCTAAGGTCCCGATGCAAGGGAAGGATGGATGCAACCATGGGGCACCCAAGGTTGCCAGGCAAGAAATTAAAAATGGTAAGTTATATGCGCCTCTGAATTTAGTGCTGTCAACTGTCATTCATCATATTAACTTTGCATCCATATCTGTAAAGGGTAGAGGCATAAAATCAAAATGTCACTGAAGACATTTTTTTAAAAAGTAAGACATCCAAACTTAATGGTAGCAAACCAGAAAAAAACATAATGCCAATACTAGCCCAACTTCACTGAGTGTGAGTGGCACTGTCACAACTGCCCTGCAAGTGAATATCTTCCTGTCATATGCATACAGACATATACACAGCACATGCCCTTGTTCCATACAAATAAGATGGGGAGGTCAGGGACAACCAATGTTTTGGAGAAACCCCCAGTGGCTGGGAAGGACACAAATTACTATGTGGTAGAGAAAAAAGAGTGAGCGTCCCACAAGCATTTAGGGAAGGCTGGCCAACAGGAAGACAAAGCCAGGAGTTTTCTCACACTACAAACCTTTCTCCCCTACTGCTATGGTGGCAACAGGCATAGCTCAACCTGACCAGGAATGAATAGAGTGGTTCTCAACCCTGGATGAAATCATTTGGCAAGCTTTAAGATCCCAGGGATCAGGAGCAGCACCTGGGCTGAGAACAGGTTGGGACCCCTATACGAAGTACAGTTGTTAGGGTTCTAGGTGCAGACATTCCCTGAAACACATGAAGCTGAAAGGAAATTCAATGATAATGTTTATTTGAAGCGTTTAATGCAATATTTACAAAGTATTATTTAAGTGGCATCATCTTTATTTGTATTAAATTGAATAGCAATACAAACATACAGCTCGAAGCCAATGGCATCTTACCCGTCTATTGAGGGCTGTCTTGCTACCAAGTTTTGTCATCTCCCCAAGGCTGTTCTGTGAAACTCTTCTGTCAGCATCTTCCTGTATCCCTTAAATAATTTATCAAGACAGCATCACTTACACCAAAATTCTGTTGTATATGATATTTAAAGAAATGTGAAACAACAACAATATTTTTCAAGGTAAAAAGGAGAGTCGCCATAAAGAAACTACAAAACTATTTCAAACTCAAAGTACTTTAGGAGCCTGAGCTTTACCTGTAGTATCTGAGCATGGAACGTCTCCATTTGTTGCTGAAGTTACGAGAAATTTTCTTGCATTGCTTAGTCCACGACTATTAAGGAACACAGGCAAGTGGACTATGTTGCGCATGTAGTCATGGCCATTTATATTTGAATCCCGAAGCACACTATTGAGGTTCTGGTTAATTGCCTTTATGATAATATGTGGATCACTTGCAAAAATGGCAATGAACGGGCCTTTTGAAAACAGAACTCGGACCTGTGGCAGAAGAAATGTACAGTTGTGACATACATTTTAAATTGTCCAAAAGAATAAGGCATCTCTTCAAAATATGTGCTACCTTTTGGTGACAATATTTCTAAACTACTATTTCTTTTCATCAAAACTTACTCTGCACAAAAGCAAATTTTACTGACAGCTCAATCTAGGTTTGTTGTCATCTGACATAGATAAAACCTGCAAAGAAAATTAATATTGTCCTTCTTTCAGACATTTACAGTCTGCTAAAGAGGTAAATCAATGCACATGAGAAACATTCATGAATACAGATGCTCTATTCATTTTTCTCACAGTGCCACTAAGCTAAAATTATTTAAATATCTTTGTGACTAAACATTTATTCTTGCTACATTTCTGTATAAAGAATGGTTGTTTTTACAAAAGAAAAATCACAAAATAGGAACTACTCAAACAAAAACCAATTCCGTTCTATTTTTAGATATTTGTGAAGTCAAACATTCTCTCAAGTGCCACAACATAACAATGGTGGCTTTTGAGGTGGCGCAAACGTACAGTGTCCAGCATCTGAAGGACTTTGTCCTGCTCACAGGCATCTAATCCATCGATGATGACCACCAGCCTTGTCTGATTCTGAGTGAAGCTGTCAATGGTTTTTGCCATCCTGGCCATCAATTCCACTTCACATTTAAGAACCTGTATTGCAAAGGAAGGTATAGAAAGCACTGAAGGAAGATCCAAGAAGCTTAAACATATTTCTTAGAAAGCGTGATAGAAAGTCATCTAATAGGAACAGAAGACATTCAAAGTCCTTGCTGCCAGTTGTGCTTCCACTTAAAATAAGAGCGAGTGCTTCACAATTTACCAAGTGACTACACATAAATTACAGCAGCTGATCCTCAGAATGACACTGTGGGATAGACACTACCATATCTGTTCTAAAAAGAACAAACTGGGTTGAGTGACTAACTTGCCAAGATTAGAGGCTCTGAATGTGAAAAGATTCAGATCTGGATGCAAATCCAAATGATCAAAGCACTACACTGCTGCTGGCTCCCTGATGGCATCTGACCTTTCACTTTGAAAAAGAAAATCCTGTATTATTTATTTTGGTGGTTCAATTTGCTATTTTTAAAAACAGATATCTTTACTGGGCTCTAGAGGAACTTATATTATTAGACAGTAGTTGCTAACTCTTTTGAATAACTTATAAAAGTCTATTTTATAAAAACATGCTACTGTTATGATGTTTCTCACTCCAAATATGTATTTCCACTGGAAAAATCTGGAATAGAACTCAAAATAAATAAAAGGACTGCTGGTTTCTGGTTCTACATATATGTAAACACTTTGGAAGTGGCCACTCCTTGATTACGTAAGCTTATATATGTGTGTGTGTGTCTGTGTGTGTGTGTGTGTGTGTGGTGGGGGGTGTGTGTGTGTGTGTATAATGTACATATTATGTATGCTTATAAATGTAAATGAAATTAGTAACAACAATGATACAAGGGACGGGAGAGAGGAATTAGGATTATTTTGCTATTATAAGATAAACTACCTGAGAAGTGATATAGTATTACTTGAAAGTGGGCTTGGATTAGTTATAAATGCATATTGCAAACCCTAGGGCAACCACTCAAAAAAAACAGTTTAAAAAAAAGTACAACTGATATGCTAAGAAAGGTGAGAAAATGGAATCATAAAAAAATGCTCAATAAAAGCATAAAAGACAAAAAGAAGAGTAGAAGACAAAAATAGGAACAAAAATCAAGCAACAAATAGAAAACAGTAACAAATACGATAGATATTAATCCATCAAAACCAATTATCCCTTTGAGCGTCAGTGTTCTAAAGATATCAATTAAAAGAGATGTCAGAGATGATCAAAAAATAAGAGCTAATTGTATGTTATCTACAAGAAACCCACCTTACATAAAAAGACACACGTAGATTAAAAGTAAATGAATGGAGAAAGCTATACCAACACCAATCAAAAGAGAGGGGGAGTAACTATATTAATTATTATATATATATAATATATATATATTAAAGGGGGGCATTACATAACAACAAAGGAGCTGATTCTCTAAGGAGACATAATAATCCTAAACATTTATATATCTAAGAAAGGAGAATCAAAATATGTAAGACAAAAGCTGACAGAACTGCAAGAAGAAATAGATAAATCCACTATCATAGCTTGAGACCTCAATACCATTCTATAAGGACAGATGCAGCAGTCAGAAAACCAGTAAGGACGCAGTTCAGCTCAACAACACCATCAATCAACTGGCTATAACTGACACCTACACTTATTTCATCCAAAAAAAGAAAAAAAAACAGAATACACATTCTTTTCAAACTCACATAAAGCATTCACCAAGATGGACCACATTCTGAGCCATAAAACACGCCATAACAAATTTAAAATAGAAATCATGCATACAATGTCTTCCCCTCAGTGGAATTAAACTAGAAGTCAAAAACAGAACGATAATTGGAAAATCCCAAAACATGCAGAGATTTAAAAACACACTTCCAAATAACACATGGGTCAAAGAAAAAAGTCTCAAGAGAAATTTTAAAATATTTTGAACTAAATAAAAATGGAAACACAACTTATCAAAATTTGTGGGACGCAACAAAAGAACAGCTGAGAAGAAAATTTATAGCACTGAATGCATATATTCGTAAAGAAGAAAGATATAAAATCAGTAATCTGGCTGGGTGCAGTGGCTCATGCCTATAATCCCAGCACTTTGGGAGGCCAAGGTGGGTGGATCGCTTGAGCTCAGGAGTTCGAGACCAGTGTGGGGAACATGGTGAAACCCTATATCTACAAAAATTAGCCAGGTGTGGTGGCGTGTAGCCTGTGGTCCCAGCTACTCGGCAGGCTGAGGTGGGAGGATCCCTTGAGCCCAGGAGGCAGAGATTGCAGCAAGCTGGGATCGCACCACTGCACTACAGCCTGGGCAACAGAGTGAGACTCTGTCTCAAAAAATAAATAAATAAAAATAAAATAAAATTAATAATCTAAGCTTCCACCTCAGGAAACTAGAAAAAGAGCAAATTAAATCCAAAGTAATCAGAAGAAAAGAAATAATAAAAACTAAAACAGAAATAAAACAATGAAACCAAAAGCTAGTTAGTTCAAAAGATAAACACAATCAATAAGCCTTGGACTAACTAAGATGAAAGAAGAGGAAACACAAATTCAGAAAAACAACAAATAAAAGAGAGGCTACCACTTTAGACCTACCTCATGGACAAAAATAGGATAATAAAGGGATACTACAAACAACTCTATGCCCACAAATTTGATAACTTAGATAAACAGACCAGTTCTTTCAAAGACATAATTTGCCAAAATTCACAAGAACAGGCCTATATCTATTGAAGAAATTGCATCAATAATAATTTTTCAAAACAGAAAGCACCAGGCCCAGAGGGTTCACTAATGAAGTCTACCAAGCACTTACAGAAGAAATTATACCAACTCTACATAGGATCTTTCAGAAGACAGAAGCAAAGGGAATGCTTCCTAACTCATGCTATGAAGTCAGCATCACCCTAATACCCAAAGCAGACGAAGTCTTGACAAGAAAAGCAAACTACAAACCAATAAATATCTCATGAGCATAGATGCAAAAAACCTCAACAAAATATTAGAAAATCATATGCAAAATGTATAAAAAGAATTATACACCACAATCAAGTGAGATTTATGCCAGGTAGGTAGGGCCGGTTCCACATTCAAAAATCAATTAATGTAATCCATCACTTCAACAGACTAGGCTGGGCACAATGGCTCATGCCTGTAATCCCAGCACTTTGGGAGGCCGAGGAGGGAGGGTGGATCACCTGAGGTCAGGAGTTCAAGACCAGCCTGATCAACACGGTGAAACTCCGTCTCTACTAAAAATACAAAATTAGCTGGGCATGCTGTTGCATGCCTGTAATCTCACCTACTTGGGAGGCTGAGGCAGGAGAATCACTTGAACCCGTAAGGTGGAGGTTGTAGTGAGCTGAGATGGCACCACTGCACTCCAGCCTGGGCAACAAGAGTAAAACTCCGTCTCAAAAAAAAAAAAAGAAACAGGCTAAAGAAGAAAGATCACATGATTGCATAATTAGATAAAGCAAAAGCATTTGACAAAATCCAACACCATTTATGGTAGAAACTCTCAGTAAACTAGAAATAGAGAGGAACTTCTTCAACTTGATAAAGAGTATCTGTAGTTAACATCATACTTAATGGTGAGAACATGAAAACATCTACTAAGATCAGGAACGAGGCAAGATTGTCCCTTTTCTTACCACTCCTTTTCAACATAGTACTGCAAGTCCTAACTAATGCAATAAAACAAACAAACAAAAAGGAAATAAAAGGTATGAAGACTGGGAAGAAAGAAAGAAAACTGTCTTAGTTCACAGATGACTTGACTCTCTATGTAGAAAAACCGAAAGAACCACAATGAAAAAAAACTCCTGGGACTAACAAACAATTATAGCAAGATTTCAGATTAATACAAAAGTTGATCACTTTCCTATATATCAGCGTCAAACATGAAATTAAGAACACAATTACTATATATATTAACACTGCAAAAAACGAAATAGGTATAAATCTAACAAAATATGTATAAGATCTATATGAGAAAAACCACAAAACTCTTGAAAGAAATCAAGGAAGAACTAAATAAATGAGGAGATATTCCATGTTCATGGGTAGGAAGACTCAATACTTGACCTAAAGATTTAACGCAATCTCAATGAAAATCCCAGCAAGTTATTCAAGGTGAATCAAAAGTTCATATGAGGAGAAAAAGACCCAGAATAGCCAACACAGTATTGAAGGAGGAGAACAAAATAGGAGGACTGACACTACCCAACTTCAAGAAAATAGAGCTAGAGTAATCAAACAGTGTGGTATGCGCAAACGAACAGACAAAGAGAAAGAGCCCAGAAACAGACCTACACAAATATAGTCAATTGATCTTTGACAAGCGGCAAAGGCAATACAATGCAAGAAATAGCGTTTTTAACAAATGGTGCTGGAACAACTGGAAACAAAAAAAAAAAAAGAAAAGAAGCAAGGAAGCAAGAAAGCAAGCAAGAAAAGAATCTAGACACATTCACACTTCACAAAAATTAACTCAAAATAGCTCACAGACCTAAATGCAAAAGTATAAAACACCTAGAAAATGACAGAGGATAAAATCTAGGTGACCGTAGGTTTGGTGTTAACTTTTTAGATAGGACACTAAAAGCAAGATCCATGAAAGAAAGAATTAGTAAGCTAGACTTCATCAAAAATGTCTGCTCTGCAAAAGACACTGTCAAGAGAATGAAAAGCAACCAAAAGAATGGAGCAAAATATTTGCAAAAAGCTTATCTGATAAAGGACCATTAGCCAAAATACACAAAGAACTCTTAAAACTCAACAATAAGAAAATGAACAACCTGACTGAAAAATAAGCCAAGACCTTCACAGCCAATTCACCAAAGAAGACATACAGATAGCAAATAAGCACATGAAAATATGCTCCACAACATGTGTAATCAGGGAAATGCAAATTCAAACAATAAGATACCACTGCACACCTAACAGAATGGCCAAAATCCAGAACACCAATAATACCAAATGCTGGTGAGGATGTGATGTGGAGCAACAGGAGCCTCATTCATTTCTGGTGGGAATGCAAAATAGCCACCTCAGAACAGTCTGGTTGTTTCTAACAAAACGAAACATCATACAATCTAGCAATCACACTCCTTGGTATTTACCCAAAGGAGTTTTCAAATCCTTTATGTTCACACAAAAGCCTGTCCACAAAAGTTTATAGCAGCTTTATTCATACTTGCCAAAACTTGGAAGCAATAAAGATGTCCTTCAGTAGATAAATGTATAAATGAACTGTGATATATCCAGACAATGGCACATTAGCCATGCTAAAAAGAAATGAGCTAGCAGGTCATGAAAAGACATGAAGGGCACTTAAATGCATATGACTACGTGAAAGAAGCCAATCTGAAAAGACTACACATGTATGATTCAACTATATGACATTCTGGAAAGGGCAAAACTATGGCGATAGTAAAAAGAAATGGTAGCCAGGGGTTAGGGAGGAGGGTGGAGGGAGGGGTGAACAGGTGTGAAGAGGTGAAGCACAGAAGATTTTGAGGGCAATAAATCTACTCTGTATAAGACTATAATGGTGGATACATGTTATACATTTGTCCAAGCCCACAGAATGTACCACACCAAGAGTGAACCCTACTGTAAACTATGGATGCTGGGTGATTATGATGTGTCAGCCTAAGTTCATCAATTGTAACAAATGTACTGCTCTGGTGGGTAATCGTGCCAATTGGGGAGGCTGTGTATGTGTGGGGGAAGTGGGTATATGGGATATCTTTGCACTTCCCTCTAAATTTTACCGTGAACTTAAAACTACCTTAAATTATAGTCTTGAATGAACGAATGAATGAATGAACAAATTAAACTAAAATAAATGCAACACTTTAACATTTAGAGAGTGTACTTCCTAAAGCCCAAATGAGCATGGCAGTGGCAACATATTCGCATTACAATTTTTTCTAATAACCAATGAGTGCTTACTTTCATGAATCCTTCACTTTTCAATTTGTGCAGTTTGGAGGCTGCATTATGGAGGCGTTTTCTTTGGGAATTCAGGAGCGAGTCCAGCACTTGCCACCATGTACGACAGTTCAACACAAAGGCCAATCCCACTACAGATGCGATTGATATGAGGACAGCATTTACAGTCAGATGCTTTGGGTCAACTCTAAATATAGCCAGAAGAGTAATTCCAGATATAATGCAGCCAATGATAAAAAGGAAGATGACAAAAGATGGGAGACAACATGTTTTTTTCCATTTCTTTTTACCTGTAATGCAACAAATGGTTTTAATAATTAACATATCAAGGATCTAGAAAATCCTAACATTATAGTCACAATACCTGATGAGTCTAATGTTCAAGGTGTGTTTTCATGAAAATAAACTGAACATCTATCCCACCCCCATCCCTTACACACAAAGAAGGAAGGAAGGAAATCCTACCCTGAGTATCTTCAGTCTTGAATACTCGAAAAAGCCTGGTTGCCAAAAAGCCAAACTCTCTTTCACAAGCATCCGAGAGGGTTGCAATCATTTCAGCCAGAGAAGTTTCTCCACCTACACTGGACAGTCTATTGTAATCTGTAAACAAAAACCTTGAAGAAAAGAACAAATCAAACATTACTTTATTATCTAAAGTAACAAATAACTTCAATGTATGTCATCTTTGCATCACTTACCCTTTATTTTCTTTTTGTCTCTTTCAAAATATTGTTTTTTAAATTCCAAGGAGGGAAAAGAATTTGTAATTAGGTAGCTTCCACTTCTAAAATCTTACATACTTTTCTTAGGAAAAAACAGTAACAAAAGTGAAATGTGCAGGGCCATATAAAGTAATTCTGACTAAGGACAGGCGGGGGAAAGTTACGCCAGAACTTAGATGTGGAGTATCAAGACACCCCAACAGATCTCACGACATAGTGGTTAAAAGGTGACACACGTGTCATGATGTGGCCACCAAGAGTTGCACAAGAAAGTTTTCTAACACCAACGAAAGAGACTCTAACCCTGAAAAAATATTAATTACAGTCATTAAAGAATTTCAAGCCCAGTAATACCATTTAAAAACTCAAGTTTTAGCATGGCTTATTTTATTTATAGCTTCCACGTCTACCAGGGATTGAGAAATAGTTGTAAAATATTCTCTTCACAATTGATCTTCAAAATTAAGTGAATTATTTGTATTCAGAGTCTCTGAATCATTATTATTTCTGTTAGTTCCTTTCTCCCTTCCATCTCTAAATTAAACTCTCATCTCAGTCCAGTAGATAAGCATTGCTCTCAGAATACAATCTGTAATATACTGTGTGGTCTTGACGATGCTACTTTAATTGTTCTAACTGAAAAAAAAAAATACCACCTCATTAATTTAGACTGGTTTCCTTATTTTCTGTAAAAATATTCCCCCAATTATTTTATTCTGTTTTCCTTTTAACTTTTTCACTTTTAAATCCTTTTCTTAATACTTAATTCTCTATGCTAGTTACTTAAAAGTTTTTACCTTTATTTTTCTCTTATACTCAGTTTTAATATTTTACCTGGTTTGGCTTATTTATTTTCATCTTAAATTACACTTATTTTTTCTTATAACTAAAAAATTTTCATCTTTTAATGCTTTTTTTTTTTGAGCAGGGTCTCACTTTGTCACCTAGGCTGCAGTGCGGTGGCGTGATCTTGGCTCACTGTACCCTCAACCCCCGAAGCTTAAGCAGTCCTCCCACTTCAGCCTCCCAAGCAGCTAGAACTACAGGCACGCACCACCACACCCAGCTAATTTTTCTATTTTTTGTAGAGATGGGGTTTTGCCTTTACCCAGGCTTGTTTTGAACTCCTGAGCTCAAGCAATTGACCACTTTGGCCTCCCACAGTGCTGGGATTACAGGTGTGAGCCACCACATCTGGCTTAATACATTTTAAATTCTTACATTGCTTACTTCCATTGAATTTCTTTTGCTTTTAACTTTCTAGCTTTTTTTTTTTTTCATTTCACTGTCCTCTGGAGCCCTCTACCTTTCCTTTATTCCTGGACTTAAACATTTTTCATCTTTTCTTTTTTCTCATAAATTTCCTACTTAATATGAATAATAATTTTAGACAGACATGTGAATATATTTCCTGAGCTGAGAAAAGCACAGCTCAGAGAGGGGAGCTGGGTTTCCCCAGGTTAACCGCTCACATAAGGAAGGGCCAGGTCTCCAGCGGGAAGCTCTCTGGGGACCAAGGCCAGTGGCTGGACCCCTCCTCCATCCAGTGCTCTCTTCAAAGTGTGTTCCAAAAGATGGTAACAGGTGACATAACAGGGAGAAAAGGTTTATGCTTAAATAAAATTTGGTAAATAAAAGTTAAACAGGTTTCTTTATGGAAAGGTGCCTCTGATCCTTTAACGTACAGGAGGGATATATAATCTGAAGTGTTTCCCACGGTATTTGACCAGGGCATGTTTTTATTTCTGTATGTAAAAGGTTCCAATGTTTTTTGGAACATACATTGAGAAATTATATTCTATAAACTTTTTTTTTTTTTTGAGACAGAGTTTCGTTCTTGTCGCCCAGGCTGGAGTGCAATGGCGCGATCCTGGCTCACTGCAACCTCTGCCTCCCAGGTTCAAGCGATTCTCCTGCTTCATCCTTCCAAGTAGCTAGGACTACAGGCATGCGCCATGACGCCCCCGCTAATTTTGTATTTTTAGTAGAGATGGGGTTTCACCATGTTGGCCAGGCTGGTCTCGAACTCCTGACCTCAGGTGATCTGCCCACCTTGGCCTCCCAAAGTGCTGGGATTACAAGCGTGAGCCACCACACCCGGCTCCTATAAACTTTCCGAAGTGAAAAATATTTTTTTCTGAATCTCATTGAAGATTTCTTCTGTCAAATGGTACAACTCACCTCACAGGTAAAGCTTTAGTAGTCTGCTCTGGCAACTCAGGTGGATTCACAAACATCAATTTAAGGAGGAGTTCCAAATATCCAATATGTCTTGCCAATCTAGTGCTGAGGACCCAGGCCCAATTCCAACTCTCTCCTTCTCTTCGTCCACCAAAGTAAATGACAACTGAAATTCACAGTTTAAAAAAGTTATCCAAAGCAGTCACTAGTCAAGCAGATCTTTTCTCCAAAGATCAAGTATCAAGTAATGAGAGCTAAGCTTACATAGCTTCCTATGGTCCCATACTATTTCCTAACTACTCCTCAAAGAATTCCATTAACCTCCCCTAAGATACAGAAGATATGAAAAATGAAAAGTAAACTGACTAAAACATGCCTTAAACAGAAACATAACTGCAGTTCAGATTCAAATGCAAATCATCTTGGGTTTATCACTATTCGCAACTGGTGAAGTTGGTTATCAGTTCCTCTAACAGTAAATCTATTTCCTTTCTTGCAACTGAAGACACCCCCAAGAATAGGGATTATATTATATTTTTTTTATTTTGCTTTTAGATAAAATTAAAAGTACAGACATGGTCAAAATGCTCAAGAGCATACCAATGATGGCTTTGAAGCCTTCTTTTCAGAAAAAGAATTTTTTTTTTTTTTTTTTTTTTGAGATGGAGTCTCGCTCTGTTGCCCAGGCTGGAGAGCAGTGGCGCCATCTCGGCTCACTGCAACCTCCCCCTCCCAGGTTCACGCCATTCTCCTGCCTCAGCCTCCCGAGTAGCTGGGACTACAGGCGCCCGCCATCTTGCCCGGCTAATTTTTTTGTATATTTAGTAGAGACGGGGTTTCACCATGTCAGCCAGGATGGTCTCGATCTCCTGACCTTACGATCTGCCCGCCTTGGGCTCCCAAAGTGCTGGGATTACAGGCGTGAGAGCCACCGCACCCGGCCCAGAAAAAGATTTAAATATAAATCATTAATTAACAAAAAGAGTAAGTATAATAATATAGGTTCTTGCTTCAAGATTAACAAGTAGTACATTAGTTTATAAGCTACTTCAGCCAAGTTGTGAGCAATGTTCCTTTAGGAAAATTTATGGAGTAGCAAAAAGATCAATTTTCTCACCCAATTATGAAAATCACATACAGGTTTTAAAAGACAGATAAAGAAAATGTTTTTTCTTTATCTATGAATCTTAACGTTTTCTCCATTTTTGAAAAAGATAAAAAGCAAAGACTTACTAAAGAATATATATAAGAGAGCCAAGAAGCTCAGTGACACTGCTATTCCAAGATTTGGGTGGACCGTGAAGGCAAACAATAAACCAAGCCCTCCACAAAGTAGCAGGGTAAGAAACACTATGAGCCATGAGAACTGAAAGAGAGGCTCAATCTGTTGTCCGGCGAAGGTTTTCATTTCGTCTGAAAGAGAATTTAATACGAAACCTTATTCCTGTTTTGTTTAAGAAATACAACTTTTAACTCAATATGCAGTTTTCACATTTTCAATGTAAACATTTATTGGACACTTAGTAGGTCCCTAGATGGAATACTGCCACTTAACCATTTTACCCAGTGTTCTCTTGCCAAAGATGAACATCTCACCCCCAGGACCACAGCTAGGCCTGACTCGCCACCCTCTCCTGCTTCACGTGGAGGATGTACAAAACCCCTTCTCATATACTCCCATCTGTCAAGATTTTCTTGAGATTTGTTTTTTGTGGTTTGCATTAACACAAACAACAAATATTATGCATATGCATATTGTTTCCACATGCAAAAATAAAAACTATACCCTATATCTTCAAACTACATATCACCACCATTCCACTGTGATCCTTCTCATCCCTTCTCCCTCCAATCACATTTGAGAATACTGTTCTTAAAGGTGCATGTTGAGCCCAATGGAGTCCCACACAAGTAATTCTTTGTACAAAACTTGGGGAAAATTTTATAGGCAATACTGAAACCTATCCTTGAAGAATAAGTAAGCTTTTGCCAAGCAAAAGGCATGCATGTTGGGTGGGTGGTAGTGAGGCCACTAAGGAGCTGCTAATAGAGGGAGCAACCTGGGAAACACATCTGGTCTGTTCTTGCAAGAGCAAACAGTCCTCTGTGACTGAAGCTGGGGCACATGCCAGAGGTGGTGCTGGCAGGTGGGACCATGCAAATTGACAAGTCTGTGAAGGGCCCGAAAAAAACTTGCCAGCAAGGGTTTTATGTGGGGTTATCACACAATTGGATCTGCTTTAGAAAGAGAACTCAAATGACCGTGTGAAGGACCAACCAGAGGGGAGTTCATCTCAGTAAACCACATAACACACATGCTTATACAGAAAGTGGTCTTCCTCTTTATTTCAGAAAAATCCCCAGAGAAAACCTTGCTTTATATATACAGACTTTGTACAAGCAAGCCCTTTACCTTCTAGTTTCTTGAGTAAGAAAGATTTCCCACTTCCCCACTGTGCATATAACCCCACACAAATGGGTGGCTGCATGGTAGGCTCACTGAGAATATCTGCCAGGGCACTGCTATATAAATCATATCCAAGCATGTCACCGTCTGTTTCAGTAGGAGACAAGTGTCCTGTAATTAAAACACATCATATCTTACATTAAACAGTGGCATTACTATTAGAAATGAACACTATTTTCATTGTTTCCTTGATTAGAGAGAAAAAAATTATTTCAAATGTTTATACCCATGTAGGGACAGTTTCAGGGAGTCTCTGAGCCTATTCTGACTTGGAAGGCTACCTGATTTAAAATTCAGAGATTCTTAAATTACTATCGTATTTCATAAAAAGTTTCAGATATTCTTAAATTACTATCATATTTCATAGAACTTGATACTTATTAATTATATGATACATCATTTTTATGTATAACTAAGAAAGAACAAAATGTTGCCAAATTGTGACATCATGCTTTCTTGTCCATCACTTACAAGACACATTCCAATTTCAGAGATGTTAAATTATGGGAACATTGTGCATTTTAGAATCGATAAAATATGATTAACACAAATAAGCATATAAAATAAATTTAGTACGTGTAATACCTATACAAAGAAAGTTGTAAAATGTTACTGAAGAACATAATAGATAATAATAGAAAAAGAAACATTTTATGATTCCAGGAAGAAAGGTTCAGCAATTCTCCCAAATTATTCTATCACTTTAAGGCAGTTCTAATTAAAATCCATGAGAATTTTGTTTTAATTGAAAGGAAAGAAGAATGTGTAAGAATAGAAAAAAAAATTAAAGACTACTGAAGGGTAGTTGCCACTGGAGAAGAATAAAAATGTAAAACAATAATTTGAACATTCTGGAACTCATATAGGATATTAACATAAGTGGCATTTCAAATAAGGCAGGAAAGGATGAATTAGTAAGTGGTGTTGGGAAAGTTTAATCATTCATGAAAAAATTAAATTAAAATGCTATATACCTCATAGCCTCAACAAAATTTTCTGAAACATTAAAAAATTAAGTAGAAAAAAGTAAAACCATAGAAGTACTAGAAGGAAATATAGGAAAAACTTTAAAAATCTTTGTTTAAAAAGGCCTTTCTTTTGCAATGTAATACTAAGGCCAGAACTGCAGGAAAAGACTAATGAATAAACTACAAAAATGTAAAACTTTTGAATGAGGAATAAAAATCCATGACCATCAACCAAGAGTATGCCGGGGGAGAGGAATGCAGCACATGGGATAGACCCAGGATCAATATCCATAACACAGAAAGACTCTTACATCAATTTTTTTAAAATATTAAAAACTAAAAAGTGGGCAAAGGATACAAAAAGGAAACTGGCAAGAATACAAATAGCCTATGAACATATTACACATTATCTAAGCCAAAAGGCTGAGAAGCAATAGCCTATGAATATATTACAAGATCTCAATTTCACTAATAATTTTAAAACACAAATTGAAATGAGATTTTCTTTTCTTATTTATCTGATTAGCAAAGAGTAAGAGGCTGGAAATACCCAGTGCTAGCAAGCTTGTGGGGAATTGTGGTATCTTACACTGCCAGAGGGAGAAGAAATTTTTACAACCATTTTGGAAAGTCTATCAAAACTATGGGCATCCACTGACTTGGCAATTCTACTTCTGGGAATTTACCCTAAGAAAATAATCCTAATTGTACCCCCTGAATCTCTAATAATATTTTCAAAAGAAAGAAAAAAAATCCTAAAAATAAGAGTCAATGGATATACGTACAAAGGTGTTCACTGCAGCACTAGTTGTTAGCAAAACAAACTAAATATTCACCAATAGCGAACTCAATGTACGAAAAATTATGCAATAATTAAAATATGACACTTTAAGCTTTTGTAACATATTATAACTCAATTTTTATTTTTTAAAACTATATACATAGTATGTAACATTTTTATAAGCATAAAGAAAAGCCTGGAGGGTCATTTAAACAATTACAAGTTGGGATATAGGGGGTAATGGGGAATTTTCACTTTCTGCTATACTCATGTTTTCATTCTTGAAATGTAATTAGTGCACATTACTATTATAATAAGAAAAAATATTTTAAAATACAAAAAGTCATAAAAAAATAGAATCATGGCCAGGCACAGTGGCTCATGTCTGTAATCCCAGCACTTTGGGAGGCCAAGGTGGGAGGATCACTCAGCCCCAGACTAGGGAACATGGCAAGACCTCGTCTCTACAAAAAAAGAAAAAAAATCAGCTGGGTGTGGTAGCATGGGCCTGTAGTTCCAAGTACTCAGGAGGCTGAGGTGGGAGCATCGCTTAAGCCCAGGAATTTGAGGTTGCAGTGAGCTATGATTGCATCACTGTACTCCAGCCTGGGCAACAGAGTGAGACCCAGTGCAGTGGTGTGATCTTGGCTCACTGCAATCTCCATCTCCCTGGCTCAAGAGATCCTCCCACCTCAGCCTCCCAAGAAGCTAGGACTACAAGCACACCACCACGCTCAGCTAATTTTTTAATCTTTTTGTGGAGATGAGGTCTCACTATACTGCCCAGGCTTGTCTCAAACTCCTGGGGTCAAGCAATCCTCCCACCTCGGCCTCCTCAAGTGCTGGGATTACAGGCATGAGCCACCATGCCTGGCCTTATTTTCCATATTCTTTAATGGAACATTGATTATTTAAAAGCTCAGTTAGGAGCAAAACTCAATACTTACTGGCTCCAAATATTTGAGTTAAAATACTCTTCTGATGGCTACAGTCAATATTATAAGGAGTCTCGCCTGCTTTGTTGGGCCTATAAAGTAATCGCCCATCTTTGGGATTTCTTAAAAGCAGTTCTGCCAGTTTCCGGCTCCTTCCACGAATAGCAATATGCAAGGGAGTATCTCCTTTCTGTAAAATAATAGTACGAAACTTGAACTTTCTTATCTTTATATATAGTATGCAGACAGTAACAATTTTCATGTTTCTGTAAAATAACAAAATCTGAACTTTTCTTATTTTTCATATAAAGCACATATATAATATGAATTTTTATCTCTATCTTCCCCATAATATCCTTCTGTAGCTCCTCATCCAGCTTTGCTCAGATACTGTTTCTCCCACAGCCCTCTAGAATGAAGGTCATTCTTTTCCCCTTTTCTTAACTCAGTGAAAGAGGAGAAGCAACAGGCTTTCTCCCTGCAGCTCCTCCTAGGCCATGGGTCCACTTCATTAGTATCCCTCCATCATCCAAATATTTATTGTCCAAGGATGTCAACTACCTTCCTCAACTAATTTAAATTCTATTTCACAGCTTTCTTCATTTGTCTAGAAAGCGTTACAATCCATGCGGACAGCCATCTAACACAAGTGATCTTGTCAGCTCCATGACCTTTGTCAACCATTTGCCACAGTGAACCCTTAAATCTCATCACTCTACATTCTCCACCTGAGTCCTCTATGTACACCTATCCTCCTCCGACTCTCTCCTCTCCTCTTCCATTCTCCTCACCTTTCCACTCTCCTCACCTTTCACTTTTCCCTATCAACCCACCTTCTCTCCTTATTAGCATCTCCAATCACATTAGTGCTCACATCCAACACTAATGAAAGCTAACATGTAAATTTCAAAAGTCCTCTTCGGGCTGCAAAGTGCTCTCCTATTGATTACTTCACAAACACCTTGACAAATTAAATTCTCAGTTCTCATCCACACTGATCTCCAGGACACTAAATGAAAATGACCTACACATTCTTCCTGTGGCTTCCAAGGCACGACCTTATCTTGAACTTTTCATCTTCTAGACTCTCCTCTCATGTCCTAAAAAATGTGGTAGCATAACTATGCACCAGACTCACTATATGTAAGGCTCTGTGCTTCGTACTTTGGAGGATATAAAGATGTAAGACAAAATAGTTGCTGACCTTAAGTAGCTTATGTCGTAATAGGAAGAGACTGGATAAACATGCACAATTTAAAAACTGCAGTATGACACACAGCATAAGAGTCCATTTTGACTTCAGCTTTCATCTTTCTTCACACCGATCATCTTAGTCGCTCCCATGCAACTCTCTATCCTAGTAACTAATTGCCAAATTTCCATCACCAGCCTTGATTTCTTGCCCAGATTCCAGTACTAGATTTCCCAATGTCTACTGGCCACAGGCTCCTGAATGTCTTATCAGCCCTCAAACTAAACATATCCAAACCCAATTTCATCTTATTTTCCCATCTCAATTCCAATTCTCATCCCCAGACCTGTGAGAAGACAAAACAGTAGCAGCAGCATTTCTGCCAGATACAAAATTCCTATAAATGCAGGGAGGATATTAGCATACTTTGCTGACAGGCTGAAAATAATCAGAGAGCAGTGACGGGCAAGGTAAAAATAACATTAATCGTCACTTTTAAAATTGTTTTTATGAAATTCTCTATGAAGATCCAGGTTCAAGACTTTTAAAAGTTTGTATCCCAAATTCTAGCAGGATAGCACTTTACCCGTCCTCAGTAAGAATGTGTTCATGAATGAACAACTGTTGCAACTATCATGTGTATTTGTCAACAAGTATCATGTGCTGACTCTGGGCACAGCAACACACAAAAGAATACCAAGGCAGAGGCCTTCAGGAAACTTATTAATGAGTATAAAGCAATTACTTAAGATAGCATATTATATAATTAACAAGGCTATATGGAACCTTGAAGGATACAGTCTGGTGGTTCTGTATCGCAAATTGGGGGACCAGTGTCAGATGAGTCAATGGCAGATTGAGAAAAACAGGCATTATAAGAAGTTTTCTAGAAAGCTACATATATTCCATTTTGAAAACTCTTCTTTGACTTTTTATGTCTTCTAGTTTTTAATATTAAAGTTTCCTTTCTTTGATATGACATGTTAACATGGTAATGACAGGGGGGAGGTGCTTTTATGTTTTAAAATAATGTTGTAACATGGCAAAATGAAACATAAACACATTGACTCGTGACTCCCTGTTTTTGTTTAACTGCCTTATAACTAATAGAAAAACAAACTTCAATCTATTATTAATTAGTAAAGCCCAAACCATATCATTCATCAGAGGAGAAAATTTACAATATTATTTTTTACTTTATACATCAGTTCACTTCTATCCTGGGGGAAAACCAATTTAAAGTACAGAAAGAAATAAGCTTGTTTAAAATAAAAAGAAACTAAAATGAAAAATCAAATCTATATGAAGTATGAAGCCACTTAGAGCTAAACTTATTATAGAAAATATAAAAATTCCTCTGAAAGGATTATAGCAAGGACACGCGGCAGAACAAACACATTGACTCCTGTCAGTGAACATTAACACCGTCTGCTCTGAGCATCGGCCTCCTCCAGCCCCTGTGCATTCTTTCCTCCTGTTTATCTGCAGCAAGCTCTACCCTGATGAAGGCAGAGCCTCCTCCTGATGTGGTAGTCAATGGCAGTGCCCCACAGCTGCTGTGAGCCGTAGAAGGAAAGTCGGAAGCAGCTGCGTTAATAGCACACTGAGCCCACCCACTCCTCAGCACACTACTGTGTGGGATCCAAAGCCCACACAGACATCCCCAGCAAGTCATCTCTCCCCACACAACCTAAAATCAGATCCCCATTAAATCCACTCCATATAGAGGTCAGTCGACCAACAGCTTTCCATACAGTGTTCTCTCCGCACAGATGTTTTACCTTATCTACAGCAGACACTTTAGCACCTTTATCTAGCAGCAGCTCCACCACTTCAATGTTTCTCATCTTGGTAGCCTTTATAAGTGGCGTTTCACCATCCTGTGGGCACAAATAAGAACATTTGCCAGATTAATAGCTTGACTCCTGTGTTTATGTCATACAAATGCACATGTCAAGAAATATCTGACTCTGGTAACAGCCTATATTTAAAACCCTCTCAAGAAAACATAAAAGCTAACAACAAAAAAATGCTTTTCCTTTACACCCACTCATTTGTATCAAAGTGACTGTAAATCACGTAGCCAGGTGTGGGACCTGCCCCAGCTGCTCGTAAGCTACAGCCGGCAGCAGTGGCTGCTTCTGCCCTACCCCAGGTTCTACCACTGACCTGGGGCAGCTCCCCTCCAGAGGCTACTTCCCGTTCTCCCCACCGACCAACCCACAGCCCAGCCTGTCAACGTCCAGGTAAGCCAGTGTCCAGAGTTTTTCAGAAATGTATACCAACATCACTTCAATTCTCAGTGAAACCATTTGAAACAAGCAGTATGCCTTCAGAAAACCTCAAAAGAGTTCATGATTGCTTTCAAAACCAAAGGAAGGGAAACAAGAAGAGACCACAATTCAGCACTGAGTTAGACAAAAATCTGGTCAGAAGCCACAGGTAGTCACCCTGGCTGACACCAAGGTCCAAAAGAAAAAGAAAAAAGAGGATTAAGGAGCCACCTGCAAACCAGAAGGTATCTCAGAAATTTTCTATCCTGGGGTACTGGAAGTACCATCACTGATTTAGAAATTGGCCGGTCCTGATCTACAGCAGATGACATAGGATTGTCTTATGGATGACTCTATAATTTTGCTTTATTCATTAAGAATTCCTGCCATATCAACCCAGAATTCCAAATATATTTTCCCCATAGAAAATGATTACACATACGCTAAATAGGAGACCACAGTATTAGATAATTTTTTATTTTTTACACAATTTGAGTAAAACAGTTGAAAGTAGCTAGTCTGGGGAACCAACCACCAGTCACATGGTTATTTATGTATTCATTTAAAGAGACAGGGTCTCACTATATTGCCCAGGCTGGCCTGGAACTCCTGAGCA